>NC_000014.9:35369288-35672319 GCF_000001405.40 Homo sapiens | reverse complement strand
ATAAACTAACAAGTGTAGGAGGTTGCAAGTCAGAATAATGTAAATATGTTTATCCTAATATGATGAACTCGTAGGTCATTTACAGAGTATATTAATATTAAAAGATAATATCTTTCTGAAAAATGTAAAATTTTTGCATTAATTTAAAATTAGTGTGCTACCTTGTAAACATGTCTCAAGTAAAATGACTCTCTTAATTATTAGAAGAAGAGAGCTTTTGTTTAAGATAAGTTGTAATGAATAATACAACTGAATACACTGTATCCTCATAGTAAATTCCAAAGGCAAAGTAAATGAATAATGAAGTTAGGAACATTCCCTTAAAAGTGCCTAGGTCTAGATTTCTGAGGCTTGATACCTATCATTAAAGGACTTCAGTTTATTTTAAAAAGAGAATCTTTCCAATTGTCACGTAACGGGTCATGTGGATTCAGAAATGAGAGTTATTGCACAGAAGCAACTAGGTGACAGGAGAAAACTGCTATGCAGTTTAGTTTTACATTGTGTGGGCCTTGTACTTTTAACCTTGTGAAGCAAAGAGCCTTCCTTAATCTCTAGTGTGAAAAAAATGCTGTTATTTATGCCAGTTAAATGAATGTATTTTCAGTTTACTTTCCATTGATAGAATATAATATTAAGCATGGATTATTTGGAAGAATTGAAATTAGTCTTTCCAGTTAGCCAATGTACAGTAATTACCTTTTTTATTATTTCATATGTTATCTATTTTTAATGATACTGATTAGCTGATACTCAAGATTACATATGTGATATTCTTTTTTCCTTCTTTCCTTATTCTAAGGATATTGTCAATACAATCATCAAACACTGCTCACCTCAATTTTTTTCACTTGGTTTGCCTGGTGCCACAATGCTTATTATGGATTTTATTGTAGCAGCTGGTAGAGTGGCTTCTTCAGCTTTTCTCAATGTAAGTCATTTCCTGTTCCTTATCATATAACAAACTTTAGCCAGGATTCAACTAACAAAGTTGATAAAACATAACAAGCTGATAATCAGGAAATTTTGCAATTTAATTGGAATTGATTGCTTCTCCTACATTAAAAAAAGTAAGCAAGAAATCTGAAATATAAGAAAGCACTAAAATCAGTAAAATCTGATAAGCAGAACAGGATTTAAAGTTGAGGAAATCTAAAGAAACGGAGGGAAGAAAGCAAAGAAAGAGCAATGGGCTATAGCAAGAGGTAAGAAACAATGGTGAGTCATCATTACACAGTGTATGTGTGTATCAAATCATCGTGTTGTACACCCTGAATATATATTGTCTTTAACAATTATATATTTAAAAATTAAAAAAAAGAAACTTGGTAAGGCATCCACCATAGAAGGACATATGTCCTAGGAGCAAACTCTCTCTCTCTCTTTTTTTTTTTTTGAGATGGAAGTCTTACTCTGTCGCCCAGGCTGGAGTGCAGTGGTGCGATCTTGGCTCACTGCAGCCTCCGCCTCACAGGTCCAAGTGATTCTCCTGCCTCAGCCTCTTCAATAGCTGGGATTACAGGCAGGCACCACCACACCCAGCTAATTTTTCTATTTTTAGTAGTGACGGGGTTTCACCATGTTGGTCAGGCTGGTCTCGAACTCCTGACCTTGTGATCTGCCCGCCTCAGCCTCCCAAAGTGCTGGGATTACAGGCGTGAGCCACCGTGCCCAGCCAGGAGTAAACTCTCAAATTGCATGTGAAGATTTTTTCATATGGTCGTGGAACTGTGAGACAATGCTAAGTAAATCAGTATAAATGGAATATGTTCATCCATAAATGGCAGAGGTGAGCTAGAGAGGAAGGCAATAATGCTGAAAACATTAGATAGAAGCCTAAGGAAGGAATGAGTAACCATTGAAGGATTTTAAGCAAGGAGTGACATGATCAAATTCATATTTTGGAAGGATCACTCTGGAGCAAAGTGTAAATGAAAAATAATAATTAACTGGAAGTCTACTGTAAAAAACTAAGAGTTTTTGTGAGAAAAACATACTTGTCTAGTACTGTATAACTTGAAGAGCAGTTTAACATACCTTATTTCATTGTTTAGCTGCAAGAGTGAAAGATCAATAGTGAATAGAAGGAGTTCTATTTGGGGCCTAGTAAGATGTGTATTAGACATCCATGAGGAAGATGTCAGAAGAATAATTGCATATACTCAAGGGACATGTCAGGACTGAAAATAAAAGCTGGGCAACATTAGCTTATAGATGATATTTAAAGCCATGAAAGTGGATACAGTCACCTAGTGTAAACAGACAAAGCAGCAGCGGTATTTATAGCTGTATAACCCTGTTTTTCCAGTTCCCTGAGAACAGTAATCATGTCTTACTCATCTTGGTATCTCCGGAGCCTAGCATAGCACCATGCTTGGTCAGTTATTGAATATGTGTTCATTTAGCACCTAGTACTACTCAACATTGTACTGAGCCCTTTTGTGGTTATTAAACTTCCCCCTCCCCTTGCGTACAGAATGTTTTTGTAGGTGGAATACAGAGGGATATAGAATAAACTGGATAATACTTTGTGCTCAAGCAACATAATGTCTACTGCTGGGGATTTGGAGAAGTATATTAACAACTACAGAATGTTGGGCATCAAATAGATACCAATAGGAGGAGCACATCATAGTAGTTAAAAGCATTGTCTAGAGCTGACCTGCTTGGGTTCAAATCCTGGCTCTGCCACTTATTAGCTGTGTGACCTTGGGCAAGTTACTGAATGTCTCTGTGTCTCAGTTTCTTCATCTATAAAATAAAGATGGCCAGGCATGGTGGTTCACACCTGTACTCCCAGCACTTTGGGAGGCTGAGGCGGGTGGATCACCTGAGGTCAGGAGTTCAAGACTAGTCTGACCAACATGGAGAAACCCCATCTCTACTAAAAATACAAAATTAGCTGGGCCTGGTGGCACATGCCTGTAATCCCAGCTACTGGGGAGGCTGACACAGGAGAATCGCTTGAACCCAGGAGGCAGAGTTTGCAGTGAGCCGAGATCGCACCATTGCACTCCAGCCTGGGCAACAAGAGCGAAACTCAGTCTCAAAAAAAAATAAAGAAAGATAACCTGCCGTATAGGATTATTTTATAAGGATTTGTAACATGGTTGGAACACTATGTGACACGTTATATGTGCAATGTAAGAGTTTGTTAAAATTATTTGGTGATTCAGAGAATGGAGAGATCTTATTTGTTTAGGGATATCATGGAGGTTTCATGGAAAATATACATAAATATGTCCCTGAAAGATTAGTAGTATTTGTTTAAGTAAAAATGGAGATGAGAGACAGTGTTCCAGGCAGAGGTAAACAGGCATGAGTGAGATGTGTTCAAGGAATGACAAATAATCCATTTTGTTTAGGAGCTAGTTAATCTGTAAGAGTGTAATAGGCAAAAAGAATTGAAAGGTACTTTATTTAAAAAAAAAATCATTGAGATAAAGTATACATATCTAATTTACCATTTTTATCATTTCAATTTTTATTTTGTTTTGTTTTGTTTTGTTTTTGAGATATCAGGGTCTTGCTCTGTAGCACAGATTGGAGTGCAGTGGCACAATCGAGGCTCACTGCAGCCTTTACCTCCTGGGCTTAAGCAATCCTCCCACAACAGATCCCAAGTAGCTGAGACTATAGGCACACACCTAGAGTCCCAGGCACCATATCTGGTAATGTTTTTAACTTTTTGTAGAAACAGGGTCTCACCATGTTGCCCAGGCTGGTCTTGAATTCCTGGGCTCAAGTAATCCTCCCTGCCTTGGCCTTGTAAGGTGCTGGGATTACAGTCATGAGCACCTGAGCTATCATTTTTTAATGTACATTTTTTTTTTTTTTGAGACAAAATCTGTCTCTGTCACTCGGACTGGAGTGCAGTAATGCGATCTTGGCTCACTGCAATCTCTGCCTCCCAGGTTCAAGTGATTCTTTTGCCTCAGCCTCCCGAATAGCTGGGGCTACAGGCCCGCGCCATCATGCCAGGCTAATTTTTGTATTTTTGGCAGAGACGAGGTTTCACCATTTTGGCCAGGCTGGTCTTGAACTCCTGACCTTAGGTGATCTGCCCACCTCAGCCTCCCAAAGTCCTAGGATTACAGGCGTGAGCCACCATGCCCAGCCTTACATTTTAAATACATTTGTATTATTTTTTTCCCCCTTCTTTCCTCCTTTCCCTGCTTCCGGGCCTCTGGTAACCACCAATCTATTATCTTCATGAAATCCACTTTAGCTCCCACATATGAAAGAGAACATGTGGCATTTGTCTTTCTGTGCTTGGCTTATTTCAGTTAACATAATGTTCTCCAGTTCTACCCATGTTGCTGCAGATGACAGGATTTTGTTCTTTTTCATGGCTAATGTTTCATTGTGTATAAGTACCACATTTTCTTTATCCATTCATTTGTTGATGGGCATGTAGGTTGAGTCCATGTCTTGGCTGTTGTGAATAGTGTGTGGTAAACACAAGAGTGCAGGTATCTTTTTGATATCTTGATTTCCTTTCCTTTGTATGTATATCCAATTGTGGAATTGCTGGATCATATGGAAGTTCTATTTTTGATTTTTCGAGGAACCTCCTTACTGTTCTCCATAGCAGCTATACTAATTTACATTCCCACCAACAGTGTGTGAAGGTCCCCTTAGAAAGGTACTTTAGATCTTTGCTACCCAAAGTGTGATCTGCACACCAGAAACTTTTGGCATGATCTGGGTGCTTATTAGTAATGCAGAATCTCAGACCCCATCCTGGACCTACTTACTGAATCAGAATCTGCATTTTAACTAGATCACAAGTAAGTGGCAAAATCATTAAAGATTGAGAAGCACTGCTTTAGACTACGTTTTGGAAAGGCCTTGAATGCCAGGAATCAGATTATAATGCTATATTAGATAAACAGTTAAGTTTTGTTGTTGTTGTTGTTGTTTGAGATGGAGTCTCGCTCTGTCGCTAGACTGGAGTTCAGTGGCACGATCTCAGCTCACTGTAACTTCCGCCTCCCGGGTTCAAGCGATTCTCCTGCCTCAGCCTCCCGAGTAGCTGGGACTACAGGTGCGCCACCATGCCCAGTTAATTTTTGTATTTTTACTAGAGTTGGGGTTTTACCATGTTGGCCAGGATGGTCTCGAACTGTTGATCTCGTGATCCGCCCGCCTCAGCCTCCCAAAGTGCTGGAATTACCGGCATGAGCCACCGCGCCTGGCCACAGTTAAGTTTTTTTAAAGTAGTTAGAGAAATGATTGAATCCATCCTTTGAGATCATTAAATAAGTATTAATCTGGGAGTAAATTAATGGAAGACAAACTAGAGATGGTAAACAAGTCACAGGGTTATAGTACAATCAGAGTACTTAGACTATAAATCTCTTGGATACTAGCAAAAGTTGATAGAATTCAGAAGATTCCAATATATAAACCAATGTCATTTTTTATTAATTTACTGTGAAAACTATTACTGTTCAATGGGGTATTCCAGATGACTAGTCAGCACATTTCCTGCAGCTTTTTTCAAGATTCTGTAAGAGAATTAAGCCCTAATGTCATAAGGCATCTATTTTATGTAACTAATCCATTTGAAATGACTAATTTCTCCTTTGTGTATCTAATACTATGCATTATGTAACATCCTTGAGAAAATGTAGAATATAGTCATTTTTTGCATTTTCTGGTTCATATGAGGGATACCTGTTGAGAAAGGCTGCATAGGAAACCAAATCATTGCAAGAATCAAGCCTAACATATCTCCACAATAAGGTTAAAACAAGTCATTTCCTCTGATGGTGTTGGAAATACCCAGTCCAGGCTGGGCATGGTGGCTCACACCTGTAATCCCAACACTTTGGGAGACTGACACAGGCAGATCACTTGAGGTCAGGAGTTTGAGACCAGCCTGGCCAACATGGTGAAACTCCATCTCTACTACAAATACAAAAATTAACTATGAAGTTGGGATAGAGATCCCATGTACCTGAGACATTAAGGGGCTTGAACAGTAGATGGTGCAGAATAAATGTGACTATACAGTTGCCAGTGGAACCTACCACAGATATTAATCCTTAAAAAAAAAAGATAATTGTGTCCAGTTAGGAGCAGACATGCTAGATGACCCTTGTTGTTTATAAGTCTTTAAAATTTTTTCTGGTAGTGGTGGCACGCACCTGTAATCCCAGCTACTCAGGAGTCTGAGATGGGAGAGATGGGAGGATCATTTGACCCTGGGAGGTGGAGGTTGCAGTGAGCTGAGATTGTGCCACTGTACTCCAGCCTGCACGACAGAGTGAAACTCCTTCTCAAGAAAAAAAAAAAAAGGAGGAAACACCTAGTCCAATTCTTGCTCGTTGTATTCTTATTTTAGATTTCATTCATATCATCTCCCTTCTGTTAATGCCGTCTGCCCCCCACCTCCTTAAGCAGATAATAGAATAATTGATTTGGTTTTGCCTTTCTTAATTATGATCACATTCCAGGTCTGCTCCCATTATGTGCACATACCTGAATATTCCCAGTTACCTCATCTACCTATACAGAAAAACTCTCAGCTAATCTCTTTCATTAAATACTGATTTTTAAGATCAGTTTCATTTTTATACAATAATTTTTATTTTAAATTGGAACGGTAGATATGAGTTCACCCTGCCCTTTTATACTGCTGCCTTGTATCTTTAAATCCACATTGTTTTTAAATCTGGAAATGAGTTGTTTTGTTGAAAATCATATAATAGAGTATTACACCATTGCCTCTATTACAGTATTTATTCAGATGTGGAAATCCTCTTGGAGGTTGGTTCTTAATTTATGTGAATAGAAGTATTATATTTCTAATAGATTTGTGCTTAGCATTTTTGTTAGGTATTATTAAACATATAAATCAATTTGCAGATGTTTTAGTAAATAAAACAATATATTAGTAGGAAGATGTTGATGTTTGGTGGGCATGTAAGAAGGCAGAAGAGAAAAAAGAAATGTTCAGTGTTGATACTTCAGAAATGGCTAAATACAGCTAAGGAAAAAAGATGAAAAGTTACCTTCATTGGCAGTCCAGACAAATTCTAATGTTGCTTCTAGTAAGTGGTATAGGCAATGCTTTTCTTATGTGCATAATATCATAAAAGCCATCTAGATTGGTTCCTCTTTCATATAGTTAATGCTTTTTCTTCTTTATTCATCCTTGGTAATAAATATAATCTAGTGAAATTAAGTCATCAGCTTATTAGAACAATATGTCACAATGTGTGAGTTACCTTTAAAATTATTTATATTTTTACTTATTAGGGTGAATTGATGCTTGTAGATAAGGTATATTTGTTTTTACAGTCTTATTAACTGTGGCTGATTTGAGGAAAGCTCTGCTACTTGTTTATTGCATTTATTAACAATAACAGTAGTTTATGTGGAAAGTATAAATGGAAACTTAAATCTTTTTGTGTTTTCCCTTTCCTTTTTAAATTTTGTTTTATGTATCACTTCCCTGTCTAATGTAGTTGGATAACAAAGCAACTTTTCTGATAATTTCATAACACCAATATATTTTTAAACTTTTTAAAAATGTGATACATAGGCACCAAGAGTAGAAGCACAAGTTCTTCTGGGATCTTTGGTTTGCTTTCCCAACTTATATTGTGAACTGCCTTCTCTTCATCCCAACATTCCTGATGTTGCTGTGTCTCAGTTTACAGATGTTAAGGTAAGAAATGAGATGCTAATTTTTAGCACTTAAATGATTTTATAATCATAAAGTATATGCAATAAAATTTGTATTCTTTCTTTTCTTTTTGAAATCCACACAATTGTTAAAGAACATTAGCCATATCCTCCAGACACAAAGGCTTGAATGTTCATTTGGAGCATATCCTTTTTTGTGTTTAAAACTGCTTTAGAACCTTTTTCTTGTTATTGAACCTACTCACATGTCTACCTGTTAGGATTCATTCACTTACTGAACATTTATTGAAATACCCCATGAGCCAGATACTATGCTACTAATGTAAAGCTTCTGAGATTAAGATGGTAAAGTAAACCTGCATATTAGACTCTCTCCTTCTCCCAGTTTCTCAGTGTGATGAGTCAAACATAGTAATGGAAAACTCTGTACTGCTCTAGGAAACTATGGAGTTGGGATGGAGATCCCATGTACCAGAGGCATTTAGGGGCTTGAACAGTAGATGGTGCAAAATAAATGTGACTATACAGTTGCCAGTGGAACTTACCACAGATATTAATCCTTAAAAAAAAGACAATTGTGTCCAGTTAGGAGAAGACATACCAGATCACCCTTGTTGTTTATAAGTCTTCAAAATGTTTTCTGGTAGAAAAGCAGTCAGTGCTCTGAGCCCAGCAAGGTGCCTGTTGATAAATAATTCCATCAATAAGTTAAGACCTGTGTCTTACTGAGACCTGTCCTTACTTAACTGAATGCCTATGTATGATAAATTCCCAGCTGGGCGCAGTGGCTCACACCTGTAATCCCAGCACTTTGGGAGGCCGAGGCGGGCAGATCACGAGGTCAGGAGATTGAGACCATCCTGGCTAACACGGTGAAACCCTATCTCTACTAAAAATACAAAAAAAATTAGCCGGGCATGGTGGCGGGCGCGTGTAGTCCCAGCTACTCGGGAGGCTGAGGCAGGAGAATGGCGTGAACCCAGGAGGTGGAGCTTGCAGTGAGCCGAGATTGCGCCACTGCACTCCAGCCTGGGTAACAGAGCGAGACTCCGTCTCAAAAAAAAAAAAAAAAAAAATTCCCAAGGGTTTAACAGTCCTGAGAAGTTGTGCTTGTCACAGTAATTGCCAGATGGTCTTTGTATGTGACCTGAATTGGTCCCTAGAATTAGAAGTGTTGAGAGAGAGGAGACATAGCTCCTCAGGGGCTAAGCAGATGTGTTTTTTTTTTTGTTTTTGTTTTTTTTAAAACTTGCTTTTTCTCAAGTTTTAAAAAGTCCAGTTTATGTTAGGAATGTTGCATACACTTTCTATAGCATCCATATATCTCTTTGTTACGTTTATTATACTTGTAATTACGTGTTCAATGTCTGACTTCTACTTTAGATATATATATACCACAAGGTCTTTTTGCTATATCATCGTACCCTAACATACTGTTTGATACCTGGTATATACTCAGAAATCAATTTTTAGGCCAGGTATGGTGGCTCATGCCTTTAATCCTAGCCAAGGTGGGAGGATTGCTTGAGTCCAGGAGTTCAAGACCAGCCTGGGAAACATAGGGAGACCTTGTCTCTACAAAAAATAAAAAATTAGCTGGGCATGGTTGCACACACCTGTGGTCCCAGCTACTGGGAGGCTGAGGTGGGAAGAGCACTTATGCCATGGTTGTGCCACCGCACTCCAGCCTGCGTGACAGAGCAAGACCTTGTCCCACCCCCCCCCCAAAAAAGGAAATCATTTGTTAAACAAGTGAACTTGACTTACATATAAAATCAATGCAAATTTCCAGTGACACACAAAAAACTATATAAATTGACCCTTGCCCTTCAAAGATGTAATAGCTATGGCTTTTTTTGTTTTGTTTTGTTTTTTACTGTTCTGAAGGTACATCAGCACATCAGCAGCTATGGTTTCTTTTATTCAGGAGATTTTGAAGGCCAAGGATGAGTTGTAGTTTTAATTTATTAATGCAGTTTTGAGTGAGTTAGGGGTTAGCCTCGCCTACTATATACTATCCGCATCTGCATTTCAGAGTGGCCTTGTTCTCTGTTGGCCCTTGTGTAGGCAGTAATGGCAGAAGTGATTAAAAACAACAACAAATCTCCAAAGTAAGATAAATTTTTTTGTATGAAAAACAAATCTCCAAAATTAGGGCCAATTCTAATAATAATGAAGAAAGCAAAAAGTAATCACTGTTCTTAGTCAGAAAATGAAGATTTAAAGGGGAAGTTACACACCATGGTTATCATTCGATTTTTACATTTTCACCAAAATCAGATTCCATATACTCTATAAACTACAGCCACATGGAACTTACCATGGTGTTTCTTGGTTCTATGCTTTGGAAAAACTATTTTCTCCTACTAAAGTGTCATGTATGTATAATTCTGCTCTCCTCTTCTTGCCTCTCTTTATCACCCCAAACACATAGAATATAATTCCTGACTTTGTCTTTCAAAATCCTGTTTATCTAAGACCCCTTTGTGAAGTCTTTTATGACTTCTCAGATGAGCTGTTTGCTCACACAGAACTTTGTACATATCACCTTGTTTGATTTTTTTGTTTTTACAGTTCACTCATTTAATAATGTTTAGTATAGTCACAGAATTGTGCAACCATCATCACAGTCAATATTAGAACATTTTCGTCATCACCAAAGAAACGCTCGTATACATCTCCCTACCCCAAACTCTTGGTAACTCAGATTTATGTTCTGTCTTTATGGATTTGCCTGCATATTTTATATTACATGATCCTGTATTTTAATTGTTTGTTTACAAATCTCTCTCTCTCCCTGGACTGTAAACTTCTTAAGGATAAGTACAGTGTCTTAGCTAACTTCTTGTCTCCAGCCCTTAAGACAGACTATATTACATAGAAAGCTCAAATTCCTATCAATTGGACTAGGTGCTGAGTTTACAAAGTTGAAGGTTGATCCTCTTAAGGAACTTACATTGTATATGACTTAAGGAACTTACGTTGTATGACTGACAAATGCTTATTGAATGAATGTATGAATGATTTTTTAAACCAATGAACAAAATTCTTAATCATCAAATCTAATGGCATTCTTGTTCTCCTGAGCCATTATAATATTTGACCCTGTTGATGTTTCTGTCCTTTTCTGAATGTCTCTTTATCTTTTATTGCACAAATCTATCTTGATTTACTTCTTGCCTAAGTATTCTGACTCCTTAATAGACTAATTTTGTTTTCTCTGTTTGCTAAACATACATCCACTTCAATATTTTACCCTTGTATTTGTTCTTCGTTTTCTCCCCTTTGAATATTTTATTCATTTACATAATTTTAACTAATATTTTAACTTGTTTCAAAATTCATTGTCATATTTTACAAATTATTAAGGATGAATATTCTCCCTTAGCTTTATTGAGGTAAAATTGACAAAAATTTCACATATTTAAGGTGTACAATATGATGTCTTGATAACACGTATACAGTGTGGTAAAGATCAATCCAAATAACATATCCATCACCTCACATGGCTATCTTTTTTTGGTGAGAGGGAGTAAAAGAAACCAAGATCTACTGTCTTAGCAGGTTTCAAGTGTACAGTACCAGTACCTGTAATCACTGTTAATTGTAGTCACCATGCTGTACATTAAGTCTCCAGAATTTAGTCATCCTGCGTATTTGAAACTTTGTACCCTTTACTTATTTTCCTGTTTCACCCACTCCCTAGCCCCTGCTAACTACCGTTCTACTCTCTGCTTCCAAGACTTCAACTTTTTATATTCCACATGTAGGTGAGAACATGCAGTATTTGTCTTTCTGTGCCTCACATATTTCACATAGCATCATGCCCTCCAGGTTGATTCATATTGTCACAAATGACAAGATTTCCTTCTTTTTAAAGGCTGAGTGGTATTCTATTTTATGTGTATTCATGTACGTGTGTGGGTGTGTCACATTTTCTTTATCCATTAGTCCTTCAAGGGACACTTAGGTTTTTTCCATGTCTTGGCTATTGTAAATAATTCTGCAATGAACATAGGAGTACACTTATCTCTTTGACATGCTAATTTCATTTCCTTTGGATATATATACCCAGAAGTAGGATTGCTTTGGATTATATGGACATTTTAATAATTCTGTAATCTGTGGACACAGATATGTTTCTATTTATTTCTGTCTTTTTCTGTTTCTTTCCTCAGTGTTTTATAGTTTTCCGCGTACAGGTCTTTTACCTCTTTTGTTATACGTATTCCTAAGTATTTTGATGTTTTCGATGCTATTGTTAAATCGGATTATTTTCTTAGTTTCTTTTTCAGATAGTTCACTGTTAGTGTATAGAAACACAACTGATTTTTGTATGTTTTGTTTCCTGCTACTCTACTGACTTTATTAGTTCTAACAGTTTTTTGGTGGAGTCTGTAGGGTTTTTTATATATTAGATTATGTCATCAGTAGACAGAGACAGTTGTAAAAGGAAGAATGGATGCCTTTTCTTTTTTCTGCCTAATTGCTCTGGCTAGGACTTCCAATACTATGTTGAATAGAAGTGGCGAGAGTGAGCATCTTTATCTTGTTCCTAATCTTAAAGTAAAACCTTTCAGCTTTTCGCTGTTGATTATGATGTTATCTATGGGCTTGTTATGTTTCGATACAACTTCATTTGTTGAGTTACAACCTCATTTGTTGAGTTTTTATCATGAAAGGATGTCGTATTTTTCATGCAAAAAAATTTTATATTTTATTATGAAAGGATATTCATACCTTTGAGCTATGTATTCTACTTAAGTGCTTTTTCTTCACCTATTAAGATTTTTATCCTTTGTTCTGTTAATATGATGTATTAGTTTTATTGCTTTCTATATGTTGAACCATCCTTGCATCACAGTGATAAATCCTACTTAATTATGGCATGTGACCTTTTTAATGTGCTGATGAATTTGGTTTGTTAGTATTTTATTGAGGATTTTTGCATCTATATTCATCAAGGATATTGGCCTGTAATTAATTTTTTTTTTCTGGTAATGCCTTTGTCTGACTTTGATGTCAGGGTAGTGCTGGCCTCTTAAAATGAGTTTTGAAGTATTCACTCATCTTCAATATTTTGGAAATGTTTGAGAAAGATTCTTCTTAAATTCTTTATTTGAAATATTTTGTAGAATTCACTGGTGAAGCCATCTGGTTCTGACTTTTAATGATATTTCTCAAAATCTTAAAAATCTTCATACCTATGAGCTATTAATTCTACTTTAATTACCTGCCTTTATCACTCTTCTAATCAGGAAGAAATGTTATTTTTTGAACGTATGCTTTTGGCTATAAATTTCAGAAACTTTTATTTATTTAGCTACTTTTATAAATAATATTGGTCTCTTTATTGAAAGTACATACATGAGAACAAAGACTGCTTTAATAACCACTTAATAAATATTTGTAGAATGAATGAGTGAAATCTCAGTCATTGCCGTTAACTATTTCCCCCTTATTTTAGGAACTTATAATCAAAACTGTATTAAGCTCGGCAAGAGATGAGCCCTCTGGTCCTGCACGGTAGGTCGGATATTCTTAGACTGAGTATAACTATTTTGTGTTTGGAAGTTTAGAAGTTGACTGAATTTTTATAGCAGCCCAGATTGTTTTAGATACATAAAAGCCATTCTGAATTACAATTTTAAGTTACTTGAATAATTAAGTATTCTTACTTTTTTTCATGATTTAAATACTAACCTTTCTTCATAAACAGAATCCTAGTCACCTTTTTCAGTAACTTCACTCTTTATCTCTAAAATGATTTGTTTTAATTTTATTTTATTTAAGTACATTTTGTTTATTGTTCAGTTATATTTGTCAATGTCTTTTATGCAGTACCTTGAAATGCAGTAGCAGGTACCCAATGAATTTTTGTTAAATTGAATTAAAATAAAATATTTTATTATAGAAAGTAATATATCTAAGAAAATAGTATATTTTAATATTTATAAATATTTGATCAAGATTTTTAAAAATAGAATATGTCATAGTTTTAGATTTTTTTCTAAATGTCTTAAGAAATAAAAGCTGACATTTTCTCTGTTTTACAAAACCTTTCCAAAAAAAGATTGAGATTTTAATTAGCAGGTTGCTAGTAGCACACCATGTTTCTTCTCTTCCCCAAAATAACATTAAGTCATATTTTATATTCTTGATGCTAATTCTAATAGTACGTCATTTGCTACAATATTGGTCTGTGCTACTACTCCTCAGATCTACATCTCTGCAAAGCTCCTGTTTTCCAATCATCTACACATTTTTTGACCCAAAGTTCAAAAGTTACAGATCATGGCTTTGACTATTTGGATTCTTATTCTAATTTAAATCTTTTTCCAGCAAATGAAAATAATGTACAGTGAACCATTTGTTTAAATTAAGACATAGCTCCAGTTTTTAAAAATTTAATTGTATATTTTTCTCAATAGCCAAGCTAACTAAAAACAAATATATTTGAGAAAATTGTTCTTTTACGCTAATCCCAATTAAGTTTACAAGGATTTTCGTATAATATTGTTTCATTTAATTCTCATCACGATTTTGAGAGTTTAATAGAATCACCCTCTTCTTCCAGTTTTGCTAGCCAGATACTGATGCTTAGAAAGTTAACAGTAAGTCTCTGATAATGCATAGCTGGTGGGACGGGGGATGTAGGCAAGCTAGCTAACATTTTTAAAGCCCTTTGTATGTGCTTGCTAGGCACTGTTCTAAGTGCCTTATATTTATTATCTCATTGAATTTTGTGATACCTCTATGAGACAGGTATAATTTTCATCCACCTTTTAATAGAAAAGAAAACTAGAACCCAGGGAATTTCAATAATCTGCCCTGTCATCTAGATATGACAGAACCCTGGCAGTTTGTCTTCAGAGGCTTTTTAGATGCACAATTAATAAGTGGCAATACCAAGTTTGACCTTAGTGCTTAAGACTGTAGATCTTTTGCTTTTTTTTACCAAAAAAAAAAAAAAATATATATATATATGTTGCTTCTCAAGTGGAAGAATGTGGAAGCCTAAAACGTAGCTGTCTAGAGGTAGACCTGGAAATCATTAACACAACAGCTTGTGTTATGGAGAATATGGAAAAACCCCAGAAGTTGAATATAAGCATTGTCTCAACTTGTTTTTCTATACCTTTTTAGTATATGTTTTTTTAGAAACATACTCCCAGGCCAGGCGTGGTGGCTCGTGCCTGGAATCCCAGCACTTTGGGAGGCCGAGGAGAGTGGATCACCTGAGGTCAGGAGTTCGAGACCAGCCTGGCCAACATGGTGAAACCACGTCTCTACTAAAAATACAAAAAATTAGCCAGGTGTCGTAGCGTGCCCCTGTAGTCCCAGCTACTCAGGAAGCTGAGGCAGGAGAATTGCTTGAACCGAGGAGGTGGAGGTTGCAGTGAGCCGAGATCGCGCCACTGCACTCCAGCCTGGGCAAGACAGAGTGAGACTCTGTCTCAAAAAAAAAAAAGAAAAAAGAAAAAGAAAAAAGAAACTTAATACCCCCAGTCTGCACAGGAGCAGAGAGTTGAGCTATATGCTGGGAATAATCTAGATTATTTTGACATCTTGTGGAGGGGGGGTGTAGGAAACTCTACATGCAAGAAAAAAATATATATATCCTTTCTTATCTCCTCTTGCTACAATAAAAATTGTTCAGCATTTGTGTTCTAAGTCTCTGCCTTTAGTTAGCTGCATCCACGGAGAGCTTTGCTTCACTTGAGAGTTTATTGTTGCTTTAGGATTATAGATGTTTCCATAGCTAAACCCGAAGCTTGGTTATTTAGTGCTACAAATATTACCTAGGATTTATGGGTGAACAACAATAGGGAAAAAATAAAGTAGTAGAGTTCATCTAGAAGACTTTCAGGTAATTTTCATAGTAAACAGTTTGGTAGCCTTAACACTCTAGACTGAAAGAAGAGACTTAAGACCTTCTGATCTGCTGTGTTAAGGAAGAAGAATCTGCATTGAATTTTTCTGAAGTTTAGCATTCCACTAAAATTAAGAATATCAGTATCGGGACATGGCATATATAACAGGATACTAGAAGAAGGTGACTGTTTTGATACTTAGAACCATTATACATTTTATCAGAAGCTTAAACTTGAACACACTAATAGAATCCTTACTGATTCTAATCATAAAATAACTCTCTTCAAGCTGACACCCAGCTGAAATTATATTGCTACAGAAATGAAGCTTTGCAATACATTGGGGAACAGGATAAAAATTCTACAAGTTCTGTTTCTGTTGGATTTTAAAATAAGTTACATAAATTTTATGTTCTCAATTTGTTTTAAAACAATTTGTAGCTAGGTGTGTTAAATTTAAAAGATAGAAAAATATTTAACATATTCCATCAGCTTCATGTTTTTACTTAAGTTCATTTTGCTGTTATCAGTCAATAAAATTACACTTTCCATTTTGAAAGCAGGTTACATTTTGTTTAGGAAGCTTGATAGCAATGTCAGTCTAACAGACTAACATGGATTTTTAAAAAACATGTTGTGTGGTATCCCAGCCTGTAGTCTTCTTAGTAAATTATAATAGAAAATTAGGCTCAGAAGTTTTGGGATTCTGCTTTCTTCATACTTTCTCTTCTTTGGTTACCAGTTAATGTATAGAGTAACAAATTCATTAATTCATTTAAAATAGTGCATGTTCATTCTGTGTCAGTTGATTGTGGGTCATGTTTGTGGTGGTGGTTTCATTTTATGTAACCGTTGTTGTTTGCCTTTTTTGCAGATGTGTAGCACTTTGTAGTTTAGGTATTTGGATTTGTGAAGAACTAGTCCATGAGTCTCATCATCCTCAAATTAAGGAAGCTCTGAATGTGATTTGTGTTTCCTTAAAGGTAAAGAAAACTGTTTAGTGAAATATATTAAGATAGGAGAGAATGCATATTTTTTTCTCCAAATATTAATGGTATCTTGTGTAACATTTAGTAAATGTTTTCATTACTTTATTATTCTATTATTTTCTTGATCCTGACTCATTCCTTAAAAATTGTTCTGTTTCTTGAATTTAGGGTATCTTTATGGTGACCCATTTTTATCTCAACTTTTTATGTATTTTAGCTTTGTCCCTAAACTATATATGGTAGACATCTAAAAAAGGAAACCCACCATTTAAAACATATATAGGGTTTTTCTGGTTTTTTTTTAACTAGTATTTTTGTAACTTACTGTTCTTTGATCTTTATTACCACTCCCTGAATTCTTGAGCTGTTCAGTTTTTTTGCTTTATCTTTTCAAGTTATGTGCCTTCTTTGTAGACAGACAAGATTTTTTCAGTAGTAATAATGTAATTATTTGGAGAGTCTGAATGAATAAATGAGTACTTTTTGTTTATGAAAGGATGCATGATATTATTGTTGTTTTAAGACTTGTAAAACCCACAGCACCTGTATAAGACTCTAAACATACAAAGTAGCTAATAAATATTTTTAAATAATAGTTACATGACAGATATTTCTAAATATTTACTATGAGGCACATTGCTAGACAGTGAGGGATAACAATAGGAAAAAATTGTAAATACTAGCTTCAAGATATTAATAATAGCTGAAAAAGATTAAAATGAGAATAATAAAACATAAAAACCTGAGAGTACTAAATGGGTATATAATATAAACTGCGTGTATAATATAAACTGCTGATTCAGTTTGGAAGAAACAGAAATCATTTTGACTTAGTTATCAGAGAAGACTGGAAAAGAGGAGACACATTGGGGTTTGAAGTGTGGGTGAAATGTGGACGTAGAGAAGCATGAAAAGTTTGTCTTTATGCCATTGGGGAGTCCTCTGAGTTTTAAGCATAATGTCAGGATCATAACAGTGCTATAGAAGATTAATTTGGAAGTGTGGTGAATAGTTGATTGGAACAGGGCAAAGATTGATAAAAAGAATAGTGGTTTAGAGGCCACTGCATAAATCCACATAAGAGAAAATGCAACAAAACTTTAATGAGGACAGTCAAACATTACAAAGGAAAATTAAAGTTGTATGTGTCTTTGGAATGTGTTGTGATTTTTTTTATTTTGCAGCTAGAGATTTATCTTAATCACCTATAAATGTAGGATTTATAATCCTACAAATGTATGAAATGTAAAAATTTTCAGCAGATAATACATTGATGAAAAGTTCATCATGAAAATTTTTAAAACTTTTTTTTTATTATTGCAGTTTACTAATAAAACAGTAGCCCACGTAGCTTGTAACATGCTTCACATGCTGGTTCATTATGTACCTAGACTTCAGATTTACCAGCCTGATTCTCCCTTGAAAATTATTCAAGTAAGTAATTTCTCATTTATTTATTATGACCTTGTTAAATTTTTTTAGATTTGGATACTTTGAATTGTAAAATTATTTAATAGTTTTAAAATTTTTTTGCATAGCTAAATAATGGCTACCCATCATGCTTTTTTGTGGTATCAAAGTTCATGATAGTTCCCTTGTCTTTTATGTTAGAAGATTGCATTCCTGGTTTTGGACAAAGTAAAAGCACTAGAAACAATTTATTAGGCCAGCCTGGTGGCTTATGCCTGTAATCCAGGCACTTTGGGAGACTAAGTTGAAAGGATCGATTGAGGCCAGGACTTAGAGACCAGCCTAGGTAACATAGCAAGACCCTGGCTCAACAAACAGTTAAACAAAAAACAATTTATTAGTTGTAGTGAAAATTAAATGCTATGTGTAAACTTATGTCATCGTCTTTATAAACATGTATGTTGCTTTATTCCCTCTTAAGTAGGGAAAACATACCATCCAGTTACCACAATCAGGTCATTATTTTTTTTCTTTCCTCTTTAGCCAGTCATTTGTGAATTTTTGTTCATTCTAATTCGGTGTCTCCTGTGCTTCCTGCAACACCTGACGTATTTCATTCCTTCATTATTTCTTTCTTGAGATATTGCTGTTGCCTTCTCCTGGTTTGTGTGGTCTTGCTCTTAAAGTCATCATTCACATTTACATGGCTCTTACCATATCACATACCCCCACAAAAAAAAAAAATCTCTGATTTTCCTTTGGCTATAAAATAAAGCCCAAATTCTTTAGCTGTGAATTCAGGGCCTTCACAGGAGAACCCAACTGGTTTTTTAAGAATCATGTACAGATTCCTTTGAAATGCCATGTTGTTCAGGCAACTGAGTCTGCTTGTCATCACTTAAACATACCCCTGGCTTTCTTCCTCCTAGCTGAAATGCTTTGCTTCTCTTCTCTAGTGCCCTCATCTTTCAGTGATTGGCTTAAATACCATCTCCTCAAAAAATAAAAATCGCTATCTGCTCTCCCTAACCAGAATTTATCATTCTTATCTTCCTATCTTTATAACATTTTTAGGACAGATGGGAACTAATATTTATTAAACACCTACTATGTACCAGTCACCTTTTCATATGATATCTCATTTAATTCTTAGAAGTTTTTTGAGATAGATTATTCCCTTCCCTGTCCCCAATCTCCCCTCCTTATTTAAGATGAGAGAACTGAGGATTTAATAACTACATAAGAGTCATAAGCCAAGAGAACAGGACTCAGACCCAGGTCTGTAAGATTCCAAAGTTCATGCTTTTCCCACTCAGTCATCTTACCAGACTCTATTACAGCACTAAATGTAGTAAGTATCGCACTAGTGAGTAAAGCCTTTTTCTGTATAAAGTATATTTAGAGGAATTTTTCTACTTACTACATTGAGGCAATAATTTCTAAAAAATGTAATAGCATACAATACAGCTAAAATAAAAATACAATAAATATATACCTATACATTTTTAACATGCACATAAAAAATTAAATAAGACTAAATGATTTCCAGGGTAAATGATAACACTGTATATGAAGATTTTGCCTTTTTTTAAATAATGTCTTTTTCATTTACTTTGTATTCTGTACTTTATATTTATTCAAATAATATTCAGTGTATAATATATGTTAATTTAAAAAGCCACATTTGGCTGGGCACGGTGGCTCATGCCTGTAATCCCAGCACTTTGGGAGGCTGAGGTGGGCGGATCACCTGAGGTTAGGAGTTCGAGACCAGCCTGGCCAACATGTTGAAACTCCGTCTCTACTAAAAATACAAAAATTAGCTGGGCGTGGTGGCCCACACCTGTAATCCCAGCTACTCAGGAGGCTGAGGCAAGAGAATCACTTGAACCCAGAGCTGAGATTGCTCCACTGCACTCCAGCCTGGGTGGCTGAGTGAGACTCCATCTCAAAAAAATAAATAAATAAAAAGTCACATTTTTAAAAAAGCCTTATATGTGTGTGTGTATATATATATATATATATAAACAAAAGGCCTGGAAAGGCAATAGAGTAGATTTCTTCAGGTGATAGGATTACAGTGGTTTTTTGTTGTTTTGAGACAGGGTCTCTGTCGCCCAAGCTCCCAAAGTGGGTTTGAGCCACCGTGCCCAGCCTATGATGGTTTTTATTAGTCTTTTTCTTATCTGTGTCTTTTAATTTTTCTATAATGAACATATATTTTCTGTGTGTTTGTACATAGTGATTTACCCCCTTGAATTGGGAAGAAATCCATTTATGGTTGACAGAATATGTATAATTTTGGTTCTGTACATGAGGATTATAAATAATTGATAGTTAACTATACTTGAAAAGCTTACCTATTAAACATTACTTTGAAATAACAGTGTTAATGTGTTTAGAATAAATTTGCAGTAGTAGGTTTTGTATCACTTCAGCATTTAACAATCAAGTTTTAGGATGTACCATTAATTTGACATATATAGAGCTTTTAAAAAAATTTTTTTTTGCTTACAGATCCTAATAGCTACCATCACCCATCTTTTACCAAGTACAGAGGCTTCATCTTATGAAATGGACAAGAGGGTAATTTAAATTTTGTTTGATGATTAGTATGTGGTTATTTAGTAAAATATTTGCATTTCAAAACTTTAAAGGTATGTATATTTACATGGTAAAAATTTATCCTTGTTCAGAATCTACTATAATGTGAAATGCCTTTCTGTTATTTAAGTATAACTAAATTATATTTTGGTTCACATTTCATTGCCATTTGATAAAATCTTTGAGTCTCAAGATTGTAAGGAACCTTAGAGGACATTCTGTCCACCTCTATTTCATTACATTCTGCCAAATTGTGTTCTTACCTTTGCCTGAAGATTGTTAATTCTGAGGAGTTAATCACCTCTAAAGGCAGCCACTTGTTTTTGTATAGATAGAAAGTAAAGATAAAATATATAGAGATACGTCATTTAAAAGAAGACATCTCCTGTGTCTGCGAAAACATTCTACTAGGTGACATTTACCTCAGTAAATTCATTATGAGGGTTCTTTAATTTTTTCAGATATTGTATTTACCAGTTCTAGAGTTACTTTTTGTTTTGTTTTTAAGTTTCCATATCTTATCTGAAATTCTGCATTTCTTCATCAATTATATACATCTTCTCTTATAGATACTTTAACATATTTATAATAATTAAAATAGAGTCCTTGACTACTAAATCCAGTATCTGGGTCATCACTAACTCCGTTTCTATTGAGTTTTTTTCTTTTGACTATGAGTTTCATTTTCCTGTTATTATGTCTATTTTTTAATTATATGCCTGACATTATACATAAATGTTGTAGAGACTCTAGGTCGGTGCTGCTCACTATGGTAGCTACTAACTGTGTATTGCTTTCAGTTGACACTAAATTTAGTTTAAAGTTCACATGAAAAATGTAATTCCTCGTTTGCAAATATCAAGTGCTCAATAGCCATATGGGCAAATATAGACCATTTTCATCATTGCACAAAGTTCTGTTAGACAAGGCACAAAGTTCTGTTAGACAAGGCTGCTCTAGATTCTATTAGTTTCCTCTGAGAATTATTCTCATCTCTTCCCTTGTCATATCTCAATCTTGAGTTCTATTCTCCAGGTCTCCCCTTAACCATATTGTTTTGAAATCTCAAGTATGTTTTATTTACTGCTTATGTTCTTATTAATTTACAGAAATCTGAAGCTATAGTTATGTTTCTGGACCTATTCCCAGTTATTTTCTTGTGTGGCATACATGAGGCTTTCATAGTTTTTTCTTTTCCTACTGTCTGCCATTATCATTTCTTACTGATTTCATGTGTTTACCTCAAAACTTTTTATTCTTTCCCTTCATATTCAGTTTAAACACCATTTGAACAGATTGTTTAGCTCTTGATAAATACTTTATCATCATCATCTTCATCTTTAAAAGAGACATATACTTCATTTTTATTTTTTTTATTTTAAATTTTTAACATTTTTTTGAGGCGGAGTCATCTCACTCTGTCACCCAAGCTGGAGTACTGTGGCACAGTCTCGGCTCACTGCAACCTCTGCCTCCCAGGTTCAAGCGGTTCTCGTGCTTCAGCCATTCAAGTAACTGGGATTACAGGTGTACACCACCATGCCTGGCTAATTTTTTATTTTTAGTAGAGATGTGTCGGGGGCGGGGGGGTCTCATCATCTTGGCCAGGCCGGTCTCAAACTCCTGGCCCCAAGTGATCCACCTGCCTCGGCCTCCCAAAGTGCTGGGATTACAGGCGTGAGCTACCTCATCCGGCCTCCATTTTTAGCCAAGAATCCTTCGCTTTAGTGTCGCAGGCTATGGTGTAGAATTCCAAATCCAGTTTATGAATAATTTCTGGATAACTACTTGTTCATCTTTTTCTATATCATCTTTGTCTTCCAGAAGTCTAGCTATTAATATGAAAAAGCTATACTTCTAAGTTTTTGTTTTCTTGCCCACTAAATTTATTAAACATTTATTTATCATAAAATATGAGTGTGGCGTTCTGCTAGGCACTAAACAGAGGTAAACATGATACTCCCTGTTCTCATGGAATTTAAAAATTAGAGACACAAATGAGGCAACACAATATAATAAATAGTATAAAAAGTAGAAAAATGTATGAGATACAAGGTAGAATAGAGAAAGAAGTAATTAACTATTGGGGAAAGGCATATTTAGGAAAAATTCTTTTAAAGTTAAATAGAGACATAAATAGAGACAAACAGTAGAATCAGAAAATTATTCCAAGTGGTATGAATAGCATGTGTAAATCTGGGGACTATAAAATAGTATGGTTTGTTTTGGAGAAACAACTAGGCAGTTCCATATTTTAGAATGTGAAGTGGACAGTTAAGAGTTGGGAAAATAAAGTTTCTAAGATAGGAAGGGGCCAGATTATAAAGGGCCTTGGATGCCACACTATGAACGTGGTACTTCTGTGAAAGTGACTTTTTTGAAAGGTTTTTATGTAGGATAAAATATGACCAGATTTGTGAAAAATCACTTGAGAAAATGTGAAAGTTGACTTAAAAGTCAAAATATGGTGATTATTATTAAAATCATCTTTATAAGAATTGATGACGTTCTGAGCTAAGGCTAAAGGAATAGAGAATAGATACTCACAAAGTAGAACCCACAGCCAAGGTGAGGAATACAGGAAAGAGCAGCTTTGTTGGAGCAGTGAGTTTCAGTTCTCAGTTTGTTGCATATAAAAAGTAATCTCCAGGTGGAGACCACCAGCAAGGCAATTATATACCTGATTAGAAAATTTGATGCTGGAAATAAAATTATTGGCATTGTCAGTACATGAGTAGTATTAACATTGTGAGAATATATGAAATCACTTAAGGCGATATAGTAGAGTAAGATGAGTTAGCAAAGTATAGCACATTAAAGAATAACAGTTAAGGAGAAGGCAGAGAAGATGATTCAGTAAAAGTGACTGAAAGGACTAGTAGGAAAGGTAGGAAGAACACCAGGTCTAGGAGAGAGTAATCACATAGAAGACAATCAAATCATCCCGAAAATGCTTTTTTGATCTCAGACTTTATTCACTGTTTTTTTTGAGACAGGGTCTCACTCTGTCACCCAGGCTGGAGTACAGTGGCGCAATCTAGACTCACTGCAACCTCCACCTCCCACACTCAAGTGATCCTCCCACCTCAGCCCCCAAAATGGGACCACAGGCGTACGCCACCATGCCCAGCTAATTATTGTATTTTTAGTAGAGATGGGGTTTTGCTATGTTGCCTAGGCTGGTCAGGAGCTGGTCACTTCAGCTCAGGAGCTTGAGCTGAAGTGAACCGCCCGCCTTGGCCTCCCTAAGTGCTGGGATTACAGATGTGAGTCACTGTGCCCAGCCTATCATTCACTCTTCTTCTTCTTTTTTTTTTTTTTGAGATGGAGTTTTGCTCTGTTGCCCAAGCTGGAATACTGTGGTGCAGTCTCGGCTCACTGCAATCTCCGCCTCCTAGGTTCAAGTGATTCTCCTGCCTCAGCCTCCTGAGTAGCTGGGATTACAGGCGTGCGCCACCATGCCCAACTAATTTTTTTTTTCTTTTTTTTGAGACAGGAGTCTCCCTCTATTGCCCAGGCTGGCATGTAGTGGCACAATCTCGGCTCATTGCAACCTCCGTCTCCTGGGTTCAAGTGATTCTTCTGCCTCAGCCTCCCAAGTAGCTGGAACTACAGACACATGCCACCACACCTTGCTAGTTTTTTTTTGGTTGGTTTTTTTTTTTGTTTTTTTCAGTAGAGATGGGATTTCACCGTATGGGCCAGGCTAGTCGTGAACTCCTGACCTGGTGATCCACCCGCCCGACCTCCCAAAGTGCTGGGTTTACAGGCGTGAGCCTTCCCACCCAGCCTCAAATATGCTTTATCTTAAACATCTTATTTATTTATTTATTTATTTAGAGACGGAGTTTCGCTGTGTCACCCAGGCTGGAGTGCAGTGGCGTGATCTCAGCTCACTGCAACCTCCGCCTCCCAGGTTCAAGCAATTCTCCTGCCTCAGCCTCCCTAGTAGCTGGGGCTACAAGCACACACCACTATGCTAATTTTTGTATTTTTAGTGGAGATGGGGTTTCACCATATTGGCCAGGCTGGTCTCAAATTCCTGACCTCAGGTGATCCACCTGCCTGGACCTCCCAAAGTGCTGGGATTACAGGCGTGAGCCACCACACCTGCCCTTAAACCTCTTTATAATTATACATTCCTCTCTGTGTGATGAACATCAGAATATTACCTAAATCCACTGGTTCTTCTCCACTATGTTGCATTCCAGTATCTTCTAATTTTTTTGAATTGGGTTTTTATTATCTTTTATTAGAAGCTGGCACACTACATATGGACAAATAGATATATTGAATCATTTTAATTATGTTATTATTTCTCTAGGAACTCTTAATCTCATGCAAGCCACCAGTATAGGGAGGCATTTCTCATGTATGATATTCAGATTGCTGCTCCTTAACCTCAAATGTTTAAGAACTTGAATAAACTGTATATGGGCCAGGAGTTTTTAGACTTCTCAAACGGCTCATTGTCATTGGTGAATATGGGCTTGGGCTAACAGGTTTTAAAAGATAAATTCAATAAAAATAAAGCAAAAAGAACATTTATATAGTGATTTTTTTTTAAAATCACGTGCCAGCAGTGTGTACTTTATATGCATTATTTCAACATCAAAACAACTTTATAATCTTGATAAATATTTTTTAATCCCTATTCTTCATAGAGAATTGAGCCTTAGAAAGGTTAAGTTGCCCAAGGTCACAAAATTGTTACTAAATATCAGAGCCAAGACTGGAATCTGTGATTGACAGATAGATGCCAAAGTCCATACTGTTTTTAGTTAGAAACATCAATTGAGAGCTTCCATTTGAGTTTTATGGTGGAATTGTTTTCTTTTAACATAATTTCAAGTTTATAGAAACATTGAAAGGGTAGTACAAAGAATTATTTATATTGGTTCACCACATTTGCTTTATCCCTTTGTATGTAGTATGAAATAGAGAGAGAAATAAATGTGTATACTGCTGACTACTTTATTGTGTTTTTCCTAAAATCAAGCAATTCTCTTATATAACCACAAAATAGTTGTCAACATGAGGAAATTAGCATTAGTATTAGTGATACATTTGTATTATCTAATCTATAGATATTTCACTAGTTGTCTCACTAACATCCTGTAGGGCAAAAGAAATTCCCAAATTATGCCTTACATGCAGTCATAATGTCTCTTTAGCCTTCTATAGTATGGAACAGGTTCTTAATCTTTCTATATTTCTTGACCTTGACATTTTAAAGAATACAGTCTAGTTACTGTATAAAATGTCCTGCGTTTTGGCTTTGTGTTTCATCATGATTAGGTTTGTTATTATTGGATTTAAATTAGGCGTATTTGGCAGGAATACCTCAGAAGATTTTGTGCACCTCTTAATACATTATATCAGGTGTCACAGATGTCAGTTTGTTTCATTACTGATTGGTGCTAACTTCAGTCAAATGATTAAGGTTGTGTCTGCCAGGTGTTCCCACTGTAAAGCTACTGTTTAATCCTTTTCAATGAATTAGTATTTGTAAGACAATACTTTGAGACTATACTATATAAATATTTGACTCCTTAAATTTCCACTAACTGGTTTTGCTAATCATTAATGACTCTTACCAGAAACAATTATTGTTACAGTAGCTGCCAAATGATGATTTCCTAATTCATCATTTTTTCTACATTCATTAGTTAGCTTTCTACGTATAAGGAAGAGCTTTCCTTTCTTTCTTATTCATCTTATTTCAATGTGGGCTCATGATTCTGATTTTATGCAATGATTTGTAATCCTTAACTATTATTTATTTTGGTGCTCAAAATGTCTCATACTTAGCCAGTGGGAGCCCCTTCAAAGTGGCTTCTTTTTCATAAATCCCCATTATTTTGGGGGCATGCTTTTAATTTCTGTCAGCACACAATTTTCCAGACTCACTTTGTGCTTTCCCTGTCCCAGCCCTGAAATTACCCATTTCTCCAAGAAACCCTGCTTCCGTTAAGTGGCAAATGGTGTTTAGAAATCAGTATCTAAGAACTAGGCATGCACATTGCTACTGGGATATCTTTTTTTTTTTTTTTTTTGGAGATGGAGTCTCGCTCTGTCGCCCAGGCTGGAGTGCCCCGGCGCGATCTCGGCTCACTGCAAGCTCCGCCTCCCGGGTTCACGCCATTCTCCTGCCCAGCCTCCCGAGTAGCTGGGACTACAGGCGCCCGCCACCACGCCTGGCTAATTTTTTTGTATTTTTAGTAGAGACGGGGTTTCACCGTGTTAGCCAGGATGGTCTCGATCTCCTGACCTCGTGATCTGCCTGTCTCAGCCTCCCAAAGTGGTGGGATTACAGGCGTGAGCCATTGCGCCCGGCCTGGGGTATCGTTTCTTAAGTCCTCTTTGGCAGATACAGCTAGGAAATACATAACATATACACACACACACACACACACACACACACACACACACACACACACCCATCTCTATATCTGCTATAGACTGAATGTTTGTGTCTCTCCCGAAGTTCATATATGGAAATCCTAATGCCCAGTGTCATGGGATTTGGAGGTGGGGCCTTTGAGAGGTAATTAGGTCGTGAGGATGAAGCCCTCATCAATGGGATTAGTGCCCTTATAAGAAGAGAGATGAACTAATATCCACCGTGTGAAGATACACTAGAAGGTGGTCATCTAACAAGCCAGAAAGAGGACCCTCACATATACTGAATTGGCTGCCACCTTGATCTTCAACTTTCTAGCTTTCAGAACTGTGAGGAATAAATTTCTCTTGTTTAAGCCACCCAGTGTAAAGTATTTGTAATGCCAGCACAGACAGAATAAGATGGTATCTAATTATAAGTATTAAAAACCTTGAGTTCACACTGACACCTCCAATTCTTATTTTATTTTATTTTACTTTAAGTTCCAGGATACATGTGCAGAATGTGCAGGTTTGTTACATGGGTAGACAAGTGCCATGGTGTTTTGCTGCACCTGTCAACCCGTCACCACATGCATTAGCTGTTTGTCCTGATGCTCTCCCTCACCTTCCCCCACCAACAGGCCCCAGTCTGACACCTCCACGTCTAATCCAACACCACGAGATTCAGTCCATCCTTCCCCGTTTTCCTTATTTGTAACTCCCTGCTCCAGCAATGAAAAATCTGGTTTCCATATTGATTATTTATCTGGATATGTTTACTTCTTTGTGCTGTTCTATTTTTTTAAATTATTAACTTATGCCTCTTTATAGTTAAGAGTGCTTGTCTTTACCAAGAGAGATTATTGTTTGAAAAATGTGTTCATAAGTTATTTGGGTTACTTCGTAGTCCCCCTTTCCCACTTCAGTATGGTTATATAATTACCTTGAAATTCAGTTCAGGTCACTTTTTTCTGTTTGTATGCAGTTTTAGGGTCTTTGTCCCATCTCTGTTGTTTTAATTTTTTTAGTCTATGGTTCATCCATCCTATGATTGTTTTTTCACAAATGAACAGATGCATGTATATCGTCTTTTATTCCTTGTTTGTTACACATAGCCTAGATAGTCTTTGCTTTGGATTTTTCACTTGACAGTGTATCTTGGAAATCCTTAATACGTAAGTTCATAGAGATCTTCCCCATCTTTTTATTTATTGAAAATTGTTCTGGGTACATAGTAGGTGTATATATTTATGGAGTGCATGGGATATTTTGACAGAGACATACAGTGCATAATATGTCAGGATAAATGGGGTATCCTTCCCCTCAAGCACTTATCCTTTCTGTGTGTTACAAAATAATCCAATTATATGTTTTTAGTTATTTTTAAATGTACAATTCAGTTATTTTTTACTATAGTCACTCTGTTTTGCTAGCAAATATTATATTTTATTCATTCTTTCTATTTTTTAGAACCCATTAACCATCCCCACTTACCCCATACTCCCCACTGCCCTTCCCAGTCTCTGGTAACCATCATTCTATTCTCTGTCTCCATGAGTTCAGTTGTTTTCATATTTATCTCCCACAGATAAGTGAGAGCATGCAATGTTTGTCTTTCTGTGCCTGGCTTATTTCACTTAACATAATGACTTCCAGTTCCATCTATCTTGTTGCAAATGACAAGATCTCATTCTTCTTTATGGCTGAATAGTACTCCCTTGCATATATGTACCACTTTTCTTTATCCATTCATCTGTTGATGGACACTTAGGTTGGTCCCAAATTTTGGCTATTGTAAATAATACTGCAGTAAACATGGGAATGTAGGTATCTCTTAGATATGCTGATTTCCTTTCATTTGGGTATATACCTAGCAGTAGGATTACTGGATCATATAGTAGTTATCTTTGTTAGTTTTTTGAGGAACCTCGAAACTGTTCTCCATAGTGGTTGTACTAACATAAATTCCCACCAACAGTGTATGAGGGTTCCCTTTTCTCCACATCCTCGCCAGCATTTATTGCCTGTCTTTTGGATAAACCCATTTTATTTTATTTATTTTATTATTATTATTATACTTTAAGTTCTAGGGTACATGTGCACAATGTGCAGGTTTGTTACATATGTATACATGTGCCATGTTAGTGTGCTGCACCCATTAACTCGTCATTTACATTAGGTATATTTCCTAATGCTATCCCTCCCGCCTCCCCCCACCCCTCGAAAGGCCCTGGTGTGTGATGTTTCCCATCCTGTGTCTAAGTGTTCTCATTGTTCAATTCCCACCTATGAATGAGAACTTGCGGTGTTTGGTTTTCTGTCCTTGCGACAGTTTGCTCAGAATGATGGTTTCCAGCTTTATCCATGTCCCTACAAAGGACATGAACTCATCCTTTTTATGGCTGCATAGTATTCCATGGTGTATATTTGCCACATTTTCTTAATCTAGTCTATCATTGATGGACACTTGAGTTGGTTCCAAGTCTTTGCTATCGTGAATAGTGCCACAGTAAACATACACGTGCATATGTCCTTATAGCAGCATGACTTATAATCCTTTGGGTATATACCCAGTAATTAGATGGCTGGGTCAAATGGTATTTCTAGTTCTAGATCCTTGAGGAATTGCCACACTGTCTTCCACAATGGTTGAACTAGTTTACACTCCAACCATGTAAAAGTGTTCCTGTTTCTCCACATCCTCTCCAGCACCTGTTGTTTCCTGACTTTTTAATGATCACCATTCTAACTGGTGTGAGATGGTATCTCATTGTGGGATAAAACCCGTTTTAACTGAGGTGAGATGATATCTCATTGTATTTAGTAGTTTTGATTTGCATTTCTCTGATGATGTTGAGCATCTTTTCATAAGTTCATATGTGTTCATATGAACTTGTTTTCATATAGTCATATGAACATATTAACTTGTTTTCCTTTTTTATGTCTTCTTTTGAGAAATGTCTGTTCAGATCTTCAGCCCATTTTAAATCAAATTGTTAGAATTTTTTCTGTAGTGTTGTTTGAGTTCCTTGTATATTCTGGTTATTAATAGCTTGTCATATTATTTTGTAAATATTTTCTCCCCTTCTGTGGGTTGTCTCTTCACTTTGTTGACCATTTACTTTGCCGTGCAGAATCTTTTTAACTTTATGTGATCCTATTTGTTCATTTTTGTTTTGGTTGCCTGTGCTTGTAGGGTATTACTCCAGAAATCTGCCCAGTCCAATGCCCTCAAGAGTTTCCTCAATGTTTTCTTGTAGTAGTTTCATAATTTGAGGTCTTAGATTTAAGTCTCTAATGCGTTTTGATTTGATTTTTATATATGGCAGGAGTTAGGGATCTAGTTTTGTTCCTCTGCATGTGGATAACCAGTTATCTCAGCACCATATATTGAAGAGACTGTCCTTTCCATAATATATATTATTTACCTTTGTTTAAAATGACTTCACTGTAGATGTACAATTTGTTTCTGGGTTCTCTATACTGTTCCATTGGTCTATGTGTCAGTTTTTATGCCAGTTCCATACTGTTTTGATAATTATGGCTCTGTAGTATTATTTGAAATCAGATAATGTGATTCTTCCAGTTTTGTTCATTTTGCTCAGGATAGCTTTGACTGTTTTGGGTCTTTTATTGTTGCATATAAATTTTAGGATTGTTTGTTCTGTTTCTATAAAGAATGTCATTGGCATTTTGATAGGGATTGCATTGAACCTATAGATTGATTTGGGTAGTATGGACATGATTATTGAAAATAATGATTCTTTCAATACATGAACATGGAATAGCTTTCCATTGTTTCGTGTCTTTTTCAATTTCTTTCATCAGTGTTTTACAGTTTTTATTGTAGAAATCTTTCACTTCTTAGATTAATTCCGAACTATTTAATTTCATTTGTAGCTATTGGAAATGGCATTACTTTCTTGATTTCTTTTTCAGATTGTTCACTGTTGGCACATAGAAATGCTACTAATTTTTGTATGTTGATTTTGTATCCTGCAGCTTTACTGAATTTGACGTTGTTTATCAGTTCTAATAGTTATTTGATAGAGTCTTTAGGTCTTTCCAAATATAAGATCATATCGTCAGCAAACAAGGATAATTTGATGTCTTCCTTTCCAATTTGCATACCCTTTATTTCTCTCTCTTGTCTGCTTGCTCTAGCTAGGACCTCCAGTACTGTGTCAAATGATAGTGGTGGAAGTGGACACCTTTGTCTTGTTCTAGATCTTAGAGAAAAGGATTTCAGTTTCTCTGCATTCAGAATGATACTACCTGTGGGTCTGTCCTAATATGGCTTTTATTATGTTGAGGTGTGTTCCTTCCCAGTTTTTTTGTGGGGGGAGGGGAGGAGGTGTTCATCATGAAGGGATGTTGAATTTCATCAGATGCTTTTTCAGCAGCAACTGAAATTATCACAAAGGTTTTTGTCCTTTATTTTGTTGACAAAAATGTATCACATTGATTGATTTGTGTATGTTGAATCATCCTTGAATCCCTGGGATAAATCTCCCTTGGTCATGGTGAGTGATATTTCTAATGCATTGTTGAATTTGGTTTGCTAGTATTTTGTCGAGGATTTTTGCATCAATGTTCATCAGGAATATTGGCCTGTAGTTTTCTTTTTGTTGATGTCTTTTATTTTGATATTAGGGTAATATTGGCCTCATAGAATGAGTTTGGAAATACTTCCTCCTCTGTTTTTCAGAATAGTTTCAGAAGGATTGGTATTAGTTCTTTAAATGTTTGGTAGAATTTAGCAATGAAGCCATTGGGTCCTGGGCCTTTCTTTGGTGACAGACTTTTTATTACAGCTTTATTCTTGTTATATGTTACTGGTCTGTTCAGGTTTTGCATTTCTTCATGATTAAATCTTAATAGATTTTATGTGTCTAGGAGTTTATCCGTTTCTTCTAGGTTTTCCAGTTTATTGGCATATAGTTGTTCATAGTAGCCGCTCTGTTGATCTTTTAATTTCTGCTGTATCGGTTTTTAATGTCTCCTCTTTCATTTCTGATTTTATTTGAGTCTTGTTTCTTTTTTTCTTAGTGGCCAAAGGTTTGTCAATTTTATCTTTTTTAAAAAATCAATTTTTTGTTTCATGTGCCAATTTTTCATTTCATTGATCTTTTGTATTTTTGCCATTTCAGTTTTATTCATTTCTGCTCTGATCTTTATTATTTTTATTCTGCTTACTTTGGGTTTGGTTTGCTCTTGCTTTTCTGGTTCTTTAAGATGCATTGTTAGGTTGTTTACTTGACGTTTTTCTGCTTTTTTGATGTAGGTGCTTATAGCTATAAACTTCCCTCTTAGTACTGCTTTCACTGTATCCTATAGGTTTGGGTATGTTGTGTTTCCATTATCATTTGTTTCCAGAAACTTTCAGTTTTTTTCTTAATCTCTTCATTGACCCACAGATCATTCAGGAAGATATTGTTTAATTTCTTTTTTTTTTTTTTCTTTTGAGACAGAGTCTCAGCCTCTCGCCCAGGCTGAACTGCAGTGGTGCAATCTTGACTCACTGCAAGCTCTGCCTCCCAGGTTCACACCATTCTCCTGCCTCAGCCTCCCGAGTAGCTGGGACTACAGGTGCCCGCCACCACGCCCGACTAATTTTTTGTATTTTTAGTAGAGACGGGGTTTCACCGTCTTAGCCAGGATGGTCTCAATCTCCTGACCTCATGATCCGCCCACCTCGGCCTCCGAAAGTGCTGGGATTACAGGCACGAGCCACCGCACCTGGCCAATATTGTTTAATTCCTAAGTGTTTGTATAGTTTCCAAAATTCCTCTTATTTTTTATTTCTAGTTTTATTCCATTGGGGTCAGAGAAGATACTTAATATTATTTCAATTTTTAAAAATATGTTAAGACTTATTTTTTGGCCTAACATATGGTCTGTCCTTTAGAATGTTACAGATGCTGAGGAGAAAAATGTGCATTCCACAGCCATTGGATGAAATGTTCTGTAAATATCCATTTGGTCCATACTGCACATTAAGTCCAATGTCTCTGTTGATTTTCTGTCTGGATGAAATGTCCAATGCTGAAAGTGTGGTGTTTAAGTCTTCAGCTATTATTGTATTGGCATATATCTCTCTCTTTAGCTCTAATAATATTTGCTTTATATATCAGGGTGCTCCAGTGTTGAGTGCATATATATTTATAATTGTTTTATCCTCTTGCTGAATTAATCCCTTTATCATCACATAATGACCTTTTTTGTCTTGAAATCTATTTTGTCTGATGCAAGTGTAACTACTTCTGCTTTTTTTGGTTTCCATTTGCATAGAACATCTTCATCCCTTTATTTTCACTATATGTGTGTCTTTATAGGCAAAGTGTGTTTCTTGTAGGCAACAGATCGTTGGGTTTTATTTTTTTAATCTGTTCAGCCACTCTCTCTTTTGATTGAGTTTAGTCTATTTACATTCAGTGGTTTTTATTTTTTATTCTTTTTTTTTCTTTCTTTCTTTTTGAGACAGAGTCTTGCTCTGTCACCCAGGCTGGAGTGCAGCGGCGCAATCTCAGCTCACTGCAACCTCTACCTCCTGGGTTCAAACGATTCACCTGCCTCAGCCTTCCAACTAGCTGGGACTACAAGCACACACCACCACACCCAGCTAATTTTTTGGTTTTTTAGTAGAGATAGGATTTCACCATGCAGGCCAGGCTGGTCTCAAACTCGTGACCTCAGGTGATCTGCTTACCTCAGCCTCCCAGAGTGTTGGGATTACAGGTGTGAGCCGCCGTGCCCAGCCTCAGTGGTATTATTGATAAGTAGGTACTTACTCCTTCCACTTTATTATTTATTTTCTTGTTGTTTTTCAGGCTTCTCATCCTTCTTTCCTTCCTTCCTGTTTTCCTTTTAGTGAAGGTGATTTTCTCTGGTATTATGGTTTTGTTTCTTGCTTTTTATTTTTTTTATATCCATTGTATGTGTTTATATTGGAGGTTACCATAAGGCTTGCAAGTAATATCTTATAACCCATTATTTTAAACTAATGCCAACTTGACACTGACTGCATAAACAACAAGCAAAAAGAAAATTAATAACAACTCTACATATTAACTTAATCCCCCTGCTTTTTAACTTTTTATTCTTTCTATTTATATCTTATTGTACTGTCCATGTCTTGAAAAGTTGTTGTTATTATTTTTTATTGGTTCATCTTTTCATCTTTCTACTTCAATATGAGTAGTTTACACACCACAATTACAGCGTTATAGTATTCTGTGGTTTTCTGTTTACTTACTATCACCAGTGAGTTTTGGACCTTCAGATAATTTCTTACTGCTCATTAACATTCTTTTCTTTCAGACTGAAGAAATCCCTTTAGCATTTCTTGTGGGACAGATTTGGTGTTGATGAAATCCCTCAGCTTTTGTTTGTCTGGGAAAGTCTGTATTTCTTCTCCATGTTCGAAGGATATTTTCACTGGATATATTATTTTAGAATAAGTTTTTTTTCCTTTAGCACTTTAAATATGTCATGCCATTCTCTCCTGGCCTGTAAGATTTCTACTGAGAAGTCTGCTTCCAAATGTATTGGAGCTCCATTGTATGTTATTTGTTTCTTTTATCTTGCTGCTTTTATAATCCTTTTATCCTTGACCTTTGAGAGTTTGATTATTAAATGTCTTAAGGTAGTCATATTTGGATAAAATCTGCTTAGTGTTCTATAACCTACTTGTACTTGAGTGTTCATATCTTTCTCTGGGTTTGGGAAGTTCTATGTTTTTATCCTTCTTAATAAACTTTATATCCCAATCTATCTCCTCTTTAAAGCCAATAACTCTAGATTTACCCTTTTGATGCTCTTTTCTAGTTCTTATAGGTGTGTTTTATTCTTTTTTCTTCTTTTTTCTTTTGTCGCCTCTGACTGTGTATTTTCAAATAGCTTGTCTTCAGCCTCACCAATTCTTTTTTCTGCATTATCCGTTCTGCCATTAAAAGAACTCTGATGCATTCTTCAGTACACTAGTTGCATTTTTCAGCTCCAGAATTTCTACTTGGTTCTTTTTAGTTATTTCAATCTCTTTGTTAAATTTATCTCATAGGATTCTGAATTTCTTCTCTGTGTTATCTTGAATTTCATTGAGCTTCTTCAAAACAGCTGTTTTGAATTCTCTGTCAGGTGACATCTCTGTCTCTCTGGGATTGGTCATTGGTGCCTTATTTAATTCATTTGGTGAGGTCATGTTTTCCTGGATGGTCTTGATGTTTGTTGATGTTCATTGGTGTGTGGGCATTGAAGAGTTAGGTATTTATCATAGTCTTCGCAGTCTGGGTTTGTTTGTCTTCTCCCCCTAAGCATTACCTTTCCTATGTGTACTTCTACATCCTTTCTTTTTACTCACTACTCTGATCTACCAGTATACTTTTTTAATATTCTCACACTTAAGGTGGACTTTTTCTTTCTGGCATGGTTTTAGATCAGTCTTAGATTCACAGCAAGTTCCCATCTTCTCTCTTTCACAGTTTTTCCCAAACTACCCTTGCTTTTCATGAAAACCTGCAGTGGGAGAATGGGAGAAAGATGCTGGGATTTGCTGCATATTTTTCTACTTACAGATAATTCGAGGCTCGGTGCAGTGGCTCATGCCTGTAATCTGAGCACTTTGAGAGGCCAAGGCAGACAGATCACTTGAGGCTAGGAGTTCAAGACCAGCCTGGCCAACGTGGCAAAACCTCGTCTCTCCTAAAAATACAAAACTTAGCCGGGCACAGTGGCACATGCCTGTAATCCCAGTTACTTAGGTGGCTGAGGTGCAAGAATCACTTGAACCCAGGAAGTGAAGGTTGCAATGAGCTGAGATCATGCCACTGCACTCCAGCCTGGGTGACAGAGCAAGACTGTCTCAAAAATAAAAATTAAAAAAATAGATAATTTGAAGTTTGGATGTTCTTTGTCTTCTGATAATATGGAAGCTGTTGTTTTGTGAGGTTTTATTGGGCCTTCTTATTGTTCCTTATTTTATTTATTTTTTGGAAGATATGTTGGGAGATGTAGACCAGAATTACTTGAGTTGGAGAGTTCGTTTTTAAAGATTAGCAAGTCTCTTGTTGCTATTTCATTGTCAGTTTCATGGCACTATTTGTGATTCTTTAATACAATGAATTCTGCTATTGTATTCTACATTTTGTATAAAAAGTGACCTGTTTATAGCATTCATTAGTTTAAAAGTGTCCATCCAGGCATGATGGTGTGCACCTTGTAGTCCCAGCTATTTGGAAGTCTGAGGCTGGAATATTGCCTGAGCCCAAGAGTTCAAGGCCAGCCTGGGCAATATAGCAAGACTCCCTCTCTTTGAAAAAAAACAAAAACAAAAAAGCGTGTTCAGTGGATTCATTTAGTAAAATGAGTAACAATTTCAAAAAGTACTTAAGGTAGTCTTACTGGCAGGCTATTCAGTGAGATGTTGTTAAGTTAGAAAAGGAAAGTGGAAGTGATTATAATATATATGGACTTCCATTTGTGTTCCATTCCTTGTGCAATGGAATAAGTATAGTTAATTGATATGTGTTGTCTTTTAAGCTTGCTGTTTTTATATTAATTTTAACATTTCTGTTTTTATTATGCTTACTGTTTCATTATGCTTGCCCTGACATATGAAAGAGAAACCCACAATAATGTTCATATACAATATCTTAAAATCAGTTAGATCTGGGTAAATATTAATAGTGGAACTTAGGGTTGATGATTCCAGAAACAAATTTTGGAAACTCAAGAATAAGAAAATGAATTTTTAAGAAGCATATATTTTATGAATGTACAATTATAATGATTCTATTGTTGTTACAGTTGGTAGTATCTTTACTTCTCTGCCTTCTGGACTGGATCATGGCCTTACCTCTAAAGACACTGCTCCAACCATTTCATGCTACGGGAGCAGAAAGCGATAAAACAGAAAAATCTGTTCTCAATTGCATTTATAAGGTAAACTTCCTTGCTTTATTATTTATTTGGTAACCAAGAGTTTTTAAAACCTAGAGAAATAACATTTCTCAGTATAACATTTTTATTCTTTTAGAGCTAGAAAATTTCTAAGAACACATATTTAGCTTACAGTGCCTAAGGGTAATTTAAAAGTGCTTCCTACAAGACACCGTTGTTTCATTGCAAAATTTTGAGAGGAATTAGATCATTGTTACATATGAGTATAATTTAATTTTAGTCATTCTTTGTAAGAGGTATTGAATTTTACCTTGATTTTTTTTTTTCTTTTATTGAAACGGAGTTTCACTCTTGTTACCCAGGCTGGAGTGCAATGGCTCAATCTCGGCTCACTGCAACCTCCGTCTCCTGGATTCAAGCAATTCTCTTGCCTCAGTCTCCTGAGTAGCTGGGATAACAGGCGCCCACCACCACACCTGGCTAATTTTTGTATTTTTAGTAGACACAGCGTTTCGCCATGTTGCCAGGCTGGTCTGGAACTCCTGATCTCAAGTGATCCACCTGGCTGGGCCTCCCTGTAATCCCTGCTGGGATTACAGGCATGAGCCACTGTGCCAGGCCTGATGTTTTAAAATATTTAAAATCTTTGCCAGGCTCTTGTGTTACCAGTTGATTTTTATCCTCCTTTAACTTTTATTTATTTATTTATTTTTTAAGTAAAACTGGGTGTTTCCCCCTGTATTTTCAGGTTTTACATGGGTGTGTTTATGGAGCTCAGTGTTTTAGCAATCCAAGGTATTTTCCCATGAGCCTCTCTGATTTGGCATCTGTAGATTATGATCCTTTTATGCATTTGGAAAGTCTGAAAGAGCCTGAGCCTCTGCACTCTCCTGACTCAGAACGATCTTCTAAACTCCAGCCAGTAACAGAAGGTAACATGAATTCTGTTCAGGACAATATTGTTGCTTGGGTTCTCTCAAGGTATAACTTGAGGCCATGGGTGGAAATATTGGAGAAGGAGAGTATGTCTTACTTTGTAGTTGTTTAACCATGTATGTATAGCACAAGTTCATTATTAATTAAAGAAATAACTTCACATGCACAATTACTAATATTATATGTTGACATTGCTTTTATGCAAATTCAGTATTCCTTATCTGAAATGCATGGGACCAGAAGTGTTAAAGATTTTGGATTTTTTCACCTTTTGGAATATTTGCATTATACTTACCAGTTGAGCATCCCTAATCTGAAAATCCAAAATCTGAAATGCTCCAATGAGCATTTCCTTTGAGCATCATGCCAACACTCAAAATTTTTGGATTTCAGATTTTCAGATTAGGGATACTCAACATGTACTTCTGGCTAAATTATTCTTAGAAGTTCTTTTTGATATTTTATATATAATGGAATTTATATAGAATAAAAAATATAGCTTTGGAGTCTGACCTGAATTTTGACTCTCAATTGCTAAATATCTGTTTTCTTATTTGTAAAATGCAAATATTAGTTTCCTCTAAGGTTTTTTTAAGTACTAAGTAAGATAATATATGTAAAGCCCTTTGTACAATCCTTACTTAGTACATAGTTAACTCAGTAACATTTTTAAGCCACGTTTCTGCATTCAGAGCATTCTCTCTCTGATAGAAGAGAAAGATGTAATAGAAGCAAATAACCTTATAATGTAATAGGAGTGTAACAATAGAAGTATATATAAGATATAGAGGTAAAGTAGAGGAACCCAGCAATTGCTGAAGGTTTTAAGAAAGGGAGATAGAGGATACAATTTATATTAAGAGCACTTTTGATAATAGTATTTTATAGGAGTTGGTAAATTATGGCCCATTGCTACCGCCTGTTTTTATAATTTTATTGTGATACATCCATATTGTCATTATGGTTACTTTTGTATAACAACAGCAGTATTGAGTAACAGTAGAGATTGCGTGGCTCACAAAACCAAAAGTATTTATTATTTGGCCCTTCATAGAAAAAGTGTACTGACTCCTGGTATATTAGATTGATTTGGCCAGTTAACCCAGAAGGTACAGATAGGTTGTCTAGAACATAAATACACTATTGAAATAGGAATTTAAGATTTAAATTGTTTCTCAAATATAAAAGAGGTATAACAAGCAGTATAAAGCAAAAAACAATTAGACAAAATTTATATAAGCAATTTAAAATTATATTTTTAGATTTGACGTAATAAGATACCATGTTTATTTTACTTAAAAATATGGTTATGTGAAAATAATAGTTGACCTTTGCACATTTAAGGTATAAAATGGCAGTTTTTATTCAAGACAATATAGTATGTTTCTTGAACAAAGCAATAGAGTTTGCTTATTTCAAAGGAAGTTTTAATTTTAGATTTTGTACAAAATTTACTGTGCCAATATCAGTCACTGTAAAAGAAGCAAAGGAAAAGATGTAAATAGATTAGCTTAATATTGATATCAAATACTCTGTGCAGTACCCTTCTCTAAACGTATCAAGTTGTTCCCTTTGGACTTCCTCAAAGGTTTTAAGGACCAGATAAATGCAGAACCTTTTAGGAACAGCTGTGAGCTAACAGCACATGATTCTCTGGTCTGTAGTGACTACATGCTCTGGGTGTTTTTTAATGTGGTGAAAATGAGTGATCATTGTGCCCTTGTCTAAGGCATGTTTCATCATCTTCAAGTACTTTTTTGGCCAAAGAATTCTAAACATTGAGTGTCCCTAATAAGCTCAGTACTGGATTGAACAAGTCTGATTTGAGAACTATTGTCAGGAGTGGCTGTAATTATTAAATTTACTAAAGAATAAAGCAAGGTAGTGAAGTTGGCTTTTTGTCAAATGGCAGTAGTCTTATTAGCAAAAAGTCATCATTTGCCGGGTCAGAGTGAAAGGAGGCTCCAAAGGATTCATTCTGTCCTAATTATAGTTTCACCTATACTTATTATGCAAAGCTAATATTTAAAGCATTTGCCAAAATTAACTTCCTCTGCATGTTCTATTACAGTGCAGTGAATTGCAGCAGCTTTTTATGTCTTGCTGCTTTTGTACGCCATAATAATCTGTAATTATGGGTTTGCTGCAAATGCTGTAGGATTTGTTTAATCTGACAATCTGAAGAGACAACCCTGAATAGAGTTATTTAAATGAATGCTAGTTACACAAAGCCTTAGAAGCATCGATATCTCCATTTTACATTTTCTCACAAGACTGGTTATTTTAGAATTTTATTTTAAATATCTAAACTAGAGAATTTCATGTCTTCTTTGTATTTTAGTAGATAAGTAGAAGAGAGATATGTATGTTCTATAGTTTATAGCTCAAAAATAAGTATAAATAAATTTATTGCCCAATAAACAATTTGAGAGATTTTTATCCTTTTATATACAGACATATATCCTGAATTTAGAGAAGCAACTTAGGGCAGAAAATGCTTTACCTACATCTGAGATTTAAATTTATTCTTTACGTGTTTTCAATGTGAGTAATTATGACAGACTTGTGAACAAGCTCATTTAAACTGCATTCTCATTGTCTCTACCTTTGGGAAGAAGACATATGGGATACTCTGGTACCTGAGCTTCGAGGTTTATGTTTTAGGGAAAGACCTGGCTCATTCTTGGAGTTTATTTATAAGTAGGTTTGAAAAAGAAACTCATAAGACCTATGTTACTTATAATGCTCTTTAAATTGAATGATTTTTTATTGTTTCTGTTATATCCAGTTTTGTATGTAAAAGTTTTTAACTCATCTTTACAAATAAGTATGCAATTCTTACAGAAAAATGGAGTTTAAGGAATCTTATGTATTTGTGATCATGAATCACAGAGCAAGCCAAAGCCAGGGATTCTTCTCTTTTCTATGGTGGTTTCTTTTCAATTATACTCTTTCCCTTCTTCAGAGTGTAAACTTCTATGTTATGCAAAGAGGATTTAATGCTTAGAATGAGTCATCTATTTAAGTATGTCACTCAAAAGGGAGAGTGAAGAATAGAAAAATCTTTTTCTATATCAAAAATTTTAAAATGACTAATTTTAATTTTTGTTACCATTTAAAATTCGGTTTAGTCTTGATTTTTTTCCATTGATCTTTGCTTTTTATTTAGTAATTTATCCTAAGTAATACTTTTTTGAAGTTCTTATACAGAGAGAAAAATAAATTTTGAATTCATTGTTTCCATATCTCATAAAGAAAAAGACAGTTTAACAAAAGAGAAAAAAGTATGGAAATTAGAGCTGTGGTAAAGAGGGAAATAACACTGAGCTGGGAAGCAAAAGACATCTCCTATGGCAGGCAAATCACTTAACTTTGCGAACCCATTTGTCCTCATGTGCAAAATGAGGAATACCAGCTAGATTATCCCCTTATAGTGTGAACATTTATTATATTCTAGGTTATAATTAGGGAAGGGAAAGCAAACACTAGATTCAAGCTACCTATTTCTTGTCATATAGCTCAAAATACTTTTTACTTTCCTTACATTCTTAAAAATGAAGGATTGAATTAAAGTTAATCATTTAGTGTTATTAATCTAGTATTGAATGGCTGGTTATTAGTAATAATCATAAAAATAACTTTTAAAAATTTCAATATAATTGGAACTTTTATTTATTTATTTTCTTTTTTATTTTTTTAAGACAGAGCCTCACTCTTGTTACCCAGGCTGAAGTGCAGTGGCGCGATCTCAGTTCACTGCAACCTCCGCCTGCCAGGTTCAAGTGATTCTCCTGCCTCAGCCTCCTGAGGCACACCCAGCTAATTTTTGTATTTTTTGGTAGAGACACGGTTTCGCCATGTTGGCCAGGCTGGTCTCGAACTACTGACCTCAGGTGATTGGCCCGCCTCAGCTTCCCAAAGTGCTGGGATTACAAGTGTGAGCCACCACACCCAGCCATTAATTGGAACTTTTAGACTAAGAAATGTTGGGTGGGTGCAGTCACTCACACTTGTAATCCCAGCACTTTGGGAGGCCCTGGCTGGTGGATCACTTGGGGTCAAGAGTTCAAGACCAGCCTGACCAACATGGTGAAGCCTCTTCTCTAATGTAAAAATTAGCCAGGCGTGGTGGCACATGCTTGTAATACCAGCTATTTGGGAAGCTGAGGCAGGAGAATTGCTTGAACTCGGGAGGCAGAGGCTGCAGTGAGCCAAGATCGTGCCACTGCACTCCAGCCTGGGTGACACAGCAAGACTCTGTCCCAAAAAAAAAAAACCAGTAAATAAGCTAAGAAATGTTTATATTTACATTTATGTAGACATAACTTGGCTGATAATGGGAAATTAAAATTTTGATACTCAGCAACATTTTAAAATCAACCAAAGCCCAAAGGAAACTATTCTTTTTTGGAATTGGAGAAGATGGTATTAACATCAATGGCATAGCAGCTGGTTGGTTGGTTTGCCTATACCCAGTGGTATTGGTTCTGAATCTTGAAGGCTAAAGCCTTGAAAATGTAACACTATTCTTTTCTCTTGCCTCTTTTAAAGTGATTATACCATCAGTGCACAAACTGGTCTCCCTTTTTTTTTAAAGTTAGGTTTATTGAGGTATAGTTTACATAAAATAAAATATTCTTTTTTGATGAGGGAATTTTTTATATTGATTATGTTGGTGGTTACACAATTATATATAATTACCAAAAGTCATCAAACTAAACACATAAAATTGGGCATGTATGTAAATCAGAACATTCTTAAATCTGTATTTGGCTCAGCACAGTGGCTCACGCCTGTAATCCCAACCCTTTGGGAGGCCTAGGTGGGTGGATCACAAGGTCAAGAGTTCAAGACCAGCCTGGCCAATATGGTGAAACGCAGTCTCTACTAAAAATACAATAGCTGGGCGTGGCGGTGCGCGCCTGTAGTCCCCAGCTGTTTGGGAGGCTGAGGCAGGAGAATCGCTTGAACACGGGAGGTGGAGGTTGCAGTGAGCCAAGATTGCGCCACTGCACTCCAGCCTGGGAGACAGAGCGAGACTCCATCTCAAAAATAAAAAAATAAATAAATAAATAAATTTGTATTTATTCTGACAAATCCTTAGTTGTTCTGACAGGCCCTGGTGTTCCCAACTAATTAACTGTCAGAGAATATAAATACTCAAGACAAGATCACTCTGTTACTGTGGTAGAATAATACAGAAACACAATCACTCTGTAATTATGTCTAAAATTAAGTAGAGACAAGAATGTTTTAAACACACACACACACACACACACACACACACCCCCTAAACATCCTAACATGAATGACTAATGCTTCTTTACCAAAAACAACTCTCCTCCTACCTCTTAGATGAAACGCATTAAGATAACAGTCAGCTAGTTGTCCCTACTTCCTGACACCACTCAATCCCAAACTGGCTTCCACATCAACACCCCTCAGAATCACAGTCTTTAGCCCTCCTTAGAATGGCGGTCTTTAACTAGTTGGCTTTGACAAATTATTGTCTGTCTCCTTTCTCCTTTACCTCGTTACTGTCTCTGTGTTCCCTTCTTCCTTCTCCCCCTCCCCTCCCTTTTCCTCCTCCTTCAGATTCTGACATTGGGCATCTTGCCTTTCCAGGCCTCTTAAACTACTATATTCTTTGAGTTTTCTCTTTTGACTGTTTCCTATGATTTTTTTAGTTACTCGTATGAATATGCTTCTTACCTGTTTTCCTCTGTATTGTACTTGAGGGAAAAAAATATTTCTTGCATACAACTGACTGCTAGACTGTACCACATTGACCTGAAGAATACCTTAGAAAAATATAAGTAGATCCAGCAAATATTTTTGCTTTTAAAATAAAATCTCTTTTGCATACAGGTACTAGCTATACTGACTTGCTGTTTAAATTTATTCTGATTCCCGGAGTTTACTTGGAATGTCACCTTTTCTGAAACATTTTTACATTATCTGTAAAAGCCAGATTTAAATGACATTTAAGGCATCTACAAACTGTCTCTGAATCTGGAATCTATTAATGGAGATAAGAAACTTATCAGTTGAACAGATTTCATTATGTTTTTGTTTTTGTTTTTTGTTTTATTTTGTTTTGTTGTTGTGGGAGACATGGTCTTGCTCTGACACCTGGGCTGGAGTACAGTGGCCACCACACTGGGCTAATTTTAGTATTACTATTATTATTTTTATTTATAGAGACATAGTCTCCCTATGTTGCCCAGACTGGTCTCAAGCAATCCTCCCGCCTCAGCCTCCCAAAGTGCTGAGATTTCAGATGTGTTACAGCACCTGGCCGTCTTTGGCTTTTTAATGTGCATTAGTGATTTCATGATTGATTTATAATACTTCTGATTCTTCAAAGTGATCTATATATAAAGGCCTTGGTTTAAATTATGGACCCATTAGCAAAAATTTCAGAAAGGTCTTCCTTATAAACAAAACTTCATCAAAGAATGGTTTTCCTCCTTTTTTGCCATCATTACTGTATTATGGAATCTAAACTGGAAATATTAACAATGTGATAAAATCCCTATTTGTTGTCTAATATTTCATTGTCATATGATTCCCTAGGAAGCAGCAATATTCCCATTCATTTATATTTTTTATTTCCAGTGAAAACTCAAATGCAGCATGGATTAATCTCTATAGCAGCCCGCACTGTTATTACACATCTGGTAAATCACCTGGGCCATTATCCAATGAGCGGTGGTCCTGCTATGCTAACAAGTCAGGTGTGTGAAAATCACGACAATCATTACAGTGAAAGTACTGAACTTTCTCCTGAACTCTTTGAGAGTCCAAATATCCAGTTCTTTGTGTTAAATAATACAACCTTAGTGTCCTGTATCCAGATCAGATCAGAAGAGAATATGCCTGGAGGAGGTTTATCTGCTGGCCTTGCATCAGCCAATTCAAATGTCAGAATCATAGTACGTGATCTCTCTGGAAAATATTCATGGGATTCTGCTATACTGTATGGCCCACCTCCTGTAAGTGGCTTGTCAGAACCTACATCTTTCATGCTTTCATTGTCTCACCAAGAGAAGCCAGAAGAGCCTCCGACATCTAATGAATGCTTAGAAGATATAACCGTAAAAGATGGACTTTCTCTCCAGTTTAAAAGATTTAGAGAAACTGTACCAACTTGGGATACAATAAGAGATGAAGAAGATGTTCTTGATGAGCTCTTGCAGTATTTGGGTGTTACTAGTCCTGAATGCTTACAGAGAACTGGAATCTCACTTAATATTCCTGCTCCACAACCTGTGTGCATTTCTGAAAAACAAGAAAATGATGTTATTAATGCTATCCTTAAGCAACATACAGAAGAAAAAGAATTTGTTGAGAAGCACTTTAATGACTTAAACATGAAAGCTGTGGAACAAGATGAACCAATACCTCAAAAACCTCAGTCAGCATTTTATTATTGCAGATTGCTTCTTAGTATATTGGGAATGAATTCCTGGGACAAACGGTAAGCATAAGGGAGAAATTTTTTCTTTTTTTTTTTTTTTCGGTCTTATTCATCTTCTGATAAAGCATTTTATTTTCTGTTCTTTTCCTCACTAAATTTTATCTACCAATTAGTTCTTTGACTCATTTTTTTGCAGATTTTTTTTTGAGACCACTGAGTTATATTGGGATTCAGGGGAATAAAATAATCCAGCAAATTATCAATATTTTCAAAATAACTACTGGAACTATTTGACTTAGAAATTATAGCTCATTTTTCAACCTTCATGTAAGCCTAATAATTTTTTTTTTAGAAACTGCAATATGATTATTTCCGGTTTGAATCAGGGAAATTAACTCAGGATTCAAGGTCAAATCAAAAAAAGAATCTGAAGTTTTAAAAATTATTTTGTTTTCTGATGCATGTTACAAAACCTTATTAAAAACTTACAATAAACTCATGAGGTATTCAAGTAAGTTAGGTAGGAGCTAAATGAAAAGAACAATGGGCTTAAATCAGAAGACCTAGCTTAAAGTTACTTAACTTTTGAGCCTCAGGCTACAGTCTACAAATTGAGAGTAGTACCCACCTCACATACTGGGAAGAATTAAATCAGATAATGTATATAAAACACTGGCATTGTACACTAATGTAAAGCATTATTAATATACATTTAGGTTTTAATTCCTATGTCATGAAACCCTGTAGGTAGTGGAAGGAGGGGTAATGTATTGTCTCTGTCAATTTATGGTAGGAGGGGAAGCTCAGATATCAGTGAACGAACAAATCTTAAAGTAATTCAAATGTATGTCAAGCATTGAAATAGAGATCTGCTTGTTTGCTTAGTGTTTATACTCTTACTTGATTTAAAACTCTTCCGCTTATTAGAAGGGAATATCCTCTGCCTTATAGGAAAGCCTCTTATTAGAAGGGAATAAGGAATATAGGAAAGCCGTTTATTAGAAGAGAATATCCTCTGCCTTATAGGAAATGTTATATCTCAGGAACAGTTTGCCATATGGTATGACCAAATATAGGTAATTGCCACTCAGTTATGTCAGTTATGGTATAAATGCATTCTACTCTCTTTTGCTGTAGAATGGTCCGTATGTTGTCCCTTGGGAAAAATTAAAGATGAGAAGCTGTATTTTACTTCAGCAAGCATTGATTTTATGAAAATAATTTGTACATATTTAGCACCCATGGAAGGGATTTGGTAAAATTATTCACTGCTTTGTAGTCTAAAAATTATAAAACAAGGAAGAAAGAAAATTCCATCTGGATTACACTTGCTTACTTGATAATGATATAGATTCTGTGAATATTTTATTTCTCATGAGATACAACTTTCTCACATATTTTTATGAGACTCTTGAAAAGAAATACAAAGTACTTTTATCCATTTTCCTGGATATGAGTTTAGGAGGCTCACAACATCTGCAAGGAAAGATTCAAGTGGCCAATTGATATGATCCACTAGCAGAAATGTATGAACACCTGGTGGAAATAATGACGTATATTCTTTACATTTTTTTTAGGGTCTGTTCTCCTTTGTGTTAGAAGTATGAAAAGGCAAGAAAAGTAGAAAAGTTGCATGAGTAGAGTGGAAAGTATTTCCGGGACTGTCTTGTCATTCACTGCAAAGGTGATGAAAATGTTTATAAATCTCTCTATTTAGGAGGAGCTTTCATCTCCTGAAGAAAAATGAAAAGCTACTTAGAGAACTTAGGAACTTGGATTCAAGGCAGTGGTAAGTTGTTGGAAAATCTTCACATAACTAGCAACTCTCAGGTATTTCTCTTTTAGAATAATACTGTGAATAATATTTTAAATAGTATATAATACTGTGTTATTGATTTATAACTTTCTGAGCAAAAGTTTTTTAAGGAAAATTTAGGACTGCATAGAATGTTGGGTGTCTTTGAATTGTTTATGCCTTTTTTTTTTTTTTTTTTTTTTTGAGACAGAGTCTCCCACTGTCACCCAGGCTTGAGTGCAGTGGCATGATCTCCGCTCAGCCTCCGGAGTAGCTGGGACTACAGGCACCCACCACCACACCCGGCTAACTTTTTTTTGTATTTTTTAGTAGAGATGGGGTTTCACTGAGTGAACCAGAATGGTTTCGATCTCCTGACCTTGTGATCTGCCCGCCTCGGCCTCCCAAAGTGCTGGGATTACAGGCGTGAGCCACCGCGCCTGGCTTGTTTATGCCTTTTTTATGCATTTCAGAATCATCTTTTGAATCACAGAAAACTAACTGGACCTGTAAAATAGCCTTTGGTTTTTCCCATGTTTAAGCAAACCTTAGTCACATCTCTCATTAATTAAATCCAGTGATTCTGACAGATTGGGAAGCAAGTTTGAAAAAAGCTACCCATAGGAATGCATAGTGAGTAAGATGATTCAGACCATTCCCACATCAAACAATTCTATATCTTCCTCTCTTCTTTAAAATTTCTGTATTGAGCCATCGTTTCTTGCTCACCTTCAGTTTGAGAAAAGCCTTTTTTTTTTTCTATTTGTACTTCTGCTTTCTGCCATCTCTGCCTGCTTCAGGATCGTCTTCAAAAAGTTATCTCCTCTTTATGTTATATTTCTTCGTGTTCCTCTTAATAAACTTGTTTGTTATCTGCCTTTAAACAAAACAAAGCATAAAACAAAACTTTCCTCAGTTACTCTACTTTCAAGCTATAGTCCTATCCAGATCTCTCATTCCTTTTACTACCAAATTTATGGAGAAATATGATCTTTACTCACTTCCTGTAATTTCTAACTGGTTTTGGTTGTTGTTTTTAGCTTTTCTCAAAATGATCTTAAAAATAATTATTTGGTTATTACAGAAAATATAAAACAAAAATATAATCTATATAACACTGGACTCCTTTTTTTTTTTTTTTTTTTTACGGAACTGGAATCATAGGGATATTACCAAGTTGTTTTTTTTTTTTTTTTTTGCGTTGTATTATATTGTGAGCATTTCCTCAGTCATTTAGATACTCTTCAAAGATAACTTTTTTTTTTTTTGAGATGGAGTCTTGCTGTGTCGCTCAGGCTGGAGTGCAGTGGTGCGATCTCGGCTCACTGCAACCTCCGCCTCCCGGGTTCACGCCAGTCTCCTGTCTCAGCCTTCAGAGTAGCTGGGACTACAGGCACTTGCCCGCCACCACGCCCAGCTAATTTTGTTTTTGTATTTTTAGTAGAAACAGGGTTTCACCATGTTAGCCAGAATGGTCTCGATCGCCTGACCTCGTGATCCACCCGCCTTGGCCTCCCAAAGTGCTGGGATTACAGGCGTGAGCCACCGCGCCCGGCCTAAAAATAATCTTTTATGATGCCAGGTTTTATGATTGTTGGACATTTAAGTTGTTTTTAATTTCTTGCCGCAGGATAGAGTCCCAGGAATAGAATTATTTAGGTCAAATCGTATCAGGATATTTCATGCCATGTATATTGGGAAATTGCTTCTATTAAGTAATAATTTGTAATTTCACCAACATTTTGTAACAACACCTATATAACTTCAACCTGGCCATCACCAGATACTAATCACCCTTTTTTAACCTTTATAGCTTGAGAAGCAGATCATGGTACCTCTTTAATTTTTTTTTCTCTTCTGCTAGTGATGTTAATATTTTCCACATATTTGTAGGAAATTTTCATCTGTTTTCAAATTCTCTGTTGGTGTTCTTTTTCTAGTTATCTATTTAGGAATTTTTCTTAATTGTAAGAACTCTCCGTGTGTGTGTGTATGTCTGTGTGTCTGTGTGTGTGTATGTCTGTGTGTGTGAGAGAGAGAGAGAGATTAACTTTCGTGCTATTCGTGGGAGCTTTCCTGGTTGTTTAGTTTTCAGTTGTCAACTTCAGATCATTTAACCTACATATTTTTTCGTTTTATGTATCATTTCTCTCAATTTTTTTCTTTGGATTTCTTGAATTATTTGTTGTGCTTAAACAGTTCTGTCTTGAAATCAGTTAAATATTCTAGTACATTTCCTTATTTCTCTCTAGATTTTTTTTTTTTTTTTTTTGAGACAGAGTCTTCCTCTGTTGCCCAGGCTGGAAGTGCAATGGCACAACTTCAGCTCACTGCAGTCTCTACCTCCCAGGTTCAAGTGATTCATGTGCCTCAGCCTTCTGACCACACATCACACCTGGCTAATTTTGTACTTTTAGTATAAGAGACAGGGTTTTGCCATGTTGGCCAGGCTGGCCTTGAACACCTAGCCTCAAGTGATTCACCTGCCTCAGCCTCCCAAAGTGCTGGGATTATAGGCATGAGCCATTGTGCCCAGCCTGTCCTTCTAGATCTTTATTTCATTGAGGTGGTAATTATTTTACATTTAATTCTTTATTCATTTTGAAATATATTCTGATTTGTGGAATGATAACTGGAACTAGTTTGAATGTTGAAAAACAGTCTATTTTAATAATTTGTTGAATAAACTATACCTTTGCCATTGATTTGATGCTTCCTTTATTAAATATTAAGCTCTCTGCTTCACAGCTGTTTATTTCTGTTGCTTTGTCTATCATTTTTATTTTATGTTTTATTTTTGTGGGCACATTGTAAGTGTATATATTTATTTACTTTTTTTGTATTATACTTTAAGTTTTAGGGTACATGTGCACAACGTGCAGGTTTGTTACATACGTATACATGTGCCATGTTGGTTTTCTGCACCCATCAACTCATCATTTACATTAGGTATTTCTCCTAATTCTATCCCTACCCCAGCCCCCAATCCCCCAACAGGCCCCAATGTGTGATATTCCCCACCCTATGTCCAAGTGATCTCATTGTTCAATTCCCACCTATGGATGAGCACATGTGGTGTTTGGTTTTCTATCCTTGTGATAGTTTGCTGAGAATGATGGTTTCTAGCTTCGTCCATGTCCCTGCAAAGGACATTAACTCATCCTTTTTTATGGCTGCATAGTATTCCGTGGTGTATATGTGCCACAGTTTCTTAATTCAGTCTATCATTGATGGACATTTGGGTTGGTTCCAAGTCTTTGCTATTGTGAATAGTGCCGCAGTAAACATATGTGTACATGTGTCTTTATAGTAGCATGATTTATAATCCTTTGGGTATATACCCAGTAACGGTATTGCTGGGTCAAATGGTAATTCTAGTTCTAGATCCTTGAGGAATCGCCACACTGTCTTCCACAATGGTTGAATTAATTTACACTCCCACCAACAGTGTAAAAGCGTTCCTGTTTCTCCACATCCTCTCCAGCATCTGTTGTTTCCTGACTTTTTAATGATTGCCATTCTAACTGTTGTGAGATGGTATCTCATTGTGGTTTTGATTTGCATTTCTCTAATGACCAGTGATGATGAGCATTTTTTCATGTGTCTGTTGGTTGCATAGATGTCTTCTTTTGAGAAGTGTCTGTTCATATCCTTTGCCCACTTTTTGATGGCGTTGTTTGTTTTTTTCTTGTAAATTTGTTTGAGTTCATTGTAGATTCTGGGTATTAGCCCTTTGTCAGAAGGGTAGATTGCAAAAATTTTCTTCCATTCTGTAGGTTGCCTGTTCACTCTGATGACAGTTTCTTTTGTTGTGCAGAAGCTCTTTAGTTTAATCAGATCCCATTTGTCAATTTTGGCTTTTGTTGCCATTGATTTTGGTGTTTTAGTCATGAAGTCCTCGCGCATGCCTATGTCCTGAATGGTATTTCCTAGGTTTTCTTCTAGGGTTTTGATGGTTTTAGGTCTAATAATTAAGTCTTTAATCCATCTTGAATTAATTTTTGTATAAGGTGTAAGGAAGGGATCCAGTTTCAGCTTTCTACATATGGCTAACCAGTTTTCCCAGCACCATTTATTAAATAGGGAATCCTTTCCCCTATTTCTTGTTTTTGTCAGGTTTGTCAAAGATTAGATGGTCGTAGATGTGTGGTATTATTTCTGAGGGCTCTGTTCTGTTCTGTTGGTCTATATATCTGTTTTGGTACCAGTACCATGCTGTTTTGGTTACTGTAGCCTTGTAGTATGTTTGAAGTCAGGTAGCATGATGCCTCCAGCTTTGTTCTTTTTGCTTAGGATTGTCTTGACAATGTGGGCTCTTTTTTGGTTCCATATGAACTTTAAAGCAGTTTTTTTCCAATTCTGTGAAGAAAGTCACTGGTAGCTTGATGGGGATGGCATTGAATCTATAAATTACCTTGGGCAGTATGGCCATTTTCATGATATTGATTCTTCCTCTCCATGAGCATGAGCATTCTTCCATTTGTTTGTGTCCTCTTTTATTTTGTTGAGCAGTGGTTTGTAGTTCTCCTTGACGAGAACTTCACATCCATTGTAAGTTGGATTCCTAGGTATTTTATTCTCTTTGTAGCAATTGTGAATGGGAGTTCACTCATGATTTGACTCTCTTGTTTGTCTGTTAATGATGTATAGGAATGCTTGTGATTTTTGCACATTGATTTTGTATCCTGAGACTTTGCCGAAGTTGCTTGTCAGCTTAAGGAGATTTTGGGCTGAGACGATGGGGTTTTCTAAATATACGATCATGTCATCTGCAAATAGGAACAATTTGACTTCCTCATTTCCTAATTGAATACCCTTTATTTCTTTCTCCTGCTTGATTGCCCTGGCCAGAACTTCCAACACTATGTTGAATAGGAGTGGTGAGAGAGGGCATCCTTGTCTTGTACCAGTTTTCAAAGGGAATGCTTCCAGTTTTTGCCCATTCAGTATGATATTGGCTGTGGGTTTGTCATAAAATAGCTCTAGTTATTTTGAGATACGTTGCATCAGTACCTAGTTTATTGAGAGTTTTTAGCATGAAGAGCTGTTGAATTTTGTCAAAGGCCTTTTCTGCATCTATTAAGATAATCATGTGGTTTTTGTCATTGGTTCTGTTTATATGATGGATGACGTTTATTGATTTGCGTATGTTGGACCATCCTTGCATCCCAGGGATGAAGCCGACTTGATCGTGGTGAATAAGCTTTTTGACGTGCTGCTGGATTTGGTTTGCCAGTATTTCATTGAGGATTTTTGCATCAGGGATATTGATGTAATATTCTCTTTTTTTGTTGTGTCTGCCAGGCTTTGATATCAGGATGATGTTGGCCTCATAAAATGAGTTAGGGAGGATTCCCTCTTTTTCTATTGATTGGAATAGTTTCAGAAGGAATGGTACCAGCTCTTCTTTGTACCTCTGGTAGAATTTGGCTGTGAATCCGTCTGGTCCTGGACTGTTTTTGGTTTGTAGTCCTGGACTGTTTTTGGTTTGTAGGCTATTAATTATTGCCTTAATTTCAGAGCCTGTTATTGGTCTATTCGGAGATTCAACTTCTTCCTGGTTTAGTCCTGGGAGGGTGTATGTGTCCAGGACTTTATCCATTTCTTCTAGATTTTCTAGTTTATTTGCTTAGAGGTGTTTAAGTATTCTCTGATGATAGTTTGTACTTCTGTGGGATTGGTGGTGATACCCCCTTTGTCATTTTTTATTGTGTCTATTTGATTCTTCTCTTTTCTTCTTTATTAGTCTTGCTAGCAGTCTATGAATTTTGTTGATCTTTTCAAAAAACCAGCTCCTGGATTCATTGATTTATTTGAAGGGTTTTTTGTGTCTCTTATCTCTTTCAGTTCTGCTCTGATCTTAGTTATTTCTTGCCTTCTGCTAGCTTTTGAATTTGTTTGCTCTTGCTTCTCTAGTTCTTTTAATCGTGATGTTAGGGTGTCGATTTTAGATCTTTCCTGCTTTCTCTTGTGGGCATTTAGTGCTATAAATTTCCCTGTAGGTGTATATATTTAATGGGGTACATAAGATGTTTTGATACAGACATGCAGTGTGTAATAAATCACATCATGGAAAATGGGGTATTCATTCTTTTTGTTACATTCTAGTTGTACTCTTTTATTTATTTATCTTTTTTCATGTAATCTTGCTCCTTCTAACACTTACAGTCTTCTGGTTAGATTTGTCTATCATTTTTGTGTAAATATTACACTTTAATATAGCTTTATAATATATTTTAATATCTGATAGGCCAAGTCTTCTTCCTCACTGCACCCACACACATTATTCCTCTTTTCTTTGATAGTCTCACCTACTTATTCTTCCAGATACATTTAAAATTATGCTGTTGTTTTTCAGAAAAAAAAATCCCATTGGTATTTGATTGGATATTCAATAAAACTCTCATGTAGAAAAAGCAAAGCACCATCATAATCATCATTCTTCCCATTAGTAATTATAGTATGTTTTCATTTATTCTGAGACCCAGACATTTCTTGTTTGTATATTTCTAGGTGTTTTATTGTTTTATTGATATTCTGAATAGGATTTTTCCCCCATTACGTTTTCTAGGTTTTTCTCTTTTTAATATTTACTTTGTTTACAAACACTGAAGTGAATTCTCTTATTGATTTTAAGCATTTTATTGTCTGTCTCAGGATTTGTCTAGATATATAATCATTATCTACAGATAATCTCCTTTCTAGTAGTTATGCTTGTCTTTGCTTATATCACGTCTTATTGCACTGACCAGAACTTGCAGGATAGTGTTTAATAGTATAGTAACAGTGGACATCCTTGTCTTTCCTGATTCTGATGAAAACAACTCTTCTGTTTCATCATTAAGGAAGATATTAGTTATTAGTTTTAAAAAGATAATTTTTATTGTGCTGAAAAAGTACCCTGTTTTCTAGGAGTTCTTATATGGAAAGGATGTTAAATTATATCAAAATTATTTTCAGCATCTATTCAAATTTTCATATAGTTTTGATTTTTTAACTAATTGGTGTATATTGTATTTTAATATCACTAGACTGCTAATATCAAATGATATTTGCATTTTTGAGCTAAACCCTGCCTGATCTTTTGGCTTCTCGTTGTGTTAGATTTACCAGAATTTCATTTTGAGTTCGGTTATAGTCCACTATTAGCAGATTATGTAGTTATTTTTTGTCCTGTTCCTGTTATGTTTTTAGAATTGAGGTTATACCCAGCTTCATAACATGAATATTATCTGTTGCTTAAAGTTTTGGAAGAAATCATAACATTTCTAATTTTTCTTTCAGTTTGTTTCATCCTTATTACTCTTTCCAGGTTTTAGCTCTTGGGAAAATTTTACTTTTTGTTTTGTTTTGTTTTCTATTTTCTAAAAATCCATTTCATTGAGACTTCTAAATAGATACTAGTAGAGATTCATACATGGTGTTATAATTTTTATTAAATTTTCTTTTTCATTTTAGTTTTTTGTGGTTTTTTAAAATTTTCTTGATGCAGACAATCTGCTCAGTCTTTTCAAAGAAACAGGTCCTAATTTGTTACATTCTGTTATGTTCTGTTTCTAACTCATTATTTTCTGTTTCATTATTTTCTTTTTTATAAAGTTTATTTCCTTTTTCTTATATCTGGAATTGATTTCTATTTATCTTTGTTTCATACTTTATTATTTAACAATGAAATAATCTTAGGCTGTAAATTCACCCCCTTCCCCCCCCCCCCCCCACCCCACACACACACACACAGGATGGAGTTTTGCTGTTGTCACCCAGGCTGGAGTTCAATGACATGATAACGGCTCACTGCAACCTCCGCCTTCGGGGTTCAAGTGATTCTCCTGCCTCAGACTCCTGAGTAGCTGGGATTACAGGCATGCGCCACCACGCCCAGCTAATTTTTGTATTTTTAGTAGAAATGGGGTTTCACCATATTGGCCAAGCTGGTCTCGAACTCCTGACCTCAAGCGATCTGCCTGCCTCAGCCTCCCAAAGTGCTGGGATTACAGGCATGCGCCACTGTGCCCAGCCTAATTTTTGTATTTTTAGTAGAGACGGGGTTTCACCATGTTGGCCAGACTGATCTGTAACTCCTCGCCTTAGGTGATCCACCCGCCTCAGCCTCCCAAAGTGCTGGGATTACAGGTGTGAACCACCATTCCCAGTCCCCCTCCTGTCCACTCCTGAAGTCTCAGCTTAAACATCACTTTATATGGAAAGCTTTACCTTAATCTACTCCTATGCTTCACCTTCCTTCCCAGACTATGTTTGAATCTCCTTCCATATGCTTTCACAGAACCCTGTAGCATGTCCCTGTCATAGCATTTATCATATAGCATAGTTATTATTATCATTATTGTTTAGCTATTCTTATTCTTTCCAAGACGGTTATAAGAACTCTCTAAGTAGTCTGTGGGTTCTCAATTCTGATTGTTCTCCATAACAATATATCTTGGTACTAGATGGTCAAGTCCTTGGGAACAGGAATCATACCACTTTTTCTGTCTTGCTTACCTCAGAACTACCTAGCTCCTACCTCTACTGCTATACTGAAACTGTCTTTCTGAAGGTTAGCATCCTGACCATCAAGTCTAAAGTTCTTTTAGTCCTCACCAGCCTCATTAATTTATCTGATTAAATTTAAATTTAACTTCATAGGTGTGTTTTAAAACTAGAGCAGTTTTCGATTTACAAAAGAACTGATAGGAAAGTACAGAGTTTCCATATATTCTCCATTCCCCCTGTAGAGTTTCCCCTATTATTTACATCTTACATTAGTGTCTGAAGTCCAAAGTTTACATTAGGGCTCATTCTTTCTATTGGTTTTGATAAATGTGTACTGACATGTATCTACCATTAGCGTATCACACAGAATAGTTTCACTGCTCTAAAAATCTATTGTATATTAAATCCCCTATATTAAATATCTAATATTGTTATCTATTTTGTCTTTTTAAAATTCTCTCTGATCATTTTAAAGTCCTCTGCCCCAACTTCTATGACACTAAAATTACTCAGTTCAACTCCTAATTCTCTAATTATTCCAGGTCTTCACTGGTTCATTTTCTGTTTCTTACCTTCATAACATAGGTATCTCCCTCATTTTTCTTTTACCTGCCTCTCTACTATCATTTCTAGGTCACATTTCTTTTCAAAATCGGATCTTCCTCCTGATGGTCATATTTATGTTTAGAAGTACCCTTTCAGAGTTACCCAAATTTGACCATTTCCCTTTCCCTTGCCTTTAGGTTTTCATAATCATGATGTCCATTCTTCTTTTTATCTCTCAACTCTGTCTCTTCTTGCCTTTACCGCTCCCAACTCATTGATTCATGTCCTTATCACTTCTTTCCAAGACAGTTTTAACAACTGTCTAAGTACTCTGTGGGATCTCATCTCCTGACTCTTCCCCATCTAGACAATCCTGACCACTAACATAATCTTTCTAATGTTAAAATTTGATGTTAATGAGAACACTCCTTAGTGACTCCGTAATAATGCCTGGCCAGACTCTTCAGTCTAGAGCTCAACCCATACCAGCCATCTTGGCTATTCAGTTTATTTAAATTACCTTATGCTTTTTTATTTCTTGGCTCCTGCTAAACTGCCTCCGTTCTCATACATACCTTGAATGAATTGTGGTATGAATACATACCTCAATTCTCATACAAACCTCCATTCTCATGCATACCTTGAAGGGGAGACATTGCCTTGAGTCAGCATACATTTTTTTATACACTACATTAAATGAATGCATGACATTTATTTGTTTGCTTTTTAAAAATAATTTTAAAGAAAACTACATAGTTTTTTCAATACAATGAGCTCAAGTAAGAATTCATTCTAATTACATGACAGTAAGACAATTTTTGAGCTTTCCTCTTAAACCAGGAAACCTGGAAACAAACCTGATTACTTGTCTAGGGAGGACTAGGGCGGGAGAAAATGAAAGATTACTTTGTTAACAGACTTACCTCACTAGACCATTTATAGATTCTTTATTTTCTTTGCCTAGACTAATTGTTTCCTATTCCTTGTGGTTGAACCACCAGAGTTTTAAATTTCAAATCACAAAATGATATGTATTATTATTTTATTGCAAGGTATATACAGGGATTTAGAAATGCTTAAAACTTGACAGATGTCACTTTGAGTTTTCCAGTAGTGAGCTAATAATATTTTGCCAGTACTATACATATTCTTATAGAACATTTGTAGTTGCAAGTTCACTAATTTTAACTATTTTTTCTAATACATTTGCCTCATTATTCACTATTGTGGTGCATATTAATCTAATGACAATATAAAACATTTTAGCAGCCATAGTTAGTAAGGAGAAAAATAAGAAGGAGTAGTGAAAGATTAATTGACATAAAGGGCAGCTGAACTCTGCTTCTCTTTTATTGCATTTTAAAGATTTATTTTCTGTTTTTTTCCTATATGGCACATATACTTCTCTCACCTTTTAAATTTATATAGTATTAGATGAAGATTTCTATCCAGCTCTTCTCAATTTTATAAATTATTATTTATGAGCTCTAATTGATAGCCCTTTACCTGAAGAAGCAAAAACACTGAGTTTTTTTTCTTTCACAATTAGAATTTACACTTAATAGATGCTTTCAAATTAAAATTTTAATATCTTGACTGAGACATATTTTACATGCAATACAGTTAATTCATTTAAAGTGTACATATTTTTAGTATATTCACAGGGTTGTACAACTATCACCCCAATCTCATTTTTAGATTATTTTAGTCCCTCTGAAAAGAAACCTGGTATCCATTACCCACCAGCCTTTCTTTCCCCCCAGCCTTAGATAACACATATCTACTTTCTGTCTCTATAAATTTGCCTATTCTGGAAATTTCATATAAATGGAATCAAATAATATGTGGGTTTTTGTGGCAGCTTTTTTTTTACTTAGCATGATGATTTCAAAGTTCATTCACGATGCAGCATGTTTCTACTTTATTTCTTTTTATTACCAGAAAATATCTCATTATATTGATAAATATTTGTTTATCCATTCATCAGTCGATGGACATTTCAGTTGGTTTCACTTTTGGGCGAATATGAATAATGCTGCTGTGAACATTCATGTACAGTTTTTTGTGTGGACATGTTTTGAATATATACCTAGGAGTAGAATTGCTGGATGATATGATAACTCTCTGTTTCACCATTGGAGGAACTGCAAACTGTTTTACACACCAGCTGTACCATTTTACCTTCCCACCGATGGTGTATGAGTGTTACATACTCTCCATGCCCTAGCCTACACTCGTTATTGTCATTCTTTTTTATTATACTCGTCTTAGTGGATATAAAGTGGAATCTTGTGAGTTTGTGAGATTTTTTTAGTATTGCTTTTTCCTGTACAGCTTTGATCAGCCTAAAATATCTCATGATTTTGATTTGCATTTCCCTAATGACTTATCATGAGTATTTTTCATTGCTATGATAATTGACTATATATATGTTCTTTGAAAAAATGCCTATTTAAATGTGTACTGGGTTGAATTGTATTCTCTCAGAATCTCATGTCCACCCTGAAACTCAGAGTGCAATTTGGAAGTAGAGTTTTCAGAGTTATGATGAGGTCACACTGCACTAGATTTGACCCTAAATCTGATTACTTGTGTCCTTATAAGAAAGCCACGTGAAGAAACACTTCTGCATACACGGGAAAGATGGGTATGTAGAGATGGAAGCAGAAATTGTAGTCATACAGCCACAAGCCAAGAAATGCTGAAGAATTGTCAGCAACAGCTAGAATCTTAGAAGAGGCAAGGAAGGATGCTCCCCTAGAACCTTTGGAAGGTGCATGGCCCTGTCTATGCCTTGATTTCTGACTTTTAGCATACAGCACTGTGAGAGAATAAATATTTTTTGTTGAAAGCAACCTAGTTTGTGTAATTTGTTACAGAAACCCTAGGAAAATAATATAAACGTCTTTGCCTATTTTTTAAATTGGGTTATGTGACTGGGCGTGGAGGCTCACACCTGTAATCCCAGCACTTTGGGAGGCCAAGGCAGGTGGATCACATGAGGTCAGGAGTTCAAGACCAGCCTGGCCAACATAGTGAAACCCCGTCTCTACTAAAAATACAAAAATTAGCCAAGCATGGTGGTGCACACCTGTAATCCCTGTTACTCAGGAGGCTGAGACACTAGAATCGCTTGAACCCAGGAAGCAGAGGCTGCAGTGAGCCAACATCGTGCCACTGCCCTCCAGCCTGGATGACAGAGGGAGACTCCATCTCAAAAAAAAAAAAGAATAAAATACAAAATAAAATAAAATTGGTCTTTTACTATTGACTTTAAAGTTCTTTATATGTATGTTCTAGATACAAGTTCTTTATCAGATATATGATTTGCAATTTTTTTCTCATTCTGTAAATTGTCATTTCACTTTCATGATGGCATCACTCATAGCACAAAAAATTTAATTTTGACAAAGTTCAGTTTACCTATTTTTATTTTGTCACTTGTGTTTTTGTGTTGTATTTAAAAAGACCTTGCCTAGGCCGGGCACGGTGGCTCACACCTGTAATCCCCGCACTTTAGGAGGCCAAGGAGGGCGGATCACGAGGTCAGGAGATCGAGACCATCCTGGCTAACATGGTGAAACCCCATCTCTACTAAAAATACAAAAAATTAGCGGGGCGTGGTGGCGGGCGCCTGTAGTCCCAGCCACTCAGGAGGCTGAGGCAGGAGAGTGGCATGAACCTGGGAAGCGGAGCTTGCAGTGAGCCGAGATTGCGCCACTGCACTCCAGCCTGGGCGACAGAGCAAGACTCTGTCTCAAAAAAAAAAAAAAAGAAGAAGAAGAAGAAGAAGACCTCGCCTAATGTAAGATCCTTTGTTGTTTTTTATTTTTTGTTTTAATGAGTTTTATAGTTTCCGCCCTTACATTTTTGATTTATGAGTCATTTGATTCAATTTTTTATATGGTGGAAGAGTCTGACTTCTTTTTTTTTTTTTTTTTTTTTGAAACAGAGTTTCATTCTGTCACCCAGGCTGGGGTACAGTGATGCAGTCACAGCTCACTGCAACCTCAACTTCCTGGGCTCAAGTGATCTTCCTGCATCAGCCTCCCAGGTAGCTGGGACTGCAGACGCATGCCACCACGCCTGGCCAATTTTTAAATTTTTGTAGAGATGAGGTCTCACTATGTTGTCTAGGCTGGTCTTGAACTCCTGAGCTCTAGCAGTCTTCCTAACAGCCTCCCAAAGTGCTGGGATTACAGGCATGAGCCATTGTGCCTGGCCCCAACTTCATTCTTTTTCATGTAGATATCTCGTTGTCCCAGTACCATTTGTTGAAAACACTATTCATTGAAATGTCTTGATACCATTATCAAAAAGCAATTAACTATAAATATGAGTTTATTTCTGGTCACATGATTCTGTTCCACTGATTTGTATGTCTCATCTTACATCATTACTATGAGTGCTTTGATGACTTTTGTAGCAAGTTTTGAAATCAAGAAGTATGAGTTCTCCAATTCTATTCTTTTTCAAGATTGTTTTGGCCATTTTGGGTCTATTACATTTTCCTGTGAATTTTAGGATGAGCTAGTCAATTTCAGAGGGTTTTTTTCCTGTTTTCTCTTTTTCTTTTTTGTGGAGATAGAGTCTCACTCTTTTGCCCAGCCTAGAGTGCAATGGCATGATCAGAGCTCACTGCAGCCTGGAACTCCTGGGCTCAAGTGATCCTCCCACCTCACCTCATCCTCCCCAGTAGCTAGGACTACAGGCATGTGCCACCATGCCCAGCCAATTTTTTTTTTTTGTAGAGACGGGGTCTCACTGTGTTGCCCAGGCTGGGTGTTTTTCTTTTTCCTTTTTTTTTTTTCTTTTTTGAGATGGAGTCTCGCTGTCACTAGGCTGGAGTGCAGTGGCATGATCTCAGCTCACTGCATCCTCCACCTCCCAGGTTCAAGTGATTCTCCTGCCTCAGCCTCCCGAGTAGCTGGGACTACAAGCGCACGCAACCACACCCAGCTGATTTTTGTATTTTTAGTAGAGATGAGGTTTCACCATGTTGGCCAGAATGGTCTCGCCCCCTCTATCTCTTGACCTCATGATCCACCCGCCTTGGCCTCCCTAAGTGCTGGGATTATAGGCATGAACCACCATGCCCGGCCCCAGGCTGGTCTTAAACTCTTGGCCTCAAGTAGTCCTCCTGCCTCAGCCTCACAAAGTGTTGGGATTACAGGCATGAGTGACCACACTCAGCCAAGCTTGCCAATTTCTATTTCAAAGGCAGCTGGGATTTTGATAGGGATTACATTAAATCTGTAGATCAGTTTGGGGGATGCTATCATCTTAACAATATTAAGTCTTTAGGCCCATGAACATGACTTTTTTTTAATGTAGATCTTTAATTTCTTTCAACAATGTTTTATAATTTTCAAAATATAAGTTTTGCACTTCACAGTAAATTTATACCCAAGTATTATTCTTTTGGGTGCTATTATAAAAGAATTTTTAAAATTTTGTTTTTTGTTTTTGGCTTGTTTATTGCTAGTGTATGGAACATCAGTTTTTGTGTATTTGATCTTATATCTTGCAGCCTTGCTGAACTTGTTTATTAGCTCTAATAGCCTTTTTAGCGGATTCCTTAGGATTTTCTATATAAAAAGTCACCTCATGTGCAAGTCAGATATTTTTGCTTCTTCCTTTCTAATCAAATTATTAATTCAATGTCTTCATTTGTTATAGGTCTATTCGGGTATTCTGTTTCTTTTTAAGGTTGGTTTTAGAAATTGTGTCTTTTGGCCAGGCGCAGTGGCTCACATCTGTAATCCCAGCACTTTGGGAGACGGAGGAGGGCGGATCACAAGGTCAGGAGATCAAAACCATCCTGGCTAACACGGTGAAACCCCATCTGTACTAAAAATACAAAAAATTAGCCGGGCGTGGTGGTGGGCACCTGTAGTCCCAGCCACTTGGGAGACTGAGGCAGGAGAATGGTGTGAACCCGGGAGGCGGAGCTTGCAGTGAGCAGAGATCACACCACTGCACTCCAGCCTGGGCGAGAGAGCGAGACTCCATCTCAAAAAAAAAAAAAAGAAAAAAATTGTGTCTTTCTAGGAATTTGATCATTTTATCTAATTTAATTTGTTGGCATACAAATGCTTATAGCATTTCCTTATAATATTTTTTATTTCTGTAAAATATATAGTGGTGTCCCTTCTTTCATTCCTGACTGTAGTCATTTTGAGTCTTTTTTTATTGCTTAGTCTAGCTAAAGATGGTTAATTTTGTTGATCATCTTAAAGAGCCAACTTTTGGGTTCATTGATTTTTTTCTCTATTGTTTTTCTCTTCTATTTTATTTATTTCCACTGTAGTCTTTATTATTTTCTTTTCTTTCTTCTGCTTGCTTTGAATTTAATTGTGCTTTCTTTTTTTCTTTTTTTTTTTTTTTGGAGACAGGGTCTCACCGTGTCACCCAGGCTGGAGTGCAGTGGCACAATCATGGGTCACTGCAGCCTGGAACTCCCAGGCTCAAGTGATCCTCCCATCTTAGCCTCCCCAAGTAGGGGCCCTGGGACCACTGGTGTGCACCATCACACCCAGCTGGTTTTTTTCTTTTTGTAGAGATGGGGTCTCTCTGTGTTGCCCAGGCTGGTCTCGAACTCCTGGGCTCAAGCAGTTCTTCTACCTTGGCCTCCCCAAGTACTGGGATTACAGGTATGAACCACTGTGCCAGTTTTGTAAGGTGGAAGGTTTGGTTATTGGTATGAAATCTTTTTTAAAACTTTTTGTTCTTTCATTCTGAAAGGAGGTGAATGAAATCTTTTTTAATAGAGGCATTTAGATCTGTAAATTTCCCAATGAGCACTTCTTTACTTACAGGCCATATTTTCATTCATTCTCTCTTTTTATTTTCATTTTTTATTTTCATTCATCTCTAAGTATTTTCTCATTTCCCTTGAGATTTATTCTTTGACCCACTGGTAATTTAGGAGTAAATTGTTACATTTTCACACATTTGTGAATTACCCAAATTTTCTTTCATTGATTTCTACTTTCATTCCATTGTGGATAAAAAATATACCTTGCATGATTTCAAATCGTTTAAATTTATCAAGACTTGTTTTTTTTTGTTTTTTGGTTTTTTTTTTTTGAGACGGAGTGTCGCTCTGTCGCCTAGGCTGGAGTGCAGTGGCGCGGTCTTGGCTCACTGCAACCTCTGCCTCCCAAGTTCACGCCATTCTCCTGCCTCAGCCTCCCAAGTAGCTGGGACTACAGGCACCCCCCACCGACGCCTGGCTAATTTTTTGTATTTTTAGTAGAGACGGGGTTACACCGTGTTAGCCAGGATGATCTCGATCTCCTGACCTCGTGATCCACCCGCCTCAGCCTCCCAAAGTGCTGGGATTACAGGCGTAAGCCATCGCACCTGGCCAAGGCTTGTTTTATGGTCTATCCTGTAAGTTGTTTCACATATGCTTGAGAAGAATGTATTTTTTGCTACTGTAGGATAGAGTATTCTGTAGATGTCAGGTAGGTCCGGTTGTCATATTATTGTTCAAGTCTTCTGTTTCCTTGTTGATATTTTCTAGTTGTTCTGTCCATTATTGAAAGTGGGATATTAAAATCTTCAACTATTATTGAGGAAATGTCTGTTTCTGCCTTCAGCTCTGTCTTTGTTTTGCATCATGTATTTTGGGGCTCTGTTTTTGGGTGCATATATATTTGTAATTTTCATATTTTCCTGTTAGGTTGACATTGTATCATTATGAAATATCTCTATCTCTAACATTTTTTGTTCTAAAGTCTTACATTAGTATAGCCACTGTAGCTCTGTTGGTTTCTATTTTATGGTACTTGTTTCCATTCCTTTGACTTCAACTTTATCTGTGTCTTTGAATCCAAAAATATATTGTTGGTTGGTGTTTGCTTGGTCATTTGTTTATTTTCTAACAACTTGGTTTCCCCCCAGTAATTAGCCTCTGATCTCCATGCTCAGATTTTTTAAAAATTGTTTTTCTTTTAGCCTGGCTAATGAGGGGTCTTCCCTGGGTTATCACGTACTTATTGGTCAAAGTTTGTGCTTAGTCCCCTTACCAGTATGATTTTTTTCCCCTTACCATTTGATTTTTATCATTTACTGTTGGATGTGTGTGGCTTGGAGGCTACTATCACAGTTTAGAGTGTTTATGTTTTTTTTGTCCCACATGCACCAGGAGACTAATAGCTTGAAGGTTCACTCCTGATTACTCTAAAGAGGGTACATCCTTGGGTATGCACACGGTCTTCCAGACTGCAAGGAATGACTGGATGTTATTTTTAAGTCTTAGCTTCCCAGGAGTCGACCCTGAGTTCAGGTTATTCAGTGCCAGTGAGGATTTACCTTGTTTTGATAAGTCTCTGTGTGACTTTGGGAATGCTTTCATGTCTGTCCGTCCTACATCTTACTCTAATTGTTCCTTATTGGGTGCAGCCTAGTGTATGTGCACAGGGTTTTTGAACTCCAAAATTGACTGTGATCCCCAAAGGGTCCTTCTTGGCTGTCTCGTTTCCTGATTCTATTAAAGTTCTGTCTGTTTTGCTTGTCATAGGGCTGCCAGCTTCTCTTAATTGCTTTCCTCCAAGCTCTGTTGCAAATAATGTCAGCCCTTTCAGGCAGAACTGCTACAGAGTTCTTTGTCCTTATAACCTGCTTTTCACCTTAGGCAAAACCTATCTCTCACTACAACCTGACCTGGGGTCACGGACCAGCTTTTCCTGGAGTGGCAGTGTCACTCTACAAGTCAGCACTTGGGAGGAGTTGGCAGTCCCTGGTCTTAGCTCGCTCTTCTGGCAGAATCTCTACCCTATGAGCAAGCTAGAATGGGGAAGATTGAGACTCTCAACGTTTTGTTCCTGGAGCTTCTGCCCTAAGAGAGGGAGGGAGGGAGAGCAGACCTGGTTCTTTCAGCCACACCTATCTAAAATAGATCTTCTGTAACATGGGGCTAGAGAAGGATGAGAAATGCCTCTAGTAACCTGTCTCTTCCCTGATGAAGCCATAGCTCCAGATTGGAAGCTGGAGAGAGAGGGAACCTCTGTCTTCTAGGCCTGAGTAGAATGCCCAGGGCAAAACTTCTGCAACATTGAGCTGAGGGAGTGGGGCAAGGAAACAAGTTGTAATTCATATATCAAAAGCTCTGTGTTGTTACTGAGATTTAGTGAGTTTCCTTGAATGAATATTTCCCTGTTTGCTCTATGACTTTAGGACAATATACAGGGACTTTAAATAATGTTTTAAATTTTTTCAGCAGATAAGCTGTGTTTTGCTTGGGAGAGAGGCTGTGTAGACCCTTATTCTGCAGCTTTGGAAGTCTACCCAACCCCAAATCATATTTTACTGCTTACACTAGCATATCCTACTGATACATCTGACGCACTGAAAGTTTGCCTATGTGCTCATCACCTAAAGTAAAATATTCCATTATTGAAAGCAGCTAAAACATCTTTCTTGCTGATATTCAACCCACTATCATGATTTGGTAACTTACTCCAGACGTGTGGGAAAATTTGGTTGTCAGACTAAATTCTTTAAAGAACTTTAATCCTTATTTACTTGTTGTTGCAGGGTTTTTTTTTTTTTTAATTCCTACATGGTATAGTAGTGAAAACTTTACTAATGGTCTTAAAGTTTTTTAACCCAAGCTTTGTTAAATCAACCTAAAGTAAATGTAGCATGACTTAGTTAGCTTGGAAAGCCAAATTTCAAAGCTAAATTTCAAACAAGAAATGTGCTTTTATAAACATTTTTAATTTTAGAGAGGACTAAAAATAAAATGTCTAAGAACTTGGCTATTACTCCATACAGTTTTATATTTGTAAACCAAGCTGCATAACTATGCTTTCATCAACAATGGACCACATATATGACAGTAGTCTCATAAGATTATAATACCTTATTTTTGCTGCACCCTTTCTGTTTAGGTGTATTTACACACACACATACTTAACAGTATGTCATAATTGCCTACAGTATTCCTACAGTAACATGTTGTACAGATTTGTAGCTTAGCAACAATAGGATATACCTGATAGCCAAGGTTGTGTAGTAGGCTGTACCATCTAGGTTTATGTGAGTACATCTATAATGTTCACACAATAACAGAATTGCCTAAAGACACATTTCTCAGAATTTATCCCTGTTGTTAAGCAACACATAACTGTGTGTGTTTCTTCTTCTACCTCGTAAGTACTTTGAAGGATTGGGTCCTTTCTCACTCATCTCTGTACTCCTACTTAGTTCTAAAATGCAGTCCCTTCAACCATGGGATTCGGCTACATTGCAAAACAGACAACTCTTAAGATGCTTATGTATTCACACCTATGTGTCCTTCCTGATGCTCTTTCTCTTCATTTGTCAAATCTTTCTTACCTTCATCTAACTCAATTTTATCTTCTCCTTTAAGTTTCTGTTTTTGCAGTCAAAAGTGATCGTGCCTGTCTTTTATTCTAATGGCAATTTTGTAGTAATTTTTTACTTACATTGCATTTATATCTCCTTCTGTAGACTATAAGATCTAATTCTTTTTCATCTTTTTATTGCTACATACTTTGTACATAGAACTTAATTGTTGGATGAATGAGTAGATAAAATAGTGATTAAATTAATGGTGTAATCTTTTGTTTTATAGCCGAGAGACACACAAGATTGCAGTATTTTATGTTGCTGAAGGACAAGAAGACAAACACTCCATTCTCACCAATACAGGAGGAAGTCAAGCATATGAAGATTTTGTAGCTGGTCTTGGTTGGGAGGTATTATTTTTAAATTATACGAAATATTTATATTTGGAAGCATAAGCTTATTTTTCTTTTTTTTCCTAGCTTATTATAGAAGTATTATTTTAGGAGATACAACAACTTAACAACTAGTTTGTTATTGTTTCTGCCTTCCATTTTGTCTGCACATACAGCAGCAGTTGGGACTTTGAAAGGAAAGATGTTGACTATTTTATGAGACAGTATATTGTGAAAGAGTACTAAACTCATAGGTTTATAAGATCTGGATTTTCCTTACAGCTGTGACCACTGGACTGGTGGTCTTCAAACTAGGACCTAATGGCTACACAAAGGCTTTCCAGGAATGTGTGGGTATACACAGTTTTGAGGAAATTAGCTTCCAGATCCTCAAGTTTACCAAAACTAATGCCAGAAAACCCTTCTACAGTCTCTTGTCTCTCATTTACTTTGTAAAAGAAAAGCATACTGCTTACCCATCCCAAATCCTACATTGTCCCAGAGGGTTTTAGCACCAACAAAATAGACAGTTCTAGTGGGTATACTTTTAGGAGAAAGTCCCTGTCAGCAAAGCAAGAAATATTGAAAGGTATTATACTTTATGTCATTCAAGAAACCAACCCATGTCAAGGTTCCTGTACCAAATCTGTCTGTCTTAGAATTATAACTCAGAAGGTGGGTATTTGTCATAAGGATTTGTATAAGTATGTTTATTTGAATTGAAAAATGAAGTACCAGACATGTTCTAACAGAAAGTAAATCTGATGTGGGTAATTGGCTTGTGATCAGTTTAATACCAGACATTTTACATATATTGAATCAGCCAAATCTGTAGCTCCAAGATTTTGATGAAAATACACTTAAAGCACATATATTTATTATATAGTACACTGGAAATTGTATCCTTGGCTACCATTTAAACTTTTGATAAAAATTATTATTACAGTTTTCAATTTAATAGTTTTCCAAAATTGCTATAGAGAGTATATGAGCAAAATTGTTAAAGAGCACTGCATTAGACTATAAGCTTCTAGAGGGCAGGCATTTTCATCTCAGTGATTTTTTTTTTTAATTCTCAGTGCCTTTCACAGTGTCTGATATGTCAGCCTTTAGTGTTTTATATAGATTTTTATGGCTAATCTAACCTATTTTTTTATTATTTTTTCCTTGGGATACATAGCTTATTTATAAATGTGTAGTTTAATTTCAAAATATGTGAGTTTTTTCTAGATATCGTTATTGATACCTAATTCTATACCATTGTGATCACAGAATATACTCTGTAAGATATCAGTATTTTGAAATATAATATAACCCAGTATAGGTACCCTGTTCCCTTGAAAACAATGTGTATACTCTGTCGTTATTGAGTGTAATGAACTAGGTATGTCAATTAGGTCAAGGTGGTTGTTGGTAGTATTTAGATCAGTATGTTTTTACTGACTTCATTTCTTTTAAAAATTTTTATTGCTACATAATAATTGTACATATTTATGTGGAACATATAATTTTGGTAAGTGCATACAATGTGTAGTGATCAGTTCAGGGTATTTAGGATACCCATCACTTCAAACATTTATCATTTGTTTGTGTTGGGAACATTTCAAATCTCCTCTTCTAGCTATTCTGACATAATATATTATTGTTAACTACAGTCATGCTAATGTGCTATTGAACAGTAGGACTTATTCCTTCTATCTCACTATATGTTTCGTATTCATTAGCCAGCCTATCTTCATCTCCACACCACAACCACCACCTTCACCTGCCTCTGGTAACTGTCATTCTATTCTTTACCTCCATGAAATCAACTTTTTTAGCTCCCACATATGAGTGAGAACATGTTATGTTTGTCTTTCTGTGTCTGGTTTATTTGTCTTATAATGACCTCCAATTCTATCCATGCTTCTGCAAATGATAGGATTCCATTCCTTTTTATGGCTGAATAGTATTGCATTGTGTATGCATACCACATTTTCTTTATTCATTCATCTGTTGATGGATATTTACGTTATTTCCATATCTTGGCTGTTGTGAATAAAGCTGCAATAAATATGGCAGTGCAGGTATCTGTTTGATATACTGATTTCCTTTTCTTTGAATAAATACCCAGTAGTGGAATTGATGGATGATATTAACCTGCTGTTTTACCTTAAGTGAGTTATTTAAGCTCTTTTTGCCTCTTTGGTTATTTGTCAAACGTGTAGTATACTTTTTTACCCAACAGAGATGATGTGAAGTTCAATTGAGCTTATGTATGTGAAAATGCTTTGAAAAGTATAAAAAACATCCTAAGTAGATTTTCTGTTAAAAAAAGTAAAATACCATAAAAGTATTAGTAAAAGTAAGGGAGACATGAAAAAGAACAAGTTAGGAAGATTTACACTTCTTGATTTCAAAACTTACTACACAGCAATGCTAATCAAGGTAGTGTGGATAGATCCTGGGGCAGAACTTAGGAAAAAGAAAAAGAAGATAGTGTGGTACTGCTGGTACAAGGATAGACATATAGATCAGTGGAATAGAACTGAGAGTCCACAAATAGACCCCATATTTGTGGTCAGCCGTTTTTGACAAGGGTGCCACAACCATCCAATGGAGAAAGAATAGTCTTTTCAACAAATGGTGCTGAGACCATGAGCCATATGCAAAGAATGAAACCAGACTCTTACCCCATACCATATACAAAAATTAACTCCAAATGGATCACAGACCTAAATGTTAAGACCTAGAATTTTAAAACTTTAGAAGAAAATATAGGAATAAATCCTCATTATCTTGGATTTTGCAAAGGATTTTTAGATAAGACACAAATCATGAGCAACAAAGACAAAACCAGATAATTGTACTTTATTAAAATTAAAATTTTTGTGCTTCAAGGTGAAGTCTGATAAGAGACTAGTATCTAGAATATACAAACTAGTTGTACAAATCAATGATTAGAAGATACCCAACTAAAAAATGATCAAAGGACCTAATAGACATTTCGCCAGAAAAGATATATGACCAATAAGCACATGAAAAGGTGCTCAACATCCTTTGCTGTCAGAGAAATGCAAATCAAAACCATAGTAGGTATCATTTCACACCCATTAAGATAACTATAATCAGAAAGTCAGGTAATAACAACTGTTGGCTAGGATTAGGAGCAATCTGAACCCTCATACACTGCTAGTAGGTATGTAAAATGTGCAGCCACTGTGGAAAACATTCTGGCAGTTCATCAAACAGTTAAATGTTGAGTTGCCATGTGACCAAACAGTTCTACCCCCAAAGTATATACCCAAGGGAAATGAAAGCATATGTCCATGCAAAAGCCTGGCCATGAATGTTCTTGGCAGCATTATTTACTCTAGCAAAACGGTAGAAACAACCCAGATGTCCATCAATGGATGAATGGCTAAACTGTGGTGTATCCAATAAAAGGGAATATTATTCGGTCATAAAAAGGAAGAAAGTGATTATGTGCTACAGCATGAATGTACCTTGAAAACATTGTGCTAAATGAAAGAAACCAATCATCAAGATCACATATTAATGGTCCATTTATATGTAATATCCACAATAGGTGTATTTATAGAGACAGAAAGTAGGTTAATGGTTGCTTAGGGCTAGTTAAGGGCATGAGGGAGGAGGGGGGTGACAACTAAAAGATATGGGGTTTCTTTGGGAAATGATGAAGATGTTCTATAATTGACTGTAGTGATGATTGCACTTAACTGTGAATATCCTGAAATCCATTAAATTGTACAGAGGAGATTTCCACTTCTGGGAAAGTCAAATAGATATACTTTCTGTATTCTTCCTACTGAGTACAATAAGCATAAGACATTACATATAAAACAAGCATAAGAAGACTCTGAAAGATGGAGAAAAGACAGAATAACTAGGGACTTTAGGACGGAAGAATGACATAGTGGCGCATTTTCTGGGTTTTCTTTTTTGCCTCATATATCCCAGACTTGGAGCTGAATAAGTCAGCAACCTAGAAACACCAATGGGTGCAAACAAAAAGCACCAACCAAAGCCTGCTCTTCCTAGCCAAAGGACCAGGAAAGGAGCAACCTAAAAAGACAGAAAAACATTTAGATAATAACTGCACTACTGTAGCCAAACACCACAGACAATTCCTTGACCCCATCCCCAACCTCACAGCAAAGGTCAGGTAAGGAGCCTAGACTTCCATCTTCATGAGGCTGTAATGAGGTGCCCCCAACACCACACTGGGCTAGTATCAAATAGTGCCAGAGAAGGCCAAGTAGAAATCCAAGACTTTCATGTCTACCAGTTGGTAATGAGTCTCCCATTCACACCCAAGAGTCAGTGGAGACTACATGGGAAATGTAGAATTCCATCGCCACCAATATTACTGAGGCACCTGCTGTCCACTGGAGTCATTTCAGAGGAGGCCTCATGGAGAATTGGGACTTTTACCATCACCCAGCAGTAGTGAGGTCACCCTTACGACTGTGTCAGTGAACATCACATAGGAAGCCAGAACTCCTGCTTCCACATATCAGTAATGAGGATCTTCCCTGTTTCCCAGGTGTCAACAGAGATTGAGTAGGGAACATATAATTTTACCTCCACCTGACAGAAACAAGTCAGCACTTTCACCTGATTCTCTGCTCTTTTCCCGCATACAGCAGAGTCTTCAAACAACCAGCTAAAACAGGAATTTTAAATAAGATCCAGAGTCTTATGAAAATGTGTACATTTCAATAAAAAATTACACATCATATCCAGAACCAGGAAAATCTCAAAATGAATTTTAAAAAAAGACAGCAGATGCCCACACCAAGATTACAAATATTTAAAACAACCTTGATAGAAATGCTTCAGTAAGTAATTGGTAACACAATTGAAACAAATGAAAAATAGTCTCAGCAAAGAAATAGAAAATGTAAAGAACAACCAAATGAAAGTTTTAGAGTGAAAAATGTAATAACTGAAATAAAAGGCTATGTAGTTGTACCCAACAACCAAGTGGAGTGGGAATGGGGGTACAGAAGAATCAGTAAACTGGAAGATAAAACAGTAGAAACAGCCTAAACAGCACAGAAAACAAACTTAGGCTGGGCATGGTGGCTTACACCTGTAACCCTAGCATTTTGTGAGGCTGAAGCTGGAGATTGCTTGAGCCAGGAGTTTTGAGACCAGCCTGGGCAACATAGTGAGATCCCATCTCTCCAAAAATATACAAAAATTAACCAGGTGTGGTGGCAGGCAACTGTGATCCCAGCTACTTGAGAAGATGAGATGGGAGGATTGCTTGAGTCCCGGAGGTGGAGGTTACAGTGAGTAAAGATCATGTCACTGCTCTCCAGCCTGGGTGATAGAGCAGACCCTGTCTCAAAAAAAAAAAAAAAAAGAAAAAAAGAAAAAGAAAAAAAAGGAAAAGAAAAGAAACCTAAAAATAATGAACAGAGCATCAGGGACCTGAGGGACATTAACAAAAAAAAAAAAAAGTCTAGCATTCTGTTATCTGAGTCCAAGAAGGAGAGGAGAAAGAGCCTGGGTCTGAAAAAGTACTGGAAATACTTGAAGAAAGTGCTGAAAACTTCCTAAATTTGGTGAGAGACATAAAGCTGTAGATTCAAAAAGGTCGGTGAAACCCAAACAGGATAAATCAAAAGAAATCTATAGTAACACACATCATAATTTAATTTCTGAAAGCTAAAGACAAAAATTCTTGAAAGCATCCAGAGAAAAAGTGTACCTTATCTGTGGGGGGAAACTATTAAAGAGATAGCAAATTTCTTATCAGAAACTGTGGGAGCCAGGTGCTGAAAGAAAAAAGAACTGTCAACTCAGAATCTGTTTTTTGTTTGTTTATTTTGTCTGTTTGTTTTGAGGTGGAGTCTCACTCTGTCATTCAGGCTGGAGTGCAGTGGCATGATCTCGGCTCATTGCAACCTCCACCACCTCCTGAGTTCAAGTGATTCTTGTGCCTCAGCCTCCCGACGAAGCTGGGATTACAGTCATGCGCCACCACACCCAGCTAATTTTTTTTGTAATTTTGGTAGAGACAGGGTTTCAACATGTTGGCCAGGCTGGTCTCAAACTCCTGTTCTCAGGCAATCCTCCCACCTCCCCCTCCCAAAGTGCTGGGATTACAGGCATGAGCCACTGTGCCCAGCAGACCCAGAATCTGATAGCTTGCAAACATATCCTTCAGGAATGAAGAGAAGGTCAAAACATTCTCAAATGAAGAGAAACTTAGAGAACTTGTTACTAGCAGACCTACCCTAAAACAATCACTGAAAGCAGTTTTATTAATAGAAAGGAAATGATAAAAGGAGGAATTTTGAAACATCAGGAAGGCAGACCATGGCAAGAAAAAAATGGATAGATACAATCACTGTGCTTTCTCATCTTGAGTTGTCTTAATTATTTTTGACTGTTGAAGCAAAAATTATAACACTGTCTAATGTGTTTTCAAATATATGTAGAGGAAATATTTATGACAACTATATTTCAAACAGGGATGGTAAAGGAACATATAGTAAGGTAGGGTTACTTTACTTAAACTGGTAAAATGACAACACTAGTAGGCTGTGATAAGTTATGTATATATAATGTAAGACATAGAGCAACCACTACAAAACTGTACAACAGTGTACACTCAAAAGAATGATAGTTAAAAACAGAGTTCTAGAAAATGTTCAAGTTAGCCACAGGAGGCAGGAAAAATAAAACAGAGAAATGAAAAACAGAAAACAGAAAATAAGATGGCAAGCTTAAGCCCTAACCTGTCAATAATTACATGAAATATAAATGATCTAAATGTACCAATTAAAAGACAGAGATTAGCAGAGTGGATTAAAAAATATGACCCACCTATGTGTTACCTAAAAGAAACTCACTTGAAATATAAGAATATAGGCTGGGCACGGTGGCTCATGCTTGTAATCCCAACACTTTGGGAGGCCAAGGTGGGCAGATCACCTGAGGCCAGGAGTTCGAGACCAGCCTGGCCAACATGGCGAAACCCCCTCTCTACTAAAAGTGCAAAAATTAGCCGGGCGTGGTGGCAGACACCTGTAATCCCAGCTACTCAGGAGGCTGAGGCAGGAGAATTGCTTGAACCCAGGAGGCGGAGGTTGCAGTGAGCCAAGATCACGCCACTGCACTCCAGCCTGGGTGACAAGAGCGAGACTCCATCTCAAAAAATAAATAAATAAATAAAATATATATATATAAAACAATATAGACTGGCAGAAAGTAAAAGGATAGAAAAAGTTATATTGTGCAAACATCAATCAAAGAAAAGCCAGAGTGACTGCATTAATATCAGATCAACTTTAGAGCAAAGAGAATTACTGGAGACCAGAAGGACATTATATAATTATAGAAGGATCAGTTCACCAAGAAGACATAGCAATGCTAAATACATGTGCACCAAATAACAGAGCTACAAAATATGTGACACTAAAGCTGATAGAACTGAAAGAAGAAATAGAGAAATTCACAATTATGGTTGGAGACTTCACTCCTCAACAGTTAAGAGGAAAACTAGACAAAATCAGCAAGTATATGGAGGAATTCAACAACAGCAGCTACCAACAAGATCTAATCTACATATGTAAAATATTCCACCCAACAATGGCAGAATATACGTTATTTTCAAGTTCCCACAGAACATATACCAAGACAGATCATATCCTGGGCCATAAAACAAGCCTCAACAAATTTAAAAGCATTGAAATAATAGAGTATGTCCTTGAACCCCAATGGAATCAAACTTGAAATCATTAACAAAAAGATAACAGGAAAATCTCCAAACACTTGAAAAGGTTACATCCTATGTCCTTTAATTCGTACAACATTCTTGAAATGATAGTTATAGAAGTGAAGAACAGATGAGTGAGTGATTGCCAGGGGTTAAGGAGGGGATAGAGTAGGAGTGAAGTGGGTATGGCTCACATAAGAGGGCAATATGGGGGATTCTTGAATTTTTGAACATGCTCTCTTAACTATATCAATGTCGTCAGTATCCTGGTGGTGATAGAGTTTTGCACTGGGGGGCTCTGGGTAAAGTGTACATGGGATTTCTTTTTATTTTTTTCATTTCTTCATATGACTCTCCAGATGTTTAATTTAAACAATAGAGATCAGCAAATGTGAAGTGTTTACAGCAAAGGAACACTAAACTGAGACTTTCTCCTTTACATTATCAGAGAATTGACTTGAAAATAAGTAACTTTCTGAACTAAAGTAAAACAAAACAAAAAATCTACCTGGAGATACCATTTGTCACCTATCAGATTAGCAAAGATCATAAAGTGTGATAATATACTATATTTCAAAGGCTATGAGGGAAACGGGCATTCTCATACATTGTTGGTGGCATCTGTGGAGGGCAACTTGGTAGTGTGTTTTGAAATTAGAAGTCCACATGCCCTTTGACTTAAAGTTTCACGTTTAACTATTTGTCCGTAGCTGTACTTTCACAAATGGAGCATGATATGAGTTCAGTGTTATTTGCTGCAGCATTGACTGTGATAGCAAAAGACAGAAAACAACCTAAATGTCCTTCAAGTAGGGGACTAAATGATTGTACCTCAGTAAAATGAACTTCTGTGAAGCCAGGAACCAAAAATGAGGAATCTCTTTACTTACTAATAAGGAGTGTTTTTCAAGGTATATTAATTCCAAAAGCAAGATGCAGAATGTTTTATATGCATGTACTGTGTGTATGTGCACACTAACGTGAATGGATGTGTGCATACAAACATATAAGAATTTGATTATATATGCAGATAATATTTTTCTAAAGATACTTAAATTGCTTTCTGAGAAGGTAACTGAGTAGTTGCAGGCGAGAGACATGAAAGGAAGAATTTTGGTGTGCTTTTTTAATGCTTTAAAATTTTTAATTATGTAAATGTATTACTGAGTTAAAAATAAATTTTAAACTGGAAGAGATTGAGGTAATCTTACAGTAATGGCACAAAAATCTAACAATCATATATGTATTCAGCCATTAGTAACTGACACTGATATTTGACATGTGTTCAGTTCATATGGTGCAGGGATTTTTTTTGTAATTCTCCATTTTACCTGTTATTCTCATTTTTTAATTGCAAAGCATATATATAAATGGTTTTCTCTAAGTAGGGAAATACTGGCGATTTTCAATTTTTTTTTATTCTCCTGTATTTCCCTAATTTTCTGTAATGAACACAAATTCTTGGCTTCTGTACATCACACAGGTCCGGGGAATATCATCCAATGCAACAACCCTGATATTAACATGTATTATATTTATAATCAGAAAATAAAAATTGTTTAAAATCTTTTTACAGGTCACCTTGTTGTTTTTTAAATGTAACTAAACTGTAATTAAGTTCTGCATTTCTAATTTTTGTTGTGGACTGTAATAAGTACTAACAAATCAGGAAGCCAGTTTTATGAGTAAATACAACACACCAAATTAATCATTTTGTCAAACTGATATTACCATTTTAACTTTTCCCCAAACTATTTCCATACTTGATCTTTTTCTCCCTGGCCTTGGTGTGCTCTGACAGCCTTTATAATTTACCATTAACACCTAGTAGGCTAACAAAAGATGCATAGTACACAGCAGTTGATACCTTTCCTGGTTAACTCCTACTAATTAGAAATCCTCAAATACTTAAAAAGTACCAGTACAAACAAATCAATTCTAACAATTCTAGATTAAATATTGGTTGATAACATGCAAAAGACTTTGTTCCCAATTTTTTTCTTAAGCAAGAAGTTTGAGTCTTTCTCTGTAGTGTATTTGGGTTTTGTTTAATTAATTTATGTGACTCTTCATTACTTCTAGGTAAATCTTACAAACCATTGTGGTTTTATGGGAGGACTACAAAAAAACAAAAGCACTGGATTGACCACTCCATATTTTGCTACCTCTACAGTAGAGGTAATATTTCACGTGTCAACAAGAATGCCTTCTGATTCTGATGATTCTTTGACCAAAAAAGTAAGTGCTGAGAAGTGCTTTCAAATTAAAATGCTCATAATTGAGACAGTTAATACAGAAAATACGTAAGTAAGAAATCGAATTGATCAAGCACTGTTTCTGGTTGTAGTACACCACTCCACCCAGTGCTGTCTTGAAAATAGGGTGGTTGTACAGCAAACTATGTTTTCTTTAAGAAACAATGATATGGTTAAAGGTTGCAGTCTTTTTTTAAAATAAAGTTTATTGTGTATATTTAGGGTTTACAACATGAAATGTTGTGGGATACATATAGATAATAAAACGGTTACTATATTGAAGCAAATTAACATATCTATCATCTCATCTAGTTTTTTTATGTGTGTATGACAAGAACAGCTAAAATCTACAAAATTCCAAATACCATACAATTTTTATTGTGCGTTAAATCTCTAGACTTGTTCATCCTACATATCTGCTACTTTGTATCCTTTGAGCTCCTTGTCCCAATTTCATACCCCACTCCACCCCTGGTAACCACTGTGTTATTCTCTATCTCTGTATATTTTCTCCTTTGTTTTTTTTTTTTAGATTCCACATATAAGTGATACCATGCAATATTTTTTCTTTCTTTGTCTGGCTTATTTCACTTAGGACACATAGTGTCCTCCAAGTCCATTCATGTGTAGCAAGTGGCAGAATCTCCTTTTTTAAGGTTGAATAATATTACATTGTATGCATATATACCACAGTTTATCAATTTGTACATTGATGGACAGTTTTGCATATCTTGGTTATTGTGAATAATACTGCAGTGAACATAGGAATGCAGATATCCTGAGGAGGTGGTGATTTCATTTCCTTTGAGTATATGCCCAGAAAAAGGTTTGCTAGGTCATATGGTAGTTCTATGTTTAATTTCTTTAAGAACCTCCGTACTTTTTTTTTTTTTTTCATAATTGCTGTACAGTCTACATTTCTACCAACAGTGTACTAGTGTTCCCCTTTCTCCACATCCTTACCGATGTTTGTTATCTCTTACCTTTTTGGCAATAGCATTCTAATGAGTATAAAGTGATATCTCATAGTGGTTTTAATTTGCATTTCTGTGATGATTAATGAGATTGTTGAGCCTTTTCATATACCAGTTCACCATTTTTGAATAAATGTCTGTTTAGGTCCTCAATAATGTTTTTATGTTTTTGAATAAATGTCTGTTTAGGTCCAGTTTTTAATCCGTTTATTTGCTTTTCTGCTATTGACTTATAAGACCCTTATAAATTTTAGATATTAATCCCTTAATAGATAAGCGGTTTGCAAATATGTTTTCCCTCTGTAGGGTGCCTTTTCGTTTTGTTGACTGTTACCTTTGTTCTGCAGAAGCTTTTTAGTTTTATGTAGTACCATTTATTTATTTTTGTATTTGTAGCCTGAGCTTTTGGTGTGATGTCCAAAAAATCATTGCCAAGGCCAGTATCAAGGAGCTTTTCTTCTATGTCCTCTTCTAGGTTTCATGTCTTATATTTTGGTCTTTTCCCCATTTTAAGTTGATTTTTGTGTATGGTGTAAGATAAGGATTCAGTTTTATTCTTTTCCGTGTGGAAATGCCATTTTCCCAAGACCATGTTGAAGAGACTATCCTTTCCCTGTTGATCTTGGTGCCCTTGTGAAAAATTAGTTTACTGTATATGTTTGGATTTATTTCTGGGATCTCTGTTTTGTTCCACTGGTATATGCTTCTGTTTTTACGCCAGTACCGTACCATTCTGATGACTGTAGCTTTGTAATATAATATAATATAATATTTTATTTATTTATTTTTGAGACAGGGTCTCACTCTTTCACCCAGGCTGGAATGCAGTGGTGCAATCACAGTTCACTGTAGCCTCAACTTCTGGGCTCAAGTGATTCTCCCTCAGCTTCCTGAGTAGCTGTAACTATAGGCACTCGCCACCACGCTGACTAATTTATTTATTTTTGGAAGAGATGGGGTTTTGCCATGTTTCCCAGGCTGGTCTCAAACTTTTGAGCTCAAGCAATCCCTCTTCAGCCTATAATGCTGGGATTATAGGTGTAAGCCACTGTGCCCAGCCTGTAATATAATTTTAAATCAGGGAATATGATGCCCCTTTGTGTTTTTTTCTCAGTTTAGCTTTGGCCATTTGAGGGTTTTTTGTGGTTCCATACGAATTTTAGAATTGATTTTTCTATTTCTGTGAAAAATGCCATTGGAGTTTTTATGGGGATTCCATTAAATTTATATATTTCTTTGGGTAGTATGAACATTTTAACAATATTAATTATTTCAATCCAAGATATCTTTCCATTTCATTGTGTTTTAAATTTCTATCATCAATGTTTTATAGTTTTCAGAGTATAAATCTTTCACCTCCTTGGTTAATTTATTTCTAAGTATGTTTATGGTATCATAAATAGGATTGTTTTCTTGATTTTTCAGCTAAGTCATAATTTGTATATAGAAATGCTAGCAATTTTTGTATGTTGATTTTGTATCCTGCACCATTACTGAATTCATATGTTAGTTGTAACACTGTTTTTGTGGAATCTCAGGGGCTTTCTACATAGCATATCATGTCATCTGCAAATAAAGATAATTTCACTTTTTCTGTTCTGATTTGGATGCCTTATATTTCTTTTTCTTCTCTGGTTGTTCTTGCTAGTACTTCCAGTACTATCTTGAATAGGTGCAGCAAAAGTGGGCATCCTTTCCCTGTATCAGATGTTAATAGAAAAGCTTTCGATTTTTCCTCATTGGTTATAATGTTAGTGATGAGTTTTTCATAAGTTACCTTTATTGTGTTGAAGAACTTTCCTTCTATACCTAAACTGTCAAGAGTTTTACTCAATAAATGATATTGGACTTAGTTGAATGCTTTTTCTACGTCAATTGAGATGATCACATAGTTTTTAACTGTTATTCTGTTAATGTGGTGTATCACATCAATTGATTTGTGTGTGTTAAATCAGCCTCGCATGCCAGGGATAAGTCCCACTTCGTCTGGGTGTATAATCTTTTTGATATGTTGTTGGATTGGTTCAGTTTGCTAATATTTTATTGAGGATTTTTGCATCAGTGTTCATCAGAGAAATTGACCTGTAGTTTTCTTTCCTTCTGGTGTCTGTCTAGCTTAGGGATCGAGGGGATGCTGGCTTTATAAAATGTTTGGAAGTATTCCCCTTCACTCTGTTTTTTGGAAGAGTTTAAATATTGGTAATAATTCTTTGAATGTTTGGTAGAATTCAGCTGTGAAGCTGTCTAGTTCTGGGCTTTTTGTTAAAGGTTTCTAATTAATTCTTCAATCTCTTTGTTATTGGTCTGTTCAGACTTTCCATTTCTTCCTGATTCAATTTTGGTAGGCTGTTTTATTCTAGAAACTTATCCATTTCCTCTAGGTTATCCAATTTGTTGGCATACAGTTGTTTATAATAGTCCTTTATAATCCTTCTTATTTCTGAAGTGCCTGTTGTAATGTCTTCACTTTCATTTCTGATTGGTTACAGTCTTAACAAAGGATTTACCTTCAAGAAAATAGGGATATATTAGTCTGTTTTCACACTGCTATAAAGAAACTGCCTGAGACTGGGTGATTTATAAACAAAAGAGGTGTAATTGACTCACAGTTCCACAAGGCTGGAGAGGCCTCAGGAAACTTACAATCGTGGCAAAAGGCAAAGGGGAAGCAAGGTACATCTTACATGGCTGCAGGCAAGAGAGCGAACAAAGGGGAAGTGCCACACTTTAAAACCATCAGCTCTCATGAGAACTCATTCTCTATCACAAGAACAGTACAGGTGAAACCTTCCCCATAATCCAGTCACCTCCCACCAGGTTCCTCCCTTGACACATGTGGATTACAATTTGAGATGAGATTTAGTTGGAGACACAGAGCCAAACTGTATCAAGGGATATAACAAATTGAAAGATTTCTGTGTTTGTTTACATTGGTAAAATTATATTTCAAGGCCCTTAGTACATGGACTCTGATACAATGTTTATATTGATTGAGGGAGAGGAAAAAATAAAACAGAAATTATTCCAGGCCAGGTGTGGTGGCTTGCTTATGCCTGTAATCCCAGCACTTTGGGAGGCCAAGGTGGAAGGATTGCTTCAGCCCAAGAGTTTGAGACCAACCTGAGTAACATAGCAAGACCCCCTGCCAAAAATTTAAAAATTAGCCAGGCATGGTAGCATGTGCCTATAGTCCCAATTACTCAGGAGGCTACTGTGGGAGGATTGCTTGAGCCTGGGATGTCCAGGCTACAGTGTGCCATGGTCACACCACTACACTCCAACCTAGATGACCAAGTGAGACCCTGACTCAGAAAAACACATACATACATACATACATACATACATACATACATAGCACTTAAAATATAACATGCTGTATCCTATACATTTGAGCTAAAACTAATGTAACAAATAAGTGTTACTTAATTGAAATAAATCTTGCTACCTTAGAATCTGTAAGGGGTATCATAGAATGATATTGATGGTCCACAACTGTTAAAATTTACACCACCATTTTGCTGTATCTCACACAGCCATGGAAAAGTCATTGTAGCTACAGAGATACCTCAGAGTACAGTTTTATGTATTCAACTCATATTTGGTTTTGTGAGAAACATTTTTAAAAGTAAAACTTTATCCAACATTTCTCCTTTACCTCTTCCTTCTCCTCTTTCTTCTCAGTTTGTTTGTTTTTGCCCCAGGGTTTCTATTGAAAATCCTATCCTCAGTTTATCCAAAACTATTACTAAATGTAACCAACTGAACATGATCAGCCATTTCACTTGATACTCTGTTGCCTGATATCAAAGCTCTTCGCACTTCACTAATAAGCTTTGAAACAGGGTTATTAACATACTGTTTTTAAAAGGAAGTTTAGGACTCTTTACAAATCTTTTATAAGATTTGATTGACTACTGTATTGGTCTGTTTTCACATTGCTATAAAGAATACTGAGACTGGGTAATTTATAAAGAAAAGAGGTTTAATTGACTCACAGTTCCATATGGCTGGGGAGGGCTCAGGAGACTTAAAATCATGGTAGAAGGGGAATCAGGCACATCTTACATGGCGGCAGGCCACGGAGTGTGAGCATGTGAAGGAGTAACTGTCAAACCCTTATAAAACCATCAGCTTTCATGAGAACTCACTACCACTAGAACAGCATAGGGAAAACTGCCACCATGATCCAATCACCTCCCACCAGGTTCCTCTCTCAATACCCAGTGATTACAATTCAAGATGAGATTTGGTTGGGGACACAAAGGCAAACTATATCAACTACCTTTTATGCCTTTTGTTTACATTTTAGAATATTGTTAGAAATTGCCTAATAAATGGATAATAGCTAGGAAAACTAATATATGGGTACTAATTAGATTGCAATGAGTGGTGGGGTAGAGGTAATTAATAAGTCTATGAAAGCATATTCAGTGAAAAGTTTGTTACAGAATTTTTTGGCATATGCTTTTTAGAAGTACAAGATAAGACATCAATACTGATAATAGTATATGATGTTAAATAGGATTGGAATAAAGATTTGTTAAAACTTCACATAAACCATTTGTTCCAGGAATTTATCTTAAATCTCTATGAAAATAAATTATACCCAAAGTAGACACAGTTATAAGTATAGTGTAAAAAGATAAATAAGCCAGGCACAGTGGCTCACACTTGTAATCCCAGCACTTTGGGAGGCTAAGGTGGGAGGATTGCTCAAGCTCAGGAGTTCGATATCAGTCTGGGTAACATAGTGACACCCTGTCCTTACAAAAAAAATTAGCCAGGCATAGTGGTGCATGCCTGTAGTCCCAGCTATTTGGAGGCTGAGGTGGGAAGATTGCTTGAGTCCAGGAGCTTGAGGCTGCAATGAGCCAAGATTGCACCACTGCACTACAGCCTCAGTGACAGAGTGAAACACTGTCTCAAAAATAAATAAATAAATAAATAAATACATACATAAATTTAATCAGGGCTCCATGGGCATAATTTTTAAACCCCAATGCAGAGTTTAAAATTAATAATATATTACTATTCTGCTGTCCTACAATAGTGACTGTTTTAAGTATATTTCTCATATATTTCTTTTTTAAACATTTACTTTTTTAATTGATAAATTGAAATTGTATATATTTATGATATACAACACATTTTGATATATGTAAACACTGTGGAATAGCTAAATCAAGCTAATTAAAATATGCATTACCTCACATACCAGTTTTTCATGTTGAGAACACTTAAAATCTATTCTCTTAGCAATTTTCAAGTATACAGCATGTTGTTCTTAACTATAGTCATTATGTTGTACAATAGCTCTCTTTAACTCATTCCTCCTAACTTAAATTTTGTGTCCCTTGACCAGCTTCTCTCCATTTTCAAACTCTTCCCCATAAGTGATGACTCTCTCCGTTTAAGGAAAATGGCATATAATGAAACCAATTGTATTTTATCATCAAATTTATAATGAAATTATGAAGGATATGACATTATTTGAAGGCCTGCTATATGTTGTTTTGCTTAAAGTTGCAGTTTCCAAGAACCTATTGATGACATTGTGAGGACTTACTGTACTCCATCTTTCTATGAATTCAACTTTTTTAGATTCCACTTAAAAGTGAGATCATGGTTTGTCTTTTTGTGCCTGGCTTAATTTACCTAACATAAAGTCCTTCAGGTTAATCCGTGTTTTTATAAATGACAGGATTTCCTTCATTTGTAAGGTTGAATAGTGTTCCATTTTATATATATACCACATTTTCTTTATCCATTCATCAATTGATGGACTCTTAGATTGATTCCATATCCTGGTTATTGTGAATAAGGCTGCACTGAACGTGAGTGTGCAGATAATCTCTTTGACATACTGATTTCATTTTCTCTGGATATATACCCAGTAGGGGGATTGCTGGATCATAATGATAGTTCTAATTTTTAATTTTTTGAAGAACCCCCATACTGTTTTCCGTAATGCCTGTACTAATTTAAATTCCCACTACCTATGTAACAAAGTCCTCTTTTTTCCACATCCTTGCCGTTACATTTTGTCTTTTTGATAATAGTCATTCTAATAGGATATCTCATCATGGTTTTATTTGTAAAAATTAATAGTATCTTAGATTGCAAACCTAAAAGTGGAACAAAGTAGATTATTTTCTATTAAAATGACTTTTTTGTTAAAGAAAACTATGTCAGGATATTTTTACTTCACTGTATTAAACTTGCTAATTATATGGCACTTGATAGTTTATTCCTGTGACCTTTGTAGAAATGTCAAATAAGATGCCTGTTTCCCTCAAAGTAGTCACAAGGGCCCTTAATTATTTTAAAAGAAGCATCTGAAATGGATGTTTAATAATCCTTTATCATAGCAAATAAGACAAATTTTAGGCATGATAGCACCATTTAAGAGTTGTTGGCCGGGAGCGATGGCTCACGCCTGTAATCCCAGCACTTTGGGAGGCTGAGGCGGGCGGAACGTGAGGTCAAGAGATTGATGGATCATGAGGTCAAGAAATTGAGAGCATCCTGGCCAACATGGTGAAACCCCGTCTTTACTAAAAATTCAAAAACTAGCTGGGCGTGGTGGCACGTGCCTGTAGTCCCAGCTACTCGGGAGGCTGAGGCAGGAGAATTGCTTGAACCCAGGAGGCGGAGGTTGCAGTAAGCTGAGATCACACCACTGCACTCCAGCCTGGTGATAGAGTGAGACTCTGTCTCAAAAAAATAAAATAAAAGGGTTGTTAAATGATTGAGTTTTATTTTTTAATTTTTTTAAATTATACTTTAAGTTCTAGAGTACATGTGCACAACGTGCAGCTTTGTTACATATGTATACATGTGCCATGTTGGTGTGCTGCACCCATCAACTCATCATTTACATTAGGTATATCTCCTAATGCTATCCCTACCCCTTCCCCCCACCCCACGACAGGCCCCAGTGTGTAATGTTCCCCACCCTGTGTCCAAGGTTCTCATTGTTCAATTCTCACCTATGAGTGAGAACATGCGGTGTTTGGTTTTCTGTCCTTGCAATAGTTTGCTCAAAATGATGGTTTCCAGCTTCATCCATGTCCCTGCAAAGGACATGAACTCATCCTTTTTTATGGCTGCATAGTATTCCATGGTGTATATGTGCCACATTTTCTTACTCCAGTCTATCATTGATGGACATTTGGGTTGGTCCCAAGTCTTTGCTATTGTGAATAGTGCTGCAGTAGACATACGTATGCATGTGTTTTTACAGCAGCATGATTTATACTTCTTTGGGTATACACCCAGTAATGGGATGGCTGGGTCAAATGGTATTTCTAGTTCTAGATCCTTGAGGAATCGCCACACTGTCTTCCACAATGGTTGAACTAGTTTACTACCATCAGAGACTATAAACACCTCTACGCAAATAAACTAGAAAATCTAGAAGAAATGGATAAATTCCTGGACACATACACCCTCCCAAGACTAAACCAGGAAGAAGTTAAATCCCTGAATAGACCAATAACAGGCTCTGAAATTGAGGCAATAATTAGTAGCCTACAAACCAACAACAGTCCAGGACCAGACGGATTCACAGCCGAATTCTACCAGAGGTACAAAGAGGAGCTGGTACCATTCCTTCTGAAACTATTCCAATCAATAGAAAAAGAGGGAATCCTCCCTAACTCATTTTATGAGGCCAGCATCATCCTGATACCAAAGCCTGGCAGATACACATACACAAAAAGGAGAATTTTAGACCAATATCCCTGATAAACATCAATGCCAAAATCTTCAATAAAATACTGGCAAACCAAATCCAGCAGCACAACAAAAAGCTTATGTACCACAATCAGGTTGGCTTCATGCCTGGGATGCAAGGCTGGTTCAACATACACAAATCAATGAACGTAATCCAGCATAGAAACAGAACCAAAGACAAAAACCACATGATTATCCATGATTATCTCAATAGATGCAGAAAAGGCCTTCGACAAAATTCAACAGCTCTTCATGCTAAAAACTCTCAATAAACTAGGTATTGATGGGACTTATCTCAAAATAGTAAGAGCTGTTTATGACAAACCCACAGCCAATGTCATACTGAATGGGCAAAAACTGGAAGTATTCCCTTTGAAAACTGGTACAAGACAAGGATGCCCTCTCTCACCACTCCTGTTCAACATAGTGTTGGAAGTTCTGGCCAGGGCAATCAGGCAGGAGAAAGAAATAAAGGGTGTTCAATTAGGAAAAGAGGAAGTCAACTTGTCCCTGTTTGCAGATGACATGATTGTATATTTAGAAAACCCCATTGTCTCAGCCCAAAATCTCCTTAAGCTGACAAGCAACTTCGGCAAAGTCTCAGGATACAAAATCAATGTGCAAAAATCACAAGCATTCCTATACACCAATAATAGACAAACAGCCAAATCATAAGTGAACTCCCATTCACTATTGCTTCAAAGAGAATAAAATACCTTAGGAATCCAACTTACAATGGATGTGAAGGACCTCTTGAAGGAGAACTACAAACCACTGCTCAACTAACTAAAAGAGGACACAAACAAATAGAAGAACATTCCATGCTCATGGATAGGAAGAATCAGTATTGTGAAAATGGCCATACTGCCCAAGGTAATTTATAGATTCAATGCCATCCCCATCAAGCTACAAATGACTTTCTTCACAGAATTGGAAAAAACTACTTTAAAGTTCACGTGGAACCAAAAAAGAGCCCGCATTGCCAAGACAATCCTAAGCAAAAAGAACAAAGCTGGAGGCATCACGCTACCTGACTTCAAACTATACTACAAGGCTACAGTAACCAAAACAGGATGGTACTGGTACCAAAACAGAGATATAGACCAATGGAACAGAGCAGAGCCCTCAGAAATAAAACCACACATCTACAACCATCTGATCTTTGACACACCTGACAAAAACAAGAAATGGGGAAAGGATTCCCTATTTAATAAATGGTGCTGGGGAAACTGGCTAGCCATATGTAGAAAGCTGAAACTGGATCCCTTCCTTAAACCTTATACAAAAAAAGATTGAGTTTTAATTAAAGTTGTACTCTGAAACGATGAAACTTTTATGCACTAGATTTATTAGAGAATAAGTTCATTTTAACTATTTTTTAAACCATTTTTAACTAATTCATTGGCTTTAAGTAGTCTCACAGTGCTTTGCAACCATCACCACTGTCTCTTACAGAACTTTTGCATTTTCATTTGTTTCAAAATATTTCTTAATTTCTCTTGAGATATATTATTTGACCCATGTGTTTTTAAGAAGTATGTTGTTTAATCTCCAGGTATTTTGGGGTTTTCCAACTATCTTTCTGTTACTGATTTCTAATTTAATTCCATTGTTCAAGAGCAGACATTTTATGATTTCTGTTCTTTTGAATTTCCGAAGGTGTATTTGATGGCCCAGAATATGGTCTGTCTTGGTGAATATTCCTTGTGAGTTTGAAGTTATGTCAGTTTTTGCTTGATGCATTTTGATGCTTTGTTGTTAGGCACCTACATGTACAGATTGCTATGTCATCTTCTAGTATTGACTCCTTTGTTATATGAGGCTTCTCTTTATCGCTGATAACTTTCTTGCTCTGAAGTCTGTTCTGTCTGAAATTAATATAGTTACTCCTGCTTTCTTTTGATTAGTGTTAGCATGGTATATCTTTTTACTTTTAGTCTATATTTGTCTTTATAGTGGCTTTCTTGTAGACAATATATATGTTTTTAGCTCCACTCTGACAATCTCTTTTAATTGGTTTATTTATAACATTAATTCTTAAAGTGATTATTAATATAGTTGAATTAATATCTACTATATTCTTTACTGTTTTCTATTTTTGTCTGCTGTATTCTGTTTTCTATTTTTGCCCTTGTTCTTTGTTCCTGTTTTTGTCTTTTATACTTTTTCTGCCTTTTCTGGTTTTAATTGAGCATTTTATATGATTCCCTTCTCTCTCCTTTCTTAACATATCAATTATGCTTCTTTTTTTAACTTTTTAACTTTTTAGTGATTGCTGTAGAGTTTACACTATACATTTGTAGTTAATCCAAGTTACAAGTCCACTTTCAAATTACACTATACCAACCGGGTGCAGTGGCTAACACCTGTAATCCCAGCACTTTGGAAGGCAGAGGCTGGCAGATCTGTTGAGCCCAGGAGTTCAAGACCAGCCTGGGCAACATGGTGAAACCTTGTTTATACAAGAAACACAAAAGTTAGCCAGGCATGATGGTGTATCCCCATGGTCCCAGCGACTTGGGAGGCTGAGGTGAGAGGATCACCTGAGCTTGGGGAAGTTGAGGCTGCAGTGGGCCATGATTGCACCACTGCACTCCAGCTTGAGTGACAAAGTGAGATCTGTCTCAAAAAAAAAATTATTCTATACTGCTTATATATTACTGCTTGCAATAACAAAGTATTCCTAATCCCTCCTTTCCATCCCTTGTATCATTGCTGTCATTCATTTCGCTTGTTTTAGGTATATATAAACCTATATATATATATGAATATGAGCATACATATTCAAATACATTGCTGCTATTATTAAACTATATTCTGTTAAACCAATTATGACTAAGAAAAATAAAAGTTTTAATTTACCCTCACTTATTCATTCTGCATACTCTTCCTTTCATCATGTAGATCCAAGTTTATGACACATATGTTTTTCTTCTCTCTGAAGAACTTGTTTTAACATTTCTTGAAAGGTAGGTCTACAGGCTGCAAATTCCCTCAATTTTTGTTTGCCTGAGAAAGTCTTATTTCTTTTTCACTTCTGAAGGGTAATTTCACAGGGTACAGAATTCTAGGTGTGTGGTATTTTTTTTCCTCTCTCAATACTTTAAATATTTCACTCTACTCTCTTCTTGCTTATGTAATTTCTGAGACATCAGAAGTAATTTTTATCTTTGCTACTCTATAGGTAAGATTTTTTTTCCTCTGGTTTCTTTGAAGAATTTTTCTTTCCCCTTGATTTTCCAAGTTTAAATGTGATGCACCTAGGTGTAGTTTTTTGACATTTACCCTGCGTGGTGTTCACTGAGCTTCCTGGATCTGGGTTTATGACTGACATTAAGTTGGGGAAATTCTGTTATTATTGCTTCAAATATTGCTTCTGTTCCTTTTTCTCTTTCTTCTTCTTTTGGAGTTCCCATTACATGTATTTACATCTTTCATGGTAGTCCCACAGTTTTTGCATATTCTGTTTGAATATAAATCTTTTTTCTCTTTGCTTTTCTGTTTTGGAGGTTTCTATTGAGATATCCTGAAGCTCAGAGATTCTTTCCTCAGCTGTGTCTTGTCTGTGAATGAGCCTATCAAAGACATTTTAAAATTTCTGTTCCAGTGTTTTTTTAACTCTAGCATTTTTTCTTGATTATTTTTTCCTAGAATTTCCATCTCTCTACATACATTGTCCATCTGTTCTTAAATGTTGTCTACTTTTTCCATTAGAGCCCCATAGCATGTTAACCATAGTTGTTTTAAATTCCTGGTCTGATAATTCTAGCATCTCTGCCACATCTGACTCTGGTGCTTATTCTGTTCTGATGCTTGTTCAGTCTCTTTAGACTATGTTTTTTGTCTTGTAATTTTTTGTTGAAATCTGAACATATGCTCAGTAAAAGGAACTCTGGTAAATAGGCCTTTAGTGGTATGGTGGTAAGGTGTGGGGGAAGGGGAGGCACTCCATTGTCCCATCATTAGGTTTCAGTATTTTGCTGAGCCTGTGGCCCTGGATTGTGAACTTCACTAGTGTTTTTCAGTCTCTTCCCTTAGGTGGGACAGTATGACCTTCCAAGGAGCCAGAGTTGGCTATTTTTCTTCTCCCAGGTAGATTAGGCTTTGGTAAAATAGTTTCTACTGAGGGCAGGCCTTTTAAAGAAGAACAGAATGTTTTGGTGTGTTTCAAATAATTGTTTTTCCCCTCCCCCTCCATAAAGCAAGAGGATATTTTTCTCTATTATTCACTGTGAGGACCTGGTAGAGCTCTTGGAAATAAAACTCACAAAAGTAGGGAAGTTCCCCATAAGACTGGTTTCTCCTGGAGTTGCTAACTCTTAGACTTGTCCACACTGAGCTTCCAGCAGTTCAATTTTAGTTCAGGTTTTCCTACACTGGCACTAGATTCCATCAGTCAGCTGTAATTATCTGTCTCTCTCCAGTGGGACACCAGGAATGGGGAGGGGAGCATTTTTCCTGTGACTTCATGTCTCTGATGATGCTAAAAAGAATTGTTGATTTTCAGTTTGTTCGGCATTTTATTTGTTGTTAGATCAAAGTGGTGATTCCAAACCTTTATATGCTGCACCAGAAACTGGAAGACCCAGAACTTGTTTTGTTGTTTTTTGTTTTTTGTTTTTGTTCCAGAACTTTTTTAAATTTTCAAACAGCAACTTTGTACCCATTAAACAGTAATTCCCCATTCCTCCTTCCACTACCCCTGGTAACCTCTAATCCACTTCCTCTATGAATTTGCCAGTTCTAGGAACCTCGAATAAGTGGAATCATAAAATATGTGTCCTTTTGTGCCTGTTTTACTTAGCATGTTTTCAAGATCCATTCATGTTGTAGCATACATCAGAATTTCATTCCTTTTTAAAGCTGAATAATAATCTGTTGCAAGTATATACCTCATTTTGTTTACCCATTCATCTGTGGCTGGAAATTGGGTTGTTTCCACCTTTTGGTTCTTGTAAACAATGTTGCAGTGAACATTGGCATACAAATATCTATTTGAATCCCTGTTTTCAATTTAGCTATATAGCTAGGAGTGGAATTGCTGGGATCATATGGTAATTGTATATGTAGCTTTCTGAGAAATTGTCAGGATGTTTTCTACAGCAGCTGCATCATTTTATATTTCCACCAGGAATGCTTAAGGGTTGCAATTTTTCCACATCTTTGCCAACACTTGTTATTTTCTGTTTTAAAAAAATAATTATAGCCATAGTAGTAGGTGTGAAATGATATTTCGTTGTGCTTTTGACTTGTATTTCCCTTCTAATGATATTGAGCATCTTTTCATGTGCTTATTGCCTATTTGTATATACTCTTTGGAGAAATGTCTTATTTTCTCTAGTAGTAATTTAAATCAATTTAAGTAAAATTTACTTTGTCAGCGTCAAACTAAATTAAAGCAATGTTTCAGCTCTATATGTATGAACAATGTGGTCATATACGTCCTGATACTGCGATTCTCCAAGAAACAATAGCAGCTTTTAAGTCCAACAGAAAGGGAATTTTTATTTGATCTCATAATTCAGTGTAATTAGCTTAAACTTTCTTTTCGTAGAAATTTTTTAAAACCTTATAAACATTGATTTCTCTATATACTGATGTTTCCCGTTTCCCTATACCTAATGACTGTTGCCTTAATCTTTTCCTCAGAGTTCTAGTATATAAGATTTTTCTAAGTAGCAGGCTTATATTTTAGTTTTATTTTAGTATCACTTTATTTTTGATAGGTTAAATGTTTAAACTTAATCGTAGAAGCCAGTTGTCTTATACCAGTTGTCCCTGATAAAAAATCACTTTCTGTATTGGTATTTTTTCTCCTGAATTTAATAAATTCCACATTAGTGGTAATAAGTTGAGGCTAGAACATGTGTCCTATTATAAATGAACAATTGGATATCATTAGGTTGTCCCCCCTATCCTTTGTACATATATCTTTAGGTGTGTTAATCCATTCAGTAGACACATTAATGAGCACGGGTTGAAGTGTAATATTGGAGGAAGTAAGGCTTGTTGACCTCAGCAAGGAGTTTAATACCTCTAATTAAATTAGATAGTCGACAGTCAGTATAAAGAAATAGCCATGCCTCTGGCAAGCTAGAATTATTTATGACTCTGGTCCTTTGCTTTAAACTTGGTAGGGTAAAATCATTTATATCCATTTTATAGAAACTAATTTTAGTTCTGATTTTTTATTTAAAATATGTGATTTGTAAATTATTTTCAAACATTTTATTTTCTCAGAATGAGAAGTAAATATCCTTGGACCTATTTAAATGTAGCATTTATATTTCTTGTGAAGAGAAGCTTTTTCAAGGCTCAAGACAGTAGCAGCAGAATATTTACAACATAGACTATACTTCTTGAGCAAATTAGCCAAACATTCAGTTTAGCTAAGTTTCTCTTAGAAATGTTGCACCACCATATAAAAATCCTGATATAACCCCAGTCCAAGCAATCTGTTCTATAAATTATCTCTTCCTGAGGAAGATTGATGGAAAATGGTTAAAAATAATTTCCACTTAACTGAGTGTATTCACCCCTAAAAATCAAAAGTGCTGCAAGCATTGGTATAAAGTGTTCATAGGAGCCTCTCTCATTTCCTCTGTCTCCTTGTTCTAGCCACTTGCTGATACTCTGCTTCATAGGTAGCTGAATCATCCTTTTAGAAGTTTGATGAAGATCAAGTTGAGATAATTGTAACATACTTAGTTGAACTCTCTAGTCTATGTTTCATTTCCTGGACCCCCCAAAATAGGGGGAAAGAAGCACTTTATTTAAGTCCATTTCCTCTGAAATACTATTAGTGTAATGGAAAGTGTTTCATTTTCTGTCTTGAAATTTACTCACAATAGTTGTGCAAATAAATGAACCTTGTAGTGCTGCTTGGTCTGATTTTTTATTTTAAATCTGTTTTTCTTTATTTTATACAGAAATATAAGATACTTTCCAAAGAACTATATGCTAAATATAGTCTGAAAAATGAATTTGTTAAAAAATAAATTTAAGGAATAATTTTTAAATTTTTTCATTATTTTAGTAAAAGTGAAGTTAGGATTATAGTTAATAAGTGCTGTGAAATTATACTCATTGTTTGAGTCCTAAATATAACAATCTTATAGAAGAAACTCTGCCCATAACTCCAGTTTTTACATATATACTCCTGATGACAAGAATAGAGGATTGAGAAAACAGAAAATATAAATGGTTCAATGCAAGTTTATCTTACCACAGTAAATGTTATGTGGGTGAGATAGCAGAGGCCTCTCATTGTATAGGGAATAAAATTCTTTTTTTTTTTTTTTTGAGACGGAGTCTCACTATGTTGCCACACTGGAGTGCAATGGCGCGATCTCTTTTCACTGCAACCTCCACCTCCTGGGTTCAAGCGATTCTCCTGACTCAGCCTCCCGAGTAGCTGGGACTACAGGCGTGCACCACCTTTTAGTAGAGACAAGGTTTCACCATGTTTGCCAGGATGGTCTCGATCTCTTGACCTCATGATCTGCCCGCCTCAGCCTCCCAAAGTGCTGGGATCACAGGCGTGAGCCACTGTGCCCGGCCGGGAATAAAATTCTAATTCCTCACTATGGCACTACGTGATTTGGCCCCACCAGCCTGCCTACCTCTAGATCTCATCTCCTGTCTTTTTCCTTTTCATTTACCATAATCTGGCCTCACTGACTGACATTCTGACCTTCCAACATGTCAAACTCATTCACATCTTAAGGGCTGTGTACACTTACTACTCTCTCAGTTTGAAATGTTTTTTCTCCACATTATCAGGCTTCCTCATTCTAATTCTTCTGTTCTTAAACTCACATGACAGTTTCTCAGAAAGACCTTTTTAGACCATCCTAGCTAAATAAGCCCCTTTCTACTCAGGAACTTTATCACATTACCCTATATTATTTTCTTTATAGATTTATCAGCATGTAAGTTTACCTTGTTTATTTTTGTATATGTTTATCTGACTCCTCCCACTAGAATATCAAGGTCATGAGAACAAGGACTTTGTCTCTTTTGCTTACTGCTGTATCTCCAGCACCTAGTACCAGGCCTGTTGGCATTTAACAAATGTTTTTTCAGTGAATTACCACAGCTACCATAGCCACAAATCAAAAGAACTATCTATAGACACCTTTGTCTTTATCAAAGTGACATATTTAAATAAATGCCATAACTGCAGATAATTCTATTTTTATGCTATGTACTGGGTAATGATAGGAAAAAAATGCAAGATAAGTATTGTTATATTATCTTTTTAATAGTCACCAGTATTTATTGAATGCCCACTCTGCTAAGGCATAGTATTGGATGCTGTGCCTGTTGTTTTCAAGAAACTTTTCCTGATTGCTAAAAATGAATAATCTAAACAGCAAGTGAATGTAGGAAAATATGTGTGACTATTAGAAGGTATATTAAAGCATGTTTTCTCACATGATTGAGGGTTATATCATAGAGTGTTTTTTACTAAGTGTGAGTGCCTGAAAGATGGGGGAAAGAATGGGAACTTGGGGCAGTAAGAATACTAAGTTACAGTTTCTACACGTATACCCCTATCTCCTGAAGTAATTGCGTAACCTAATTAACTTCTGTGTGTTCTTCAGCTTTTAGTTCAAGAGCTATTATAGATCCATGTCCTTTGTTATTTGTATTGAGAAAAGTATATTTAGAGCATCATTTGTATTTTTAAATTATTTATTTATTTATTGTATGGTTATTTTACTCTGTCTCCTCCACTGTACACAAAGCTTTGCTAGCAGAGACCATGTCTGTTTTTACTCATTGTTGCATCTGCAAAAGCTAGCATTTGGTCAGCTCTCAATATTTGGTTATGAATGAAAGAAGGTGGATATGGAGGAGGGAAGGAAGAGAAAAAAGACTTTTAAGACCTCATGAATTAGTATGTGTGGTATGTAGGATGAGTAGCATGTGATCTAGGACAGCAGTAGAGGAATAGGAAGGAAAGTACAGAAAAGGAATATACTTTTTTAAAAAAATGAAGAGCTCATTAGCAATGTAGTAAGGAAAACAGAGTAATCAAAAAAGACTAAAAGACAATCAGGTTTTAATCCTGAGTGATTATAATTAGTTGTTAGGTACTTTTAACAGAAATGGAGAAGTCAGGAAGATAAATTGATTTAGTGAGAGACATAATACAGTTACTTTATAAGAATTCTAGTCTCCAGCCCCAGATAAGTGATATTATATGGCACTGAGGAAATCTAGAATTGACTCTGGAATTCCTGTTGGTAATCATGGAGAATGAGTGCATTGCCATAAGATGAATGTCTTAGTCCATTCAGGCTGATATAACAAAAATACCATAGACTGAATGGCTTATAAACCACAGAAATTTATTTCTCACAGTTCTGGGGGCTGAGAAATCTAAGATCAAGATGCTGACAGATTCATTGTCTGATGAGGGACCACTCCCTTGTTCACAGATGACCATCTTCTCATTGTAACCTTATATATAATAGCAGAAGAGTCAAGTAAGCTCTCTGGGGTCTCTTTTATAAGGACATTAATCCCTTATAAAGGAGCCCGCATAACATAATCACCTCCCAGAGTTCCCTACCTTCCGATACCAACACACTGGGGGGTTAGGATTTCACAATATGAATTTGGGGGGTGGATGGGATGCAAACATTCAGTCTGTAGCAATGGGTGAACATCTGATTTTCACAGAAGAACATGGAGCAGGCCATAGACTATAGAAATTAACCAACATTCGTGAGCTTCATGTCAGTGCCTGGCAAAATAGGATTATTAAACAGATGGTTTGTGAGCACTTAGATAATGAAGTGTAGTGATCACTAGGAGCCACCATGAGTTCACCATAACAAATCACATCAAAATAACTTAATTTGTTTTAATAGGATTACTAGATTAGGGAAAACCATAGACTGCAATAAAGCATTTAACTAAGTTGCTTGTTGTGGACAAGTTGAAGAAATGTGGTCTTAATAAGAGTTTGATAAGTATATTCATGAGTGATTGTATAATCATATTCATAGCACATAAATTAATTATTTAACAAGAAACAATATAGGGAGGTGGTTACAGTATAGGTTCTAGAACCAGCCTGCCTTGGTTTGAATCCTGGCTCTGCCACTTACTATTTGTATGACCTTAGGCGAGTTACTTCATCCTTTTAAGCTTCAATTCCTCTCCTGTAAAAATAGGGATAATAATAATTATTACTACTTCATAGTGTTGTTGTGGAAATTTAATGAATTGTCACAAACAGTAAGCAGTAAGCACTTAATAAATACCTTTAATAAATATAGGGTTTTGTGGATTTTTTTAACCAGGAGGAAAGTCTGTAATGACTTGCTGTAAGGCTCTTAACCAAGCCTGTCCCATTTGACATTTTTGTCCAAAATGTAAATGAAGACACTGGAATTTGAACTTAAGGATAGCCCAAATCTGGCAGAGAGCCAGCACATGAATAGCATAGTCAGGCTAACAATAGACCTTCATAAGCTTAAAGATAATCTGAACCTGGCAAGGGAAAATTATGAAATCCCTTCTTTAGTTCTAGCAGTCAATTGTACCTGCTTAAAAGAACTTTGTAAGAAAAAGACTTAGCAACTTGAACTGACTACAAGTTCCATTTGAGCCATCATTTTTAAAATGCAGAAAGTAATTTATTGAACAGACTGAAGGAAGAAACAGCCCCACTGTGGGTTTGCTGTATTATCCAGAGCATGTGTTGATACTGTAATTCTATTCCATACACAAGTTTAATAGAAATATTAGTAAACTGAGACAATAACCCAAGATAATGAATATGTTTGTAAACTGTAAGAGGAGCTAAGAAGAACACTTTTAACCTGGAAAAGGAAAGGTAAGATATATATTAGACTGATCTTCAGATAACAGAAAATATATAGAATACAGATTGGATTTATTTGGTAAGGCTCATTTTGGAAGAGCTAGCATCCAGAAGGCAGTTTTTAGCTTAGTATTAAGATGTTCTAATGATTGTAGCTCTTTAAAAATGAAATGGGGGCCAGGCACGGTGGCTCACGCCTGTAATCCCAGCACTTTGGGAGGCTGAGGCAGGTGGATCACCTGAGGTCAGGAGTTCGAGACCAGCCTGGCCAACATGGTGAAACCCCATCTCTACTAAAAATAAAAAATTAGCTGGGCGTGGGGGTGGGAGCCTGTAATCCCAGCTACTTGGGAAGCTGAGGCAAGATAATCGCTTGAACCTGGGAGGCGGAGGTTGCAGTGAGCCAAGGTTGCACCATTGCACTCCAGCCTGGGCAACAAGAGCAAAACTCCATCTCAAAATAAATAAATAAGAAATGGGTTGATTTGTGAATTCATAAAATCCCCAACCTTAGAAGTATTCAAGCCGAGGCAGGATGTCTACTTATCAGGCATATGGTGGCACAAGCTCCTGTATCAGGTGGGAAATTAGAACTTTAAGGTCTCTTCCAGTATTAACATTCTAGTGTATTTGAGGACTTCACTTGTACACATGTTAAATTTCATTTAGCTGCTTTGTCTTCTTCAAGTAATAATAGTCATCTGTAGCCTATGTTATATACCTTGAGTTCCAAAATGACTTCAGTAGCAGTTGAAAGAAATTTAGAAGAGTAGTTTGGTTGCCAATCGTTTTAACAGACCTATCCCATGTACAGAAGTCTTCTACTCTATTTCAGAAATGAATTAGCATCTGGGTCAATAAACATGTAGATAGGAACTTCTTTGGTGGTTTTAGAGTATAGCAAAACCTACTGGTTATACAATCTTTTTTTTTTTTTCTTTGAGATGGAGTCTCACTGTGTCGCACAGGCTGGAGTGCAGTGGCATGATCTCAGGTCTCTGCAACTTCTGCCTCCCAGGTTCAAGGAATCCTCCCTCCTCAGCCTCCTGAGTAGCTGGGATTACAGGTGTATGCCACCACACCTGTCTAATTTTTGTATTTTTAGTAGAGATGGGGTTTCACCATGTTGGCCAGGCTAGTCTCAAAACTCCTGACCTCAGGTGATTCGCCCGCCTTAGCCTCCCAGAGTGCTCGGATTGCAAGTGTGAGCCACCACACCCTGCTCCATAGGACACAATCTTGTAAGTCCATAGAGATAAGGAATAAATAAAATCAATATTAAATAATATATAAAGTTTGTCAAACATACATATGCCTGAAATTTCTATTAATGCTTAACCATTAAAAATTGATTTTTTCAGTAGTCTTTCAAAAATTCCCAAGACACATAGCAATGATTAGCAATTTCTCAATTTGTGTCTAATTACTATGTAAGAGATTTTAAAGATATAAAAACATATCTTGAAGAAGATATATCATAATGTCATATCTCATTATGACAGCCTAAAATAATTACTTATTTAGCATTTGAATGTAAATGATAAGGGATTTCATGAAGCTTTTCGCTTAAAATGTTTGAACATGTTTAGAATGACTTTGTTATGTACATGGTTCTGTGCCAGAAATCTTCATTACAACAGCTTGGCAAAAATATGTTGTTCTTTTCCATTAAACTTATTTAACAGACTTTTAATACTATACAGAAGATATTTGAACAAGCTTCAGTTATAAAATAAAAGTATACTTGCCCTTTTTTCTCGTTTCTTTAGATAAGTGGGCACTAGAAATTATAGATAGTTTTGGCAAGAGTTCAAGGGTTAATGTAGCAGATAAATAAAAGGAATTTTCTGTAAATTGAGACCTGCATTATTTCAGTTGTCTTGTCTTTCCTTACCTAACTCATTTAATTTTAAAAAGTAAATACCTAAATTCTTCCTGACAGTGTGCTCAGCTTTTACTATCGTTTATTACTTCAATTATACTTGATATCACTTAGAACAATCTGCCATTTGGAAATCTCAGTATAGCCTGGAGCTTAGTATTAGATCTGGCTGCTATTGTAACATGTACAGCATATGACATTAATGTATCAAAATTAGATTGGATCATCCCTCCTGGTTAAATTTATTTCACATTTCTTTTGTATTCAGTTAACATAAACCTATTAGGGAAGCTGACACATGGGGATGGCTGTATAGGAAGGATATTTTTAAAGTATTTTGATTAAAAAATGAAATTATGAAGCCATGGCTTTTCTGAGTTGTGTAATCTTTTTTGCTTTTTAAAAATGTCACAAAGCCCAAGTCCCACACATTTATATTATTCAACTTGTGTATGCATATAAGGAGTTACTCCAGGATTAAGGAGTGACAGAAGAGAGGCTTTCACTAATTGGACTTAACTCCTTTCTTTGTTTAAATCAGATATTAAGTTCTTTTTCCTACCCTATGTTCATCCTTAAGCCAAAATAAATGACATATTTCTGAGATAGAAATTGCCCGTATGTTAGCTGATAGCGTAAATATTGATGACAGTTATCCCAGGTTTACTCTTCTAAACCTTTCCACCTGCCGTGTGTCTAGTTATCTGAAACTAATGGAAATCCCATGTAAGATCTGCACTAAAAGTCAACTCAAATGCTCACAGTGGCAGAATCAATAAACGTACTAGTATAATGAAATTTTATAATAAAATGCATTATAGCAGTCTCTATGAAGAAAACTTAAGACTAAAGGGCATTAAGTTCATTTTTTTAACACCTTATTAGAAATCCAACTTCTGAATGTTTTGTGTTTTTACAGTTTTAATTATCATAATGTTAACTCTCTCTGATTGCCAGAAACACCTTTGTAAGCAAACCCCACAAACATTTAAATAACGTCTTGAGGGTCTAACAATTCTCAAGACATCTATTTGGAAGAATTTTTGAGTTTCATGGGCAAAGAAAACCTGGAAATAAATTCGTTAAACGAAACATAATCAACTTTCTCTTACTCAACTGGGGATTATCCAATTTATGAGTTACTTACTTCTTTTTTTAAAACAATCTTTTAAAAGATCTGTTAGTGGAGAATTGGTGCAGTTGCTGGTTAAGGAGAGTATTTGGGCTATATGTGAATCTTTTTAAATCTAAGTTCTCTGTTACCCATTGATTATTGACAATTGAAATTGTCTGGTCTTCTGCAGTGTCTCCTGATGTTTTTGAGTGTTTGTGTTTCATATGTAAAACTGATCAAGTGCAATTTAACAATTTTTTAATTTCGTTTTTCCCCTTTTTATGTTGTATGTGACTGTATGACTGTACTCAAAGAGCTTTTAAAGCAGTATAAATTGTTTTCTTGTCTTTCCAGTTGAGACATTTGGGAAATGATGAAGTGCACATTGTTTGGTCAGAGCATACTAGAGACTACAGGAGAGGAATTATTCCCACAGAATTTGGTGATGTCCTTATTGTAATATATCCAATGAAAAATCACATGTTCAGTATTCAGATAATGAAAAAACCAGAGGTAAGAACTCCTTATCTTCCATTTTAGTAATAGATTTTGGTTCTATAGGGGTTCATGGGTTTCTTTCCATGTTACAGAATAAAATTTGGAGTAGGCATCAAGTTGTGAAACTGAGGGTAAATGTTACATAGACCCTGGTAGCTACATGGATTGCCTAAGCCTGGTTCAGAAGGAGCTAAAACAGAATAAATAGCAAGAAACTGTGTTTAAATGGAGGATTTGGCTAGGTAGTGCCAGAGTGAAAGTTCCTGTGTACCAAGCTCAAAAAGGACTTACCTTTTATTAAGAGAACAATTACAATTTCCTAAAAATCACAGTAAGAAGTAATCATTTACTTTATAATAGGACTATATGATTCCTATATTTTTAGTTGATATATCTTATTAAGATTGCATGATTATTAGTCATGTCAATAAATGAGGATTCTACAAATTGAAAAAAAATAAGCCAAATGGTTCAGTCACCTATCCTATAGTTGGATGTCTTATATATACACCATAGAATTCAAACACACTATTGCAGAAATATTTTCTTCCAGGATAATAAAAGTTTGGTAGTATTTTTGGTGTGTTCCTTCCCTTTTTTAAACTGAATTCTTCAGTTTCTAGAAAACCTACATTTGACAATTGATTAAGAATCTTCAGAATTCCTTGAATTAGATTAAGTTTCTCATGTATGAATTTCTTATGTGTGAATTTAGGTTTCTTCAGGGTTCACCTAAACCAGAGGCCAGCAGACTGTGGCCCATAGCCTGGTTTCATACAACCCACAAGCTAAGAATATTTCGGTTTTGGTTTTGGGTTTTTTTACATTTTTAAAAAGACATTTTGTTGGTGGTGGTGGTGGTGGTGGTGGTTTTGTTTTGGTTTTTGGTTTTTTTGAGACGGAGTCTGGCTCTCGCTCTGTCACCCAGGCTGGAGTGCGGTGGCGCAATCTCGGCTCACTGCAACCTCCGCCTCCCGGGTTCAAGCAATTCCCTGTCTCAGCCTCCCGAGTAGCTGGTACTACAGGTGCCTGCCGCCATGCCCAGCTGATTTTTCTATTTTTAGTAGAGACAGGTTTTCACCATCTTGGTCAGGCTGGTCTCGAACTCTTGACTTCAGGTGATCTGGCCTCCCAAAGTGCTGGGATTACAGGCATGAGCCACCACGCCCAGCCTTAAAGAATTAAAAAAAAAAAAAATTGAAGAATATACAACAGAGAGAACATGTGACCACAAAATCTAAAATATTTACCATCTTATCCAGAGCTTACCTCCTTGCCTTCAGCTGCCATTTATGCCAACCTTATTCAAACAGAATTTCTAAGTTTTGAAACCATGAGTGAGTCACCTCAAAAAAATAACATTTAATTATCAAAACATAGATATTTTTTCTAATAAACTGTGTAATAAGGGTTTTAGGTTCTGTAGTAAAGCTAGTGTCACAAAAATAATGAAAAACTAACTTCTTGCCTATAAGTATATATTTTTCTTTTGTTCACTCAATGGAGAAAAGGAAATTTACTTCTAGTGTTGGCTTTTTGTATACAATTGAAACTAGTAAAATTTGGAAATTGGCTAAGTGTGTAAATTATTTACTCAGTTACATGAAGCACATAGTTCTTTTGAATAGACACCCTATAAACCTTTGACATTTTTATTGTCCTAGTATGAGTGACCCATCACAGAAAAGAATTGAATTCAAATAGTATTTTTACTGAAGGAAGAACTAAAGAAGCAGCAGAAATACTTTTGGATGCAAAGTGTCTTGATTGCTCTTATTTACAATCTGTCTGTAATTTGAATGTAAAATTATGTTCTGATTTCTCAATCAGGTTCCCTTCTTTGGTCCCCTTTTTGATGGTGCTATTGTGAATGGAAAGGTTCTACCCATTATGGTTAGAGCAACAGCTATAAATGCAAGCCGTGCTCTGAAATCTCTGATTCCATTGTATCAAAACTTGTATCCTTTTTTTAATGTAATGGTTTCTACTCTAACGTATGTCTACTCACAAAGGTAAATATTTCTTATATATTGTTAAAGCCTTTTATTTTCTAGGGTTTTTTTAATTATTATTTTTTGTAGAAATGGAGTATCATTATGTTTCCCGGGATTGTCTCAAACTCCTGGGCTCAAATGATTGTCCCACCTTGGTCAGCCTCCTAAAGTGCTGAGATTACAGGTGTGAGCCACTGCACCCAGCCTGATTCCCTGTTTATTGATGTATAGATGGTTCAGTTCCTCCCCAGTGTTGGAGCAGTTATATTTGAATGATATATTTTCTTTCACATGCTTTTTTTTTTTTTTTGAGATGGAGTCTCACTTTTGTCACCCAGGCTGGAGTGCAGTGGCACGATCTCAGCTCACTGCAACCTCCGACTCTGGGGTTCAAGCAATTCTTCTGCCTCAGCTTCCCAATTAGCTGGGATTACAGGCATCCACCACCACACCCAGCTAATTTTTGTATTTTTAGTAGAGACAGGGTTTTACCATGTTGGCCAGGCTGGTCTCGAACTCCTGACCTCGGGTGATCCGCCCGCCTCGGCCTCCCAAAGTGCTGGGATTACAGACCTGAGCCACTGCACCCAGCCCTCTTTTATATACTTTTAATCAGTACTAATCTTTTGGTTAATTAGAGTCCCATTATGTGTCAGGTACTCTACGACTCTGGAGTTGCAGAAGTAATCAAAATAGTCATTGCAAATAATTCAATCTAGTTGGGGAAACATACTGTATTCAGCGTACATGTTGTTAATAGAGATATGGGCAGGTATTCCAGAAATATAGTAACAAGGGGTCTCTCACTCACCTGGATGGAGTGGTGTTGTCAGGAAACACTTCTGAAACAGTGAGGATTGAACCAATTTTGAAGGACAAATAAGAGTTAATCAGGTGGAAGAGCCAAAGAGCCTTCCAAGCAGAGGGAACAACATAATCAGAGACATGGAGGTATGAGAAGATGGGGAATGTTTAAGAGCATAACTTCCAGAGCCAGATTGCCTAAACTCAAATGCTGGCCATGCTTTCTTAGCTGTGTAGACTTGGGAAAATTATTTAACCTTTTTGAGCCTGAGTTTTCTTGTCTATAAAATGAGAATGATAATAATATCTAGCTCATGGTGTTATGACAACTAATAATGAGTCAATATGTGTAAAGCTCTTAAAACAGTGCCTGGCACACAACATACACAAAGTTTTAAATTTAAATTGTTTTCTGATATTCCTTTCTAAAATAAATTTATGTTTTTCATATAATTTTTCTATATGATTTAAAACATTTTATTTTTTATATAATAAACTGTAAATGATAAGCTTTAAAGGAAAGTTTTTAAAAATATCTTATGTTCCAGTCCACATGAAATAGATTTATTATCTTAACTTGGTAGTTTACCACGTACATTTTCTTCTTTTGACGAAAATTGACTTAAGCTATCTGATTACTCTGTAATTTCTCATGTATTCTGACACAGTGAAATGGAATTGCAGGTGGATCATGGTATGTTACATTGATTAAGCTTAATGACATTTCTGTAGTATTTCTTTTTCATAGCATTTATATCTTCACTTACTTTAAACTGAAAACTCATATTTGAAGTAGTCATTTTAGTGAAATCATAATGACTAAAATGAGCCTTGAATTGTTAACAAAAGTATAATTTGGAGACATCCACTAAGTAGAGATTTATCAATTGAAAAGAAATTTCGGTAGGCAAGTTCAGTGAGTAGTATGGACATGGCGAGTTTATTTCTAAGTCACTTGTCTTTGACTATACAGTCTGTTGATTGTTTCTGAAGATTGTTTTGAAGACTATATTGTCTGTTGATTGTTTGAAGCATTAGGAGGAACTATTCAAGAAGACCCTTGAGTTTTTGTGAACCCTGCTGAGCTCAGCCAGCAATCAGTTTCATTTCCTTTACCTTTGGGGCCTGGAATCTTGAGTCTTTTCCCCAGATGTGAATAAACTATGGGGAGAATGATTTGTGAAACCCATACTCACAGCTTACCATTTATAAGGTCCACACATACCATGTGCCTTTTTTAGGAATTACGGCTTCATTCCCTAGATACAGTATCTTTTTCCTTTAAACAAAACAAGATGCTTACTGACAAATTCTCACTTTCCTAGTCTACTTTTTCTAAATTTTTATTATTCTGATTTTTATCTCATTGTAATACAGGTTGAATATCCCTTCTCTGAAATTCTTGAGACCAGAAATGTTTCAGATTTCAGATTTTTTTGGATTTTGGAAAATTTCATTATACTTACCAATTAATTGAACATTTCTAATCTGAATACCTGAAATCTGAAATTCTTCAATGAATGTTTCCTTTGAGTGTCATGTCAGAGCTCAAAAGTTTCAGATTTTGGAGCATTTTAGATTTCAGATTTTCAGCTTAGGGATACTCAACCTGTACTTCCATAAAAGCTTTGTAGTTTTAATCTGTTTATTGGCATATACTTTTCAGTTTGTTGTCTCCTGAATATCTCTAGAACAGTAGCTAATCTAACATGTAATATACAGGTTATTACCCATAAATTTTATCCACTCTGTTAGCTTCATCAAGGATGTTTACTCTCTGACCTTTGCCTCTTTCACAGTTCACTATATCCTAATGTCCATTCTGAGAGTGTCCTCTGTCATTTCATTAAAGGTGCAATTGAAAGTGGAGCATAGAGGTAGATATGGAAGAGTTTGTACTTTCTTGTGTAAATAAATGTCTTAGGTCTTTTTGGAAAGTGGTGAGATCAATTAGATTGTAATGCAAAACTCTATTTGCCTCTTGTGTCATAAAATAGGAACTCAACTTATTGAGCAAGCACAAACTTTCTGACATGAGGTACAACAACATTTAAGATGCACTCCTTACCAAGTAGTTTTAAAATGCAAACTCAAGAGTTTTGGGAATATGGCTTAATTTTTTTTTCTACATCCCTGTTCATAGTCTTCTATTTCAGACTTCATGTTACACTAAAGGTATATAAAAGCTGGCTTTGCAGTTAGAAAGCATTAATTTTTAACTCAAGCTCTGCCTTGTGATCTTGGCCAAGTCACAGAATCTCTGAACCTCACTTTCTTCAGCAGTAAAAAAGATGCTAATAACCATCTCAGAATTGTTGTAAAGATTAAATGAGATAATGAACTTGGATGTACTTAGTAGATATAATAATAAGTTACATTATTTTGTGCAATGATTAATCCTGTTATGTGTAAAGATTACAGTCAATATAAAACAAGTCTACCCAACACCAAGGAATTGCCTAATTGGATTTTTATGTTTGGTTGATTGGTAGGTTGATCGATTGGGTTGGATTTTTCAGGCCTACTTCATCATGTTTTTAATAGCCAATCTTGCTAAGATGTTAATAGATACCACATTGGAGAAAATTGATGAAAATAGTAAACATGAATACTTTATTTAAACAGAAAATCTGAAGTTTTCTACCAGCAAAATTACTTCTGGGACACAGAGTAAATACATTAAATCAGGTAGATCAAACAAATTTTTCTTGACTTGGAATCTTGAGTTTAGAAACTACAGGAAGTTGTTTTCCTATGCTACCTGAGTGTAGTATATATACCTAGTGTAGTATGTATATACATGCAGCAAAGGCTAGTAGTATAGTATCTCTACTTAATACATACATACATATGCATATATATATAGTACAAATATATATATATATAGTACAAATATATATATATATATAATGTACAAAGTTCTATATTCTAAATGTTGGGGGGAAATGACTTCATACAGGTGGATTACTTGATTTTCAAATGAACATTTATATAATAAACTACAACTAGACATTTGTATTTTAAGATATTGAAATACAGGTACATCTGTCTTAATTTTAAATAAATACTTATTTCAGAAACATAATGTATTAAATTTTAAGATGTACCTTTTTGAAATATCAGATTACGTTCTCATTAAGGAAAAAATCAAGCATTTTAAAATTGGTCAACAATTTAGTTAACATAAATTACAACAGAAATTGAGATACAGGTAGGCTTTGGAAACCACCAGTTAATCCTTTACTCTTCATAAAAGAAATGAAGGGATAAAAAATAATAAGCTTGATTATATTTGGATAATTGTACTGCTGTGTCAGTTATTTTATGCCCAATAAAAGTACTCACTAAGATTCCAAAGCATAAATTGTGCTATTTATGATCATTAAATACAGTTTAAATTTTATCCTAGGAACATGTTCTGAAACCATGAATCTAATGTTGTTCACTAAATGGGGACAGTATTGATTGTCATATGCTACCCAAATCGATCATACCAGCAGCCAGAATTACAGTAATCTGTCCGTATTGATGACTGTCTTTCAAGCTGAAACCTCTCCTTCGCTGCACTTGTTTCTTACATTACTTGTACTGGAAAAGCATTTTCTTACAACTTCTGATTTTGTCAGCTAGGTACTTTTTTTTTCAGGCAGGGGAGGGGTCTGGAGCTCAATTTGTTAGTTTAATCATGCAATTAGAATTGAAATGCAACACTGTGGAGGAAAACCAAGCAGATTCTGTGTAACCATTGGACCAGAGAGGTATTTCAGCTTTAATCCTAGCCATCGTTTATTAGTTACCTATTGAAAGAGTGTTCATGGTTTTTTTGTTTCTGTTTTTTCAGTGGGAATCATAATCCCAAATTATTAATTTCATGACCTCAGCCATCATGATTCTATTCCTTAAATAAAAATTTTAAAGCAATTATTTCTTTTGATCCTAAAGACATTTTGACTATGACTTCTGAATATACAAATGTTAAATATGATACTTTTAGGTAAATACTGTTTCTTCTTTTAGTGAGATTTATTATACATAGAAATTTGCAGAATTTACAATATATAATCATGTTGTAGTAGTGAGGGTTCTCAGAGAAACAGAACCAATAGGATGTATATATAAAGAGAGAGAAAAGAGATTTGTTTTAAGGAATTTGTTCATGTAGTTGTGGGCGCTGGCAAGTTCGAAATCTGTAGGAGACTCGGGGAAGAGTTGATGTTGCAGTCTGAGTCTGAAGGCAGAATTCTCTCCTTCCTCAGGGGACCTCAGTGTTTTCTCTTAAAGTATTTAACTGATTGGATGAGGCCCACCCACATTATAGAGGGTAATCTGCTTTACCCAAAGTCTACTGATTTAAATGGTAATCAAATCTAAAATATAACTGTAACAGTATAAATATAACAGTATTGTACAGTAATTAAGAGTATAATATATGTTATATATTATATTAATATTATAAAATATAACAGTAGCATCTAGACTGATGTTTGACCAAAAACTGGGTCCCATGACCCAGCCAAGTTTACATAAAATTAACCAACATATCCTGTTTTTCTTTTCTTTTTATCCTTATTACAAATTATAATTTGAGAAAATACATAAATCATAAATGTACTAGGTAATGAATTATTACAGTTTAACTATCAACAAGTCAAGAAATAGAATTGTAGTTTTTCTTCCTTCAAAAATATTTATTGATCACTTACACAGTAAAGATTTTGAGAGGGATACAAAGACAAATCAGATAGTAATCCTGTCCTCATAAGCTTATAATTTAACAAGGAGAGAATAATATGTAATTACTAATTATAATAGAAGACTAAATGAAAATGTCCTGGTAGGGTTATAGATAAAATGCTATAAGAGTTCCAAGGGTGAAGAAATTACTTTGGAGTAAGAAGATCAGGAAAGAGTGTTTAGAAAATCTGGGCCTCAGAAGGTGGGGTTTGAGTAGATGGAATGCAACATGTCTGTTTTAATTCTTGTAATTTATAGTCCTAAGGTTTTGTATGCATATATGTATATTATAGAAGTATAATATTCTGAAATATACAGTATGGGGGATATTATATAATTAAATGGCATTTTAAAAGAATACTTTATTCCTCGATTTAGAATATTCTTTCCTACCACAACTAGTATCGTTTGATTTCTTCTAATCTGTTTAGATTTGACTTTTTCTTAAATACCAGAATTGGGTTTCTATTTAACTTGATCAGGGAGATTACCAGAAGTCAGTGATTATTCTTCAATTAGTTACAGTTTATTCTCCCTCAAGCTCTGCTACTCAAATGTCCAGTACCTGTTGCAAAGTAGGAAAGCCAAAACTAAGTGGAATGGAATTGATGAATTGATTGGTTCTGCTAATGCAGTTGCCTTTCGTTATAATAAAACATTATAAAACCTTTTGGGGGGGTCTGTCAGTATTGTTGCCATTTCACGTTAGAAGAAAATGAGTTTATTGAGAAACTATGTAATTTTATGTATCTACTGTCTTTTGTAGATTATTTTCTCAGAAGATAACATCAATAAGTATGGGTTATCCTTAATTTAATGTGTAAAAAGAGGATAATAGTACCAAATTCAGGATGATGTAAGGATTAAGTAAAATTATCCACATGAAGCACTAGGTAACCTATCTGTCATGTAGCAAGAGTTCAGAAAATGGTAGCTACATGGGAGTTAATGATGCTATCGTTATTATCATCTACATTGACACTTGGGATATTCTTCTAAAATGCAAACCTAAGTACAGACAGTCCTCAGTTTAGGATGGTTCAGCTTTATGATGGTACAAAAGCAATACACTGTTCAGTAGAAATCGTACTTAGAATTTTGAATTTTGATTCAAAATTCAGGAGAATTGCTTGAACCTGGGAGGCAGAGGTTGCACTGAGCCGAGATCATACCATTGCACTCCAGCCTGGGCGACAAGAGAGAAACTCCATCTCAAGAAAATATAGGCTTTGCATTAGATGATTTTACCCAACTGCAGGCTAGTGTAAGTGTTCCAAGAACATTTAAAGTGGACGATAAGTTATATTCCTTATAATTCGGGTAAGTTATAATGTTCAGTAAGTTAGGTGTATTAAATGCATTTTCAATTTATGATGAGTATTTTGGAATGTAAGCCCATTGTAAGTCAAGAAACATCTGTATACTAAAAGACTTAAGATGGCTCTTAACTGCTTATTGAAACAAGTGTAAATTTTTTGATGACCTGGAAGCAATTATTTTTACCTTACCCTCCCTACCCTTATGTTTCTCACTGCAGTTTTGTCCAATATACCTGTACTCCTCCCCAGCTCCATCCCCCATCTTTACCCTCATCTCCTACCACACTGACGCCCAGGGCACCTTATGTGTCCAGCTAAGTCATATTCATTATTCCTGAATGCTCTTCTTTTTCAGGCCCATGTTGTTACCCCAGTAATGCCCATCTCTACTTTTTCTACCTAACATATTTATTATTCATGACCCAAATATCCTTTGTTTTAAAAGAAAAAAAACCTCCTTTACTATGTAAAACTATTATTTACACTGCCTCAAAACATTTTGTTATAGTACTTACTGTGTGTGTATATATTAGCAAGTCTTACTTACCCTCCTTGTTTCACTAACTTCCAGCACAGTGCCTAGCCTATGGTAGATGGCTAGTAATTTATTCTAATTAGAACAAGGTGGATGTATTTATTATCTATCTTTTTGAAGTTTAGATTTAGCATGGATTCTTTTTTTTTTTTTTTTTTTTTTTTTTTTGAGACGGACTCTCGCTCTGTTGCCCAGGCTGGAGTACAGTGGTGCTATCTCAGCTCACTGCAAGCTCCACCTCCTGGGTTCAAGCAGTTCTCCTGCCTCAGCCTCCCGAGTCGCTGGGACTACAGGTGCATGCCACCACGCCCAGCTAATTTTTTGTATTTTTAGTAGAGATGGGGTTTCACCGTGTTAGCCAGGATGGTCTCGATCTCCTGAACTCGTGATCCGCCCACCTCAGCCTCCCAAAGTGCTGGGATTACAGGTGTGAGCCACCACGCCCGGCCATGGATTCTTTTAAGAATGGAAAAGCCCCAAATATTTTTTGTAGTAACTTATAGTTTGTGATTTGTATTAGACTAGGCTACAACTCTTAAGAGTTTACTGGGTAGGTAAGAAGAGGAAACCTAGGATCAGTGAAAATTGCCTCTGATACATCAATAAGCCAGGCTAGCACACATACAAGGGTTTTTTATTTTGACTACTTAATCAGTAGTATATTTTTATTAGAGCCCATTATAGTTTACTGAAGATAATTTTCAGACGTCATTCATTAATGAGGGTTTTCACTTCATTTGGGGTTGGGAGATCTCTTAGGGAGAAAAATGAGCTAAGACATCTCTGACTTGATGGCAGTGGCAGATGACTTGGGGAGGACACATCTTGGTGTCCCCTCCAAGGAGGAGGCAGCATGAGGCTGAGCCCTGAAGGCTCACACTTCCTGCTGTAAGGCAAGGAAAGTGGTAGCAACAGGAGAGCAGTAGGGGGAAGCAATGGGAGTCTAGACGCTGATGAGGTTTCCAATTTTGCTGCTTTAACATTTGTACCACCTATGTTACTGAGTCCATTAGGAGCTCTCAAAATTTTGTGCCATTTGTTCTTCATGCTTTCTATGAAGGTCTTAAATATCATGGACAAATTGATTAGTTGTTAAATCAAATTGATTAGTTGTTAAGTCAAATTGATTTTTAACTAAGATGTATAGTTATGGTCATTCTCTTCAAAAGAAGAGAAGATAATTCTTCAAATAAAATGTCTTACCAGCTAAGTGATCCAGGTTTTGTGGTCTTTGAAAAGCTCACAGCCATTGTGCTACTGGTACTAACCATTGTAGTAGGATCTCTCCAAGAGCAGACAAACATTCTTCTTTACCTAACAATCTGCTCCATAATTGAAGGATTTAAATCTCCTGTATTCAGCCAGCCGCGGTGGCTGTAACTAGGTATTACAGGTACACACCTGTAATACCAGCACTTTGGGAGGTCAAGGTGGGCAGATCACTTGAGGCCAGGAGTTCAAGACGAGCCTGGGCTATATAGTGAAACCCTGTCTCTACTAAAAATACAAAAAATTAGCCAGGCATGATGGCACACGCCTGTAATCCCAGCTACTCAGGAGGCTTGAGGGATGAGAATTGCTTGAACCCAGAGGTTGCAGTGAGCCCAGATTGCACCACTGCACTCCAGCCTGGGCAACAGTGTAAGACTCTGTCTCAAAAAAAAAAAAAAAAAAAAAAAAAACTCCTATATTAAAGACATGGCATTACAATTAAAGAATTTTTTGCTGTGCTTACACATCCCCTTGTCATGGATTTTGCTGCCAAGTCTTGTAGTCTTTGTAGTCTGTGTATACAGAGTAATTATTTAAACAGGGGCCCCATATATGTGCCACACTTCTACAGTGACTCTAGTATATTTTTGATTATGTCAGTTTTAATTTATTTAGCTATTCTTTTCAAAAATGGCAGTATATGCCTGTTGATGATGTTACTGTATTTTTTTTTTTTTTTTTTTTTTTTTTGAGACAGAGTTTTGCTGTTTCCCCCAGGCTGGAGTGCAGTGGCGCCATCTCGGCTCACTGCAACCTCCACTTTCCAGTTTCAAGCGTTTCTCCTGCCTCAGCCTCCCAAGTAGCTGGGATTACAGGTGCCTGCCACCACGCCCAGCTAATTTTGTATTTTTAGTAGTGACAGGGTTTCACCATGTTGGCCAGGCTGGTCTCAAACTCCTGACCTCGTGATCCATCTGCCTCGGCCTCCCAAAGTGCTGGGATTACAGGTGTGAGCCACCACGCCCTGCGATGTTACCGTATTTTAAAAGTACTGCATACCTTTAAAGATGGTAGTTTTGGTCTAGCAAATCCTTGTCCTTTCAAAAAGCAATAAATGTGAATCTCTGATATGTAATAACTTTGTGATAATAGTAAAGAAAGTTTATTCTGTCTGAAAATAGCATTGTCTCTTAATGGTCTCTAGAGACAGTCTTTAAGGTTTTACTAATATTGACCAATAATTACTTACAGTTAAACTGTGGGAGCTCACAAAAATGACTTCAGTATATGGCCAACTTCCATTTCTGTTAACATTGTTTTAATTCTAGAGATATTTTCAATTTTTATCTTCTACCAAGAACTTAATGCACTAATGATAAACTTAAGCAATTTGGGGTCATTCAGCAATAGTGATATAGACCAAGTAGGATGGTAAAGGTGATTAATTTTAAGTGGGAGAGGATAGGGTGAGAGGATGGGATGGAAATTAGAGGAATGGCTTTACTATGGAAGAATTCTGCTAATATTTCAGAGACACATGGAACTTTTCTAGACAGATATGGTCAGGGAAGAATTTTTTAAGGGTAAGAAGTGGACATGGAGGCATAAAAATGTGATATGGTCAAGAGATAAAAGGTGTTCAGTACTGCTGGATGATATAAAGGGAAGAGCAGTGGCAGATAAAGATCAAGAAGTAGGTCAAAACCAGATAATACAGTCAAGCAGAAAGAAAATAAACATAAATGTGGTTTTCTAATGCTACTGATTGTTTTATGGCAGCCAGTGTCTAAGGTAACAGTTCCTTCTGCTATTGTGTGTTTTTTACCCGTTGACTAGCGAAACAATTACAGCTTGAATTTCTTATTTTTCATTTTCTAGCGAAGCCTTTCCAAAATGTTTATTGATCGTTATTTTCATAAAGTCTTTTTTATGATAATTAGTTGAGCAATAATTGCCAGGCTAATAGCCAGTATTGCATTTTCTCAATGAGACTAAGATCTCTAAATGTTTGATAGTATTTATACATATGTATCATTTTTAAAAGAGCATCTGAGATTTTCATATTTCTTATGATAGACTCATGATACTCTTCATTCTTGCACAACAATCCTTTACACTTTTCCTATGAGATACTTTTATACAATTATTGAGTTTTTACACATTATTACACTTTTACACGTTATTGATGAATAAAGTACTTTTGTCCTAGTCTTATAATACATTGACTTCATGGCAACAACGACAAAAATACCAAAAGAAAGCATTACCACCATCTTATCTGTTTTGTCAAATTTAGTGTAACAGTATGGTCCACATATGCCAATCTGGACAGTTGGGTCATATCACAGTGCACGAGAAGAAAGAGAACTCCATCAGGGCACGGACAAAGTACAGTATTCCCTAAAAACAACGAAACTTGAAGTTTGCTTCTATCTTTATCAACTTCTCACCTGTGCTGGAATAGGGATTTTTTTTTTTCCTGTATTAAAACCCTATGATGTTGCAGTTTGTGATGACTGTGCACTGCTCCACTCACATTATTGTTCACCACACCTACTACATAATGTACAACTTTTATTCTACTCTTTAAATATGAAAACAACTGTAGATTCAGATGCTATTTCGGGATTTCAAAGAGCAAAGAAGAAAGGATGTAAAGCAGAAATTAGTCTTTAAACATATTTGACATAGGAATTGAAGTGGTTTTCATTCATTCTTTTCATTGACTAAACATAGGCCTTTTGATATTAAATTTTTAATAATAATGGAATTAAAATTAAAGTATGGGTCACAAATCTATCCATTTTCTTCTAACTGCTATTCCTCTCAAACACTAGAATAGAGCCTATTTAAATCTTAACTTTTGCTTGCCAAACCACTGTTACCGCCCATCTGTTCATGCCAATTGTAAAGAAGGTTCAGTTTTTAGTGAAGCTTTGCATTTCACATAAGGTATGTGAAGTGAAATTTCACAAGGGACATGATGGATCCTGATTCTTAGTGATAAACCTTTGGGGCCATCAGGGTTGGCATATGGTCCAGTATGATATGAAGGCTTGGGTTCCCTGGCTTCACTTCTTTGGCGTGAAGCTGATAAAACCTGGCTCTTGAGTATTATTTCACTGGACACCAATCATGGGCAGCAGGAACTGCCCATTTAACTCTCTGTGGGAAGGAAGCCCAGAGAGCATTCACAATGGTACCATTGTCGAGTTGCAAACTGCTCTGAACAGCTTGACAGCACTAGGGAGGAGGGGAAGGGGTTGCTTTACTAATTGCTGTTCAGAAAAGAGAAGAAGCAAAAATAGCTGTTGCAGAACTGATGTTTCTACATTTACTTACTCTCTTGCTAAGAATGTTGACTTATTTAGCATGTAACTACTATCAAAAAAGAAGGCAAATGAATATAAGCAACCACCTGTAGTAATTCCTTATTAACATGCCATTATCTATTTTTAGCCCATCAGATTATTGCAGAGCAAAAGTCAGTTTTGCCTTATTTTTTTATTAGATGAAAATAAGGAATTTTTTATCTTCATAATTTAATTGAGGTGAAGTGGATAAAATCGTCACAATTCACATGTCAGATAAGGTTATAAATTTGGTTTAATTTACACTTTGCTTTTTAGGATTCCCAAATACCATCTGAATACATATAAACGATATTAGTATAGAAATGTAAATTAACTTTCTGCATAACACAAGTGCTAAAATAATCCACTAAAGATAAATTAGTCAGCACATCTTAAGGTTAAATGCCAGATTTATCATTTAAGTGAGTAGCTCATAACTATTTCAGTCGTGTATGATTATCTCACTCATTGAATTCCCTCTGGTTGGATTTTTTTTAATGTGAGGGTTGTTTCCTTTTTTATGAAATATTGTATGCGCTGATATTTATATAAACACTCCTTGGCCTTTCTGTTTTCTTGGTCAGCTTTATCAGCAAGCAGTTGTGTAGTTTTGTTGCAAAGAAACAATGATCTACAACCTGAAAAAAAAATTAATGCTTATTTTCAGACTCCAGGGATTCTGACCCCATAGATGATTCTTTCTTTTCAGCTGAAATGAAGTTGACTAAATTATATTGCAGTATTATAATTTATGCAGCATGTTCTTAAATAGGATAAGGAAGAGATATTTTAAGAAACCTTTTAAATCTGTAAATTTTTTTAATGGGATGCTCTTGCTAGATTTGGGGAAATTCAAATGCATGTTTTGTAAAATCAGTAAATCTGTAAAATTTACTACTATTCCATATCCTGTGTTCTCTTAAGTAATTTTAGTAAATGGGCACCAGTGCAGTATTTCAAAAACAGTAATTCATTGAATGCCCATTCTTCCTTTTACTGCAGAATAGATTGTATTTAAGTCAAGATTAATGGATAGATTTTGATGTTAAAGTCCAGTGTCTATGCCTATCATTCCCTGGGGGCATATAGTGCATTAGTTTAAGCCAATGTACTGCTTATCATAGATTCTATGACACTGTCTTAAATGACAGTTTACTGTACTTTGTTTCTACTTACTATGATAATAAAATCACTTTTTTTGTATTCCCAATAATTATAGCACTTAAATAAAATCTTAATTAAATTAGTGCACATTTAAGTAGAGATAACACTTAAGTAATTGTACACTGTAAAATTTCACTTATTTGGGTTTTTTTTTTTTTTCTTTTTGCAGTCTTCTGACAGGGTCCAAGTAGATCTTTCCAAGAATGAGAGGACATTATAATTTCATTAAATGAGAGGACATTATAATTTCACTAAATTTGAAATCCAGATACCCTAGTTTTTGTTTTGCTTCGTACAACTTTCATGAAAATAGAATATATATACACACACACACACACACACACACACACACACACACACATACATATTGGATAATCATATTAGTGCTTTTTGAAACCCACCAATGATTACTGGATTATTAAATCAGGAAGGATTTTCAGAGCCTTTAGGTAGGTTTAAATTTTTAAGCCTATTTATTTAAGGTTAATCTTTTTAAATGTATTTACACAAACTTTGGTGGAATTGGGCTTATCAACTTTTTACTTAATGTTTTCATTTAGTAATTGACTGATTTATGAGCAATTATATGTGGTCCAAATTTTATTCAACTCCAGCTTTCAATAATAGGGCTATCCTCACACTGCCTTAGCACCTGTTATGGATTTTGAGTCATCTGGCAGCCCATGGGACTTAGATAAAGAAGTACCAGGTGTCCTGCCTGTCTCCTAATTGAGACGCAGTGAAAACAATATAGACTTGGCAATATGGTTAAAAGGATGGATTAAAGCCCAGCTTTGTCTGCTCTGACAAATCACAGCTTTTCCTTCATGGTGTAGATAGTATCAACTACTAAAGAATTTCATGAATATAAGGCATCATAAAAATAGACAATAATTTGTCATAACCTGTTGCAGACTTTCAGAAGAATTTTTATTAACATAGTATAAGCAATATTAATAACAAGATTCATGCAATTTGTTTAGGGGAATTTTATTTTTTACTACATGTGAACTAGACTGCATGTTTCTGGAAAAAATTAGTTACAGTAGGAAAGAAATGGAATATCTTTCCCTCTGCCAGATCTTAATTTATCAGATCTTGCTTTATAAGGTAAGCAGTATAGTTTGCTTTCATCTTATAAATGAACAGTGTATATTATATATTAGTCCATGAGATACTAATTACCCGGTGTATTTCGGAAAATTTGCTACTTTACTACCGATAATAACCATGAGATCCTTGAGATGTACTTGCAAAATATGTCTACCCATATGCTATGTCTCAATAAAATTCTTATTTTTCATTCTTTTTTCAAGACCCTGTGTAATGATATTGCCTCAGAATGTTTAAAGATATTTCAAGGCCTTTTAAAACTGAAGTGCCAAATGTGGTTTGTTTTCAAATTTTTATTTTAGAACATGCAAGGGGTTTTACTGTAGTATAGTCACTAATGTATAGTAAACTATAGTATAGCAAATAGTATTTTACTCTACTAATATGTAAACAAACATCTTTCAAAAATTGCCAGTCTTAGAATTTAAGCTAATATTCATTATTTTGACATAACTAAAAGGCCTAATATACCTTTGCTTTTTCACCGCACAACACCTAGGTCATTGAGATTGGATGTAGAGAGAGCATTGGACTATTAATTAAAAGACCAAGATTCTAGTCCCAGCTCTATCCATCAGCAGCTTTGTTTATCCAAGCAAATCTCTGTACTCTCCATTCAGGCAAGCCTTATTGCTGCCTATAAACATTAGTAAAATAAACTAATTTTACCAAGCTTCCTGGAAGTAATGTTGATGGATGTATCCTTCCTCTAGTTCAAACTGTCCTAAATATTCTCGATAAATGATGCCTTGTCTTGGGATAACCTCTTTCAAGGTGGCCTTTTTAAAAACCTAAATATTTAACATTTTTCAAGTGTTGTTTTTCAAGGGTATTATTACTTCTATTCTTATGGTATACAGAGCAGTTTTGGAAATCTGCCTAAAATGATTTGAAATTACCCTTCATTTAATTTTCTCTGTAAAGATTTTCTCATTCTTCCCTTTTTTTCCCTTCTCTATAAATGGCCACTTAAGCAAATAGAATTAGTTTGACTAAATTCATTTCTCATGCCATTGTAGAATTTATGAAAAAAATTTAAACAATTATCACAACCAATGGGGGAAATGTTTATTTCAATGCTAAATTATGAGTTATAATTACATTGCCTAAAGAAAAAATCCTTCTTTAAGATTATGAGGATTTAAAGAAGTAATTATCAGTTTTCTTTTCTCTTAATGTAATACTTTACATATTTATACATTGTGCTTTATTTACTTTTTTTTGGTTCCAGAGAGGGCCAGCAAGATCAAGGGGCATGGTAGAACCAAAATCTTTCTCACAAGAAAGATTCAAAGTCTAAATCCAGTTCTAGGAAAGTTCCAACTATATTTCCCCCTAAAAGGTTTGCCTTTACAGAGCCATATGGGGATTAGAGGAAAGGGGCTGTCAGCATAACAGACATCTCCTAATCTACTATCAAACCAACTTTATTCATTCCTTCTAGAAGTTGTAAACAGTCATTGAATACTACCAGGCCCTGTGTTGGGTGTTGAAGACATAAATATAAGAAGACAAGGTCTCTGTCCCCATGGCGTTGGTCTCACCACTATCTGTAACCACAAAATGGATCATAAAAATTTCAATAACATAAGTAGAATGGCTGGATTAGTAGTCTCTAAAGTGAAGAAGTAACATTGAAGAACCACCAAATCTGCCCCCAAGAATCGGGTATAAAAACTATTTCTTAAGAAAGTGTATTTAGGCCGGGCGCGGTGGCTCACGCCTGTAATCCCAGCACTTTGGGAGGCCGAGGCGGGCGGATCACGAGGTCAGGAGATCGAGACCATCCCGGCTAAAACGGTGAAACCCCGTCTCTACTAAAAATACAAAAAATTAGCCGGGCGTAGTGGCGGGCGCCTGTAGTCCCAGCTACTTGGGAGGCTGAGGCAGGAGAATGGCGTGAACCCGGGAGGCGGAGCTTGCAGTGAGCCGAGATCCCGCCACTGCACTCCAGCCTGGGCGACAGAGTGAGACTCCGTCTCAAAAAAAAAAAAAAAAAAAAAAAAAAGAAAGTGTATTTAGTAGAAGAACAAGCCTAAGGAAAGAGTTCTCTAAAGGGGACCTGGCAGGTGGGCGTTTTGCAGCAATCTTCAAGATGTATGATGTGGAAACTCACCATAGCCAATTTCAGGCTACCAACCTTACAAACTTTATGAGTATTGAATAATTTACTCTAATCTGCTCAACTTAAGTAGTACTCAGATTTCAGCTACTTTAAGTTACAACTCAAATATGATTTAAGTTGTACTCACCAAAAATTTTTTTTAAATCAGTAGGCAACATTTCTAAGTAACTATTGGAACACTCCCTCTTCCTGTGCTTACTATTTTTGGAATCTTCTGTCTAGAGAAGGGAGATAAAATTCCTAAGTGCTGAAACTGCAAAGAAGCCATAGAAATATATGAGTGTAGGGAAGTGCTTACTAAATTAAGAATTTCAGAATGGGCCTTAAATCCCTGAGACTATGCCATTGAGCACAGATATAAACACTTTATACTTGCCTTTATTTTAAAATGAGCCAATCGTTTTTTCTTGTTTAGGAAATAAAACATGAAACCTGAACTTAAGAGGAAAATAAGCAATTATACAGATTTTTGATATCTGCTTACAAGTTGTAATTTTTATAATTCCTTTTTGTGAAAATTATACCTTATATTCATTCTTGTGTATAACATATGTATACGCATACATATATACACACACACACACATTTCCATTTCTTTCAGACTAGTCACAAATTAGATTTGAACTGAATGTTTATACAGCCTACTGGTTGTGCCATGGAATTACAAAACTGAAAGCTTTCCCTTTTCTAACATTACAAGCAGTTCACAATTACCAGATTAATAAAATTATTGTGGAGAACGAAAGGTGTTGCTTCTTTAAAACCAAATCTACCTTTATCTATTCTTTTATGTGTTAATAAAGTTGAAATACTTGATACTGCATAACCTTCTGCAGTATCTTTTGTCCTTTTCCTCCATGAGAAATCAGTTTCCTTGCATCAGAATAAGTCAAAATTCCCTCTCTGTACGTGCCGCAAACAAGAAATAGTAGTAGTATTATCAAAGAGTTCTTGCACATGAATACAGGTATATTTCTTAAACTGACATCAAAAATTGCCCTCCTAGAGACAGCACCTGCTGTTTACAAAGATGTGAGCCAAAGGTCAAAATAAAGTATTTCAGGACAGGTGTCAGGGCACTTTTGTGTTACCCCGTATTTGTATCCTTTATCTTCAACACCCTATGAAGTGAGCAGGTGATGGTATCCCCACTTAACTTACAGATGTATCCCCATTTAACATACAGATAAATTATGGCACAGAAAATTTATGCTTATCTTTCCAGGATCAGTCTGAAATTGAACCCAGTTTCTTAATAGCTGGTCTTGAAGCTTAAAATCAAGAGTAATAATTTAAAATATGTAATGATGTTAACTTAATATTAATGAATTACAGATTACATTTAAACTGTTTCTTTACGCTATAGACATTTTGTTCCCTTATTTTTAGAATAATAATATTCCTTCCCCCCTTTTTTCCTTTTGTAGAAAGCGGAAGGAGGATTAGTGGATAATTATATTGCTGTGATTGCAGCACCTGTGTGTTATTTTTTTTTTTTTTTTGATTGGCTAGTTCTGTATTAAAGATTCCTACTAGCTAAAAGTCTCCCTCATCAAATGGTTTTTATTAGCTAATTTTGGCTTGAGTTGTTTTAAATTTACAACCAAAATCTGCTTACTTCAACTTAGATTTGTACTTTAAATTTTTGTTCTGAATTTTTTTATTTACCTTCACCTTTTTATCATCTTATCCATTTCGGTTTTTTAATTTCAATGCCAATGGCAACAGGCACTCACCATATAAAACGATAGCTTGAGTTGTCCTGTTGTTGCCAGCTGTGGAGTTTGTGTGCCACTCAATGTATATGTACTAATAACTCTTCCCTAGAGAGATGCCTTTTATGGAGTAAGTGTCTAACCTATTATAATGAGATATAGGAATTAACTGCTTTGGATGATTACAATTGCAGATTCTAACAGCACTGTTTGGAACTTTAATCATCTCAATCACAAAAAGCACCTCGTTGTGGACTCAGAACTGTGGTCTAAGTGCTTAGAGTTTATTATATTTCCTTAATACATGTTTTCAGAAGTAAAAAAAGCGGGGGCCGGGGGGGGATGTAAGTCCTGTAGATTGGGTTGGCTTGTTTTCATGTTGTTATTTATTTATTTGGCTACATCAAACTGGGAAACTTATAAAGATCATTTAGCTTTTAGAAAGTGATTTACCTTAGATATAGTTATTTTACCAAGCTAACAGTGTTTGACCCCCCAAAAAGGAAACTTACCTAATAAGTGATGAGCACTGTAGTTTTTTCATTTAAATTCAACCGTTAATGATTGCTTCCCTTCACTCTGCCATCCTGACTTGAACTTTTAAAATAATTTTAGAAAGCATTGTTTTCATTAATGAAATTTAATTAATTTATTGTAAATGTATTAAATATATTTTTTATACAAAATGAGTATGTTATATCTGGATAATTTTAGTTTTGTGCAGCTGTGTATTAGGATTTTTTCCATTTTATAAGCCTCTTTGTATAAGGAAGTAGAATTAGTCTGCAAAATGTATTTTAGCTAGATAATCATTTTCTTGCTTTGATGAATTTACTACATTGGAAATATCCTCCCCTGCTTTAGAAATATTAACATTTGCTTTCTTTCTGCCTAATTTTTATATAAATTCTAAATATAATGTAAAATATTTCATTTATAGGCCCTCTGAAAGTAGAACATTTTTAAAAGCAGGTAGGTGTCTCCACCCTACTTTTCATGAAGCATTTTACCCATTCAAGCAGACTTTTAAAAACAGCTTGTTTTGATAGCAGACTGTTCTCCTGTGGGCCTTCAGCCTTTGCTTCCTGGCAGCACCTTTGGTGCGAAAAGAGAGTGATCAATTGGAAGACTATCAGTGCCAGCATGCATAGAGTGATAAGTTAACACACCACTGGGAATTTCTAGGGCCCACCAAGATACTTCACTTCTAATGTGCTAACAAGCTCATTTTTCTACCTCTTGCCTCTTCAGTTATTTTTTTTCTCAGAAGAGCTTAGAAGTTGAGTGCATCAGGCATAATGAAAAGCTCTGTAGGAGGGAGAAGCAATAACCCCATTTTTCCCTTTTCAGCCAAATAGAAAATTAGTTTCTGGTAATACACAAAGGCCAGTATTTTTTGTACAAGGGGCACTGCTGTGAATCAAAGGACTCTATTAACTGCAGAAAATTCGGCAGCTGTGAATCTCCCCCAATGAAAAAAGTACTTTCCAACAAGTTGTGAGATATGTGGTATTATTTAGATTGTACCATCAGTTTCATCCTCTTCTATTTATAACCATATACCCCCTTTAAAAGTGTGCCATATTACTTGTTTATGTTAAGACTCAAAAATGTCCGTATTATCCTCATGTAAAATCCTTGATGCTGATCATTTTAATATGCATCTTGTCCTATTGCTTCCCACCTCAAAAGTAAAATTCTTTTGAAGTTCACCCCCAGTGTACAGAATGGAAGGTAATAGAATTGGGATTCAAGGTTATTTTAATATTTGATACATAAGATAAATTGTAATAGAAGCAGATAAATTGTAATATGAAAGCCACTTAGCAAAAGTTACCACAATCAAAGTCAAGTGCATAATGAATATAGTCTTGCCTTTAACTCTTATACTTTTTTTTTCTCTTCTTACTCAGTGAACTTGTAAATATAACTAACTGGCCATGGTATCTCCCATTGAATTATTTAAAATTATCTTCCTCTCAAATTATTTTTTTGGGTCTTGGCTTAGTCTACAATTTCTAGAGTTTTAGAACTATATAATAATTAAATTGCATTTTTTTAAAAAATAAGGAATTTTGAGGGAAAATATTAAAGTGGACTTTGGGGAAAAATTCAGTGGAAAAAAAGAAGAACAAGTAGACAAATTTTTATTATCCTTATTTAAATGTCTTATGTAAAGCCTGTCAGCATAGCACACTGAGTACCACAGGGAAACTTTTAAAAGTTTTAAAAGAAAGGTTAACTGATTTCTCAGTTCAGGAACTATATGACATGAAGTCAGCATGTGAGTTTTTCCTGATAATTGTATGTTGCTGCCTGCTGCTCTACATTTTGACAGCCATTTCCATAGTTGCTTTCGTGAACAACAGAAATATTCTCTCTCTTTCTCGCCCTCTCTGTGCTAACAGCACAATCAGGCCTGCTGAAACAGGAAGCCTGGAGTGGGTTGTTCAAAAGCAACAACGCTTCAAGGTACTGGTTGCTTGTCAATAATATCAGAGAAGAAAATGTGGTGAAAAGGAACTACAGTATTTTTCTGTCAGTGTCAGTGCCCTGGAGATGCTTTGTTAGACAGTATTTAGGAGTCCTGTGGACTCTTTGCAAATATTCCTGCTTGTTTCAGTGTTATAATTGACTAGGTATTTTTTCCCAGCATACAGATTCAGCTATGTATTTATCTTAACCACATGGAGTTATTCGAGGATTACAGCAACAGTAATCTTCCATTCAAAATGAGAACAATTGTTGAGAAAATGCAGGGATTTTAGAAAAAGAAGAAGATATGTAGGAATTTTTCACAATAAATCTTTACAAATGAAAAACAGAATTTTGGACGTAGTATCTTAAGCAACATTACAATGTTTCTTGCGTGGCTTTTGAGAGTAAATCTGCAGATGGAAGCTGATTAACAAGATAAGATGAGCCTAGGCCGATATAAATTTCAGCCTAGACTCCTGATAGAAATTGAATCCTTTCTCAAGTAAACTGTTAACTTCCTTCATTTCAGTAGTTTAGTATTATTGTAATTATTATCTAATAAATGTCTCCCTGTTAAGTTGTCATTTATACTGGGATCATGAAGAGTAAACATACATTAAAAACTATATTTTTGCACTTTAAAAAGCCATACTGTTAACAATATATAAGAATAATTAGTGAATAATTCTATTTATTAAGAAGTAATGGCTTAGCAATCATAGCAGTCCTTTTTGATAAGATTTTTTTTCCAGTATAAGCTGCACTTAAGTTTATCCTTAACCAAAGGAAATCAGCTATGAGGAGAGAGCACGATACCTGCAAACAATTGTCCAGCACCACTTAGAACCAACAACATTTGAAGATTTTGCAGCACAGGTTTTTTCTCCAGCTCCCTACCACCATTTACCATCTGATGCCGGTAAGATTAAAAGCGAGTATTAGTTACTTGTTATTGGAACTTGAAATGCAGTACCCTTTTGTTCTAAAAACTTGCTTGAAAAAAATTCTAATCATTGAAATATGAATTTTTAATCACTATTTAATATTTGAATTTGGCCTATAAATTTGATTTATGGTTTCTTTTACCTAAATGCAGTTCCTTAAAAAGTCAACTATCTTCATAAAAGTACATGTACCACATTTTATATGAGCTAATATTCAATGACTCTTGCATCTTCTGGAATCATTTCTGAAGTATCTGCAAAAGAAATACAAATTAAGCATGCACTCTGAACTTCAGAGGATCAAATTTTGTGGCCAAGAATATCACCCCATCATCTCTGATTTTACAGCTAAAGCTAATATAACTGGTCTAGATTTAGAAGTACTTAATACTGTAATTTATGTTACAATAATTAAAGAGTGTAAGAGGGTACTGCATTTTATGATTAATTTTGAAGAAATCAGTAAGAAAATAAATGACTCGTGGCCTTCCTATTCTGTAATATCTTGCTCTCCTTATGATTGTTTCATTTATTTTCCCTCTTTAGATCATTAAATATCAGTTCTGTTTATCTGAAGGTAAGACAAAGTGTCAACCAAAACACCCTCTGTTCTTCTCCCATTTCCTTTTTTCAAAATTAGCAGGCTCTAAGCTTGTAACTTAAACAATAAGTAAACTTAACACTGTCCGGTTCATACTAAACATTTCAGAAATTGTCACTAAATTTTTTCCAGTATTATACTGACTAACCCAGGTCTGCATGAAACACTAACATGGTTTGGGGATAAAAATAACTAATAATAGAATCCCTTGGTTGAAATTAGTTACACCTTGTTATATTGACCTTTTTTTTCTGTTTCTCAGCATGAAAAAGTAGTACTATTGAACTGAAGTAGTGTGTCTTTGTATTTTGTGATGTGTTGCATTGTTATTGGATATCCTAACTCATCAAATGATAACTCTCTGTGTGCCTTGCACTTCACTAGGCACCTGAAATACAAAGATGACTGTTGTAATGGTATTCAAGGGAAGCAGGAAAAGAGGACATAATATGCTTGAAGTTTATCATAATAAACCTTCAAATCTCTTTATATTAAATAAGTTTTCTTTATATTAAATAAATTCAAAAGGCACAACACTTCTTTTCTAGCCTAATTTATTTGGAAAAAGTTACTGTAATTCTCAATTGAGATTTAGTTAGTGAAATTAAAGTTTCCATTCCTGTCATCATTAAATTGCTATTAGAAAAATAATTTTACAAAAAATTTAGATCGCTTTCAGATAGTATAAAAGACCTAGCAAAGACAAAACCGTATTAAACCAGGTTGAATCTTTTGAAAGAGATAAAAAGTCTAAGATTCACTTTAATGGATTGACACTATCCAAAATTACCCAGTTTGGCATTAAAAAAGATGGTAAAAGAGAAATATTAAATTAATGAACAGCAAAATAACTAATTAAGTATATCTGGCAATTTTCTTGTTTAATAATGGAGAATGTCCGATAAAATGTCAGATTATATTAAAAGAGATATGAATAACACTTGTGTATCCTATAGTCAAGCCATAAATTTCACAAGTGAAAAATATTGATAATAGAACCACACTTGGACTAACTTTCCCCCTTAGATTGATAAAGGCTGTTCAGTTCTCATGTGTCGTTGTTTACCAGCTGTACTCTTTCGTATTTGTCATCTTAATGTTCTCCCCATATTTTGCATGTTATCCTGCACATTTGGCCAGGTATTGTGGAAGTGAGTAGTATCTCACTTCTGAGACATTAAAGGATGCTACAGCAGCCAAGTCAGGGTTCTGTTGGCTTCATTTTTAATGTGTCTTACAAAATTATTGTGTAAGTTGTTTAAAATAACACTTATGATTGTCTAAATAGTAGTAAAAATGTGAATTTGAACATAAACCTAATATTGTGCTACAGATTTTTTCAGTTAATTTTTAAGAGTTGTCACTGCATTTAAGAACCATCCTCTAATTTTAATATGCACTCTGATTTTCAAAAGGGTGTTTTTGCTTGTAAATAACTTGTGCCAGTATTACTGAATACGTTTCTATATAAGTTTTTGCAGACTTTAATAGTTATGACATAAATTTTTATCAGAGTGGTTCTCAGTTCAACACAAAATAAAAATGAAATATTTACTCTTAAGAGTAGCAAAAACATAGAATCTGAAAAATAATTTTTTTCCAGTTATCTCAAATCTTAACTTTTCTGTCATAAGTCCCATACATATAGAGCTCCCTTTAAAGTTATAAGTCAAAGTGGACAGAGAAGACATAAAATAAGCTGTATAATAGCAGTTTGGACCTGACTGCTGGTTTGCAAAAATGACATAATAGTGTAAAGTTTTTAATCTTTTTCCTAGCAGAAGTATAAAATGTGTTCACCACATTGAAAAAATGGATTCATAATTGCAATTGAAAAATCAACTTTAGATATCCTGTGCACACCCTATGTATATAAAATAGTACTAATCAATACTAATATGGTCATTTGAAATTAAATTTTAAAGAAATGCCAAAATGGTGATTATATTCTGTCTAACCAACCCTATAACATAATTATATTCAGTGGAATAGTATAGAAAAATAATATTTATTATTATTATTATTATTACACTTTAAATTTTAGGGTACATGTGCACAATGTGCAGGTTAGTTACATATGTATACATGTGCCATGCTGGTGTGCTGCACCCATTAACTCGTCATTTAGCATTATTTTTTTAAGATTTCTTAATTTGGTTCAAGATTATCTAAAGCCCACTTTCTGGTTAGCGGTAACGTGCAAATCAACTGTGGTGACATTTAAATCCGAGAAAACATTTTTCCGTATTACTTTCAGTATTATTAAAATAGATATGAAAGATTTTGGTGCATCATAGTTGATCCATAAATTTCATAACTGTATTTTCTCAAAATGTACTGTCTGTGGCAGTAGACTGATACTTAAGGGAAATTATTTTTATCCCTAAGGTCATTGAGGGAAATATCGTGATGTCACACTTTGTTGATCTTTCATAACTACGTTAAAATATTATTAGATTTTTCTTGTCTTTTATTTTTAAAAAATTACAGGAAAAAATCCCTTTATCTTTGTCAGGCATGTGTGTGGAAAATATCAAAAGTTTTTAGTGACTTCTTAAAGTTTTTTCATATTTACAAATACCTCTCCTTTAATTATAAACTTTAAAATGAAATTACTGCTCTTCTTGGCCAGATTACACTGTTTGTTCATATGTACATGTTTCTCCCAATGTTATATTGTCTTTTCAATATTATCTTTTTTTATTTTGTAATAAGAGAAATTCTAGAATGACAACAAGAAACAGGATCCTGTTTTGCTGAAAGTGTATAGTAAATATTAATTGGTTTAACTTTCTCAATTTCAACATTAAAAATATACTCATAATTTTTTGGAGTATTATGTCTTTAAGTTACAGATTTTAGTTATTTACAGTTAAAGTGTTGATAGGTGTTTCTGTCTTTCTGTATTCATATACATATATATACATACACAAACATATATCTATACATACATAACACTTTTTATAATTACTTTTGGAGAATATAGGGGTTCCTATTTAAAGCAATATTATAAAATTAATAAAATTCAAATATAATTTTTATGATACCAAATTCAGAGATAATCAAGAGTGACTATGAAAACCTAGAGTAGTATCTAGTCTGCCTTCTAACCTCAGTTGTGCTGTTAATTTGCAAAATCTATATTCCCATATGTAGATAGGATGGAATTTATGATGGTCAGATCTATTTCTTTGAATCTTTGAGTGGGATGGATCATCAAAATTTAGCCATTGCTTTAGGTAACCTTTTTTAGCTCAATGTCCTTTAAAAGTTATTTAAACTACTCAGGCTTTGAAATGATCTGAAATAAAATATTTTAGCTCCTTAGAAGATAGTTATTTTATAAATATCTTAAATATTAGTAAGTGCCAACAGAAGAATTAGTTGCCTGCAATATGTAACATAAGCTATAAATCTGTTTATTTAATGGTTTGGTTTTTGTTTTTGTTTTTTTTGAGACAGAGGCTGGAGTGCAGTGGCGCAATCTTGGCTCACTGCAACCTCCACCTCCCGGGTTCAAGCAATTCTCCTGCCTCAGCCTCTCAAGTAGCTGGGATTACAGGCCCATGCCACCACTCCTGGCTGATTTTTGTATTTTTGGTAAAGACAGGATTTCACCATGTTGGCCAGGCTGATCTCAAACTCCTGACCTCAGGTAATCCACCCACCTCAGCCTCCCAAATTGCTGCGGTTACAGATTTGAGTCACCATACCTGGCTAATTAATGTTTTTAAAAACAGATTCCTACGCATATTAATTTATCATTAGATTAGCCTGAAATTATAGGCAGCCAGATATGTTCTATTTGATACTTTGAACTTGGAAATTTGGCTTATATGTTGTTGACCAAGAGGCAAGTAATAATCTTAAATAAGACCCACTAACCTTTTGTGATAACTGCTGGTTCAGTTTCCACATAGAACATTCACTGAGATGTGAAATTTTTGTAATGAAAATAATAAAATAATAATTGTGCTATTACTGAGTGCCAGACACTGTGCTCGGTACTGTACATACATTATGAAATTAAAAAATGCTTACCCAGAGTCACCTGGTACTTTGTCAAGCTAGTATTTCAACCTAGACTGATCTGATTTCAGAGGGCATGATCTTAACTATTACAGTTACCCATTTAGTCTAAATATTTTCATCCCCTTCCTGCTGTTGATAGAGAGATATTGCCCAATAACCTGTCATATTTACAAATTATAAATTGTTAAAGATTTTTATTTTAAGGGTTTTACTTTCCCACCCATTGAAAAATCTCTTTTCCCCCATATATCTTTAAGGTTGCCAGGGGAGAAGTATGAGCTTTGGAATCAAACTAATCTGGATTTAAATCCTAGTTCTGCCAGTTGTTATCCATATAAATGCAAATTAATCAATTCTCCCAATTTTTTCCTTTGTAAGGAGGAGGTAAAATATGACAAGCTTGGCCTGATTTGTTCTAAATCTAAAATACTAGTAGTTCTTGAATGTATCTTAAAATGAAACCACATGTTTGCCTTTATTTCTCTACTATTTTAAATTATGTTATTTCCTGGCCAGGCATGGTGGCTCACGCCTGTAATCCCAACCCTTTGGGAGGCTGAGGCAGGCAGATCACTTGAGGCCAAGAGTTCAAGACCAGCCTGGCCAACATGGCAAAACCCTTCTCTACTAAAAACACAAAAATTAGCTGGGCATGATGGCATGCGCCTATAATCCCAGCTACTCAGGAGGCTGAGGCAGGAGAATCACTTGAACCCGGGAGGCAGAGGCTGCAGTGAGCTGAAATCGCGCCACTGCACTCCAGCCTGGGTAACAGAGTGAGACTCCCTCTCAAAATAAAGAAATAAAAATAAAAAATAAATTGTGTTATTTCCTTTATGATATTCAGTGCCATCCATGCTAATCTTAATAACTTATCAACTCCTTTAAAAATATTAAAAGCAAGGTTATTTGGGTAGCCTTTAACCTTTAATATAAGGTTATATTTTATAGGACTATCAACATAAGAGAGGATAAATTTCCTTCAAACTAAATTTAATGGTATGTTGTGCTTTTCACATTTGAACAATAATATTTTGTATAGGTGGTCATTTTCTTCAAAAATGTTCCTCATTTCTATCCCTTCGTTTCTAATCCTCATCTGTTCTGATTCAAAATGTATCAGCTTTTATTTTTCTCTGTTTAATAGCATTATTATGTAGCTATACTTACTGTGCTCCTACTATGTGCCAATATCTTTGCATATGTAATCTTAATCCCTGGGATGACTTGACAAAATTGCAAGTATTAGCTCCATTTTACGAATACAAAAATGTCTCAAGTCAGTTTGCCCAAGATCAAACAGCTGGTAAAGTGACAGAGTCGGCATTTAATCTAGGACTGTCTAACCTATGCCCATGTTCTTTCTAACAAATCACATCGTCGCTGGAGTTCAGTATTAATTGAAATTGCTTTTAAAGATATAATATTTTATAGGGCTATATCTGCCCAATAATTAGCAGCTTTAAACCAGTCATACCTGTCACCAAACAGTACAAACGAAACCACAATAAAAAATGATCTTTTGAGCTCCCTCTTATAATCCCTATATATCCCAAAAGTCATATCCATTATGTTAATTGTAATAATAGTTTATTGTAATCAATGTGCAATATATGAATCAATTTATCCCATCAGATTACACAGTCTGTGTGAGCACTGTAAGAATGTTAGTAACAGATACGGTATGCACAAACATAGGAGCTCATGTGTACTTTTAAAACCTCATCCTTGAGGATATATTAATAATAGAAATAAATCAGCATTCTTTATGACTCAAGTAGTATAAATCAATAGGTAGAGTAGGATGTGAAATGAAATGTAGGTTGTTACTACATTTTTTACATCTAAAATTGAGGTCTTTCTACTGTAAATTATTTATAGAGTTTGGGAATGTTGAATATATACCACAAATGTAATTTGCTAAATTGTTAGGAAGTACTGATAACTATACACCACACACACTAAAAATCCTTATTTGACTCTGTTGAGTGAAGGGAGATTTCACTTTAAAGGCAGTGAGGAAGACATGGAAGAATTGTTTTTGAGGAAAATATTATTTGAGTTTGCCATAATGTAGAGCAATGCTCTCTGATAAAGCCCTCCTTCTATGGTGATGGAAATGTTCTATATCTGCACTGTCTAATGTGGAAGCCGCTAACTACATGTGGCTGTTGAACAATTGAAATGTGGCTAGTGTACTGAGGAACTGAATTTTTATTTAATTCATTTTAATTCAATAAATTTAAACTTAATGTGGCTGTGGCTACCACATTGGACAATGCAGCTCTAGAGATTTTATGTCTGAGTGATTAGGATAACATGCCAACAGTACAGTGAACACTTTAAAAGGTAGATATTTACAGAATCTCTCATAGACCTTTTTTCTTCTTTTCTTTTTTCCTATTTGAACTTGTTTTGTTAGTTGGTAAGTATAACATTTGAATTTACAAAGCATTGTCATTGTGAACCATCACCCTAATGCATTGCATGCCCAATTATATTTCATAATAAAAACCTTGATTCCTCTCTCTCTGCTCCTCAGTTAACACCTAGAAAATTCTGCACTGTGTCTCTCATATCTGTTATCTATCTTCTCTTTTGCTTTCTCACTTCTGCTTGCTACTCCATTTCTTCATTCACAACAAAGAAAGAAATGCAGTGATAGTTCTCTTCCTCCCAAAACCTCCGCTAGAAAACATTGGCCATCTCAAGGTAAACAGCAATGGGAGGGCCTCTCGTGATGGCCGGGAATGATATGCATTACCAGAAAAGCATGAGCTACTACTGCTCTTCACTTTCCTTCTGCCATCCATCTGCAGTGCTTCCCTAAAGGGGGTCATGGATTCATATTCTCCCATAAATTTTCCAGTATGGGTCTGCTATGAACCAATTCAGATCTTCAGGAAGAGTAAAGGTGAACAGAAATATGTTTCCTTCTCCTTGTATTTTGAAGGCCAGTCTTATTTCAATTAGAAAATAATGCTGGAAAAGTTACTTTGAGAAGAAGGGCAATTGACCTGGATTATGAGTGACAGAATATTTTTCCTTGGAAACATATATTTTTTCTTAAGTATAACTCTAACATTTGGTCTTAAAAACTTTTTGAAGGCCGGGTGCGGTGGCTCACGCCTGCAATCCCAGCACTTTGGGAGGCCCAGGAGGGTGGATCATGAGATCAGGAGATTGAGACCATCCTGGCCAACATGGTGAAACTCCATCTCTACTAAAATACAAAAAAATTAGCCGGGCGTGGTGGTGCGCACCTGTGGTCCCAGCTACTCAAGAGGCTGAGGCAGGGGAATCGCTTGAACCCGGGCAGTGGAGATTGCAGTGAGCCAAGATCGTGCCACTGCACTCCAGCCTGGCGACAGAGTGAGACTCCGTCTCAAAAAAAAAAAAAAAAAAAAAAAATTGAAGTGTTCTGCAAAGACATATTCTTAATTGCTTAAGACATCTCAATAGGATCTTCACCCCTTACTGAACTTTTTGTTTTTGTTTATAAACATTCAGTAACTTCAGTTTAAGCACAAAACATTTCATAGATATGAAAGTGCTAGCATAATTATTTCCTAGTTTGAAGTATCAATGAGGTGCTACATTGGCTAACAAATATGCTGAAAGTCTCCCTGTAAAGTAAGGACATGTATGTGTACAGTTAAACCTGCAACCTGTGTGGTGTTTTTGTTTGTAAAACACATAAAGAAAATTTTCATGTACTTAAGACCCAGAAAATCTGGATTAAAATGCCTTAAAATATCCAGAATCTCTTGCTGTTATTGTTTTCAGATTTTTTTTTCTGAAGGACTTTTATTTTTAATGTGATTTTAATTAATTACTCATTTTGTTTAGGAAATATTTGAAAGCCTACAGTGTGCAAGGTTCTGTAGTATTGCTGCATATTAGAGAATGATAATTTATAGAAATAAAGCACAGAGATGAAAAACTACTTTATAAATGACACAAAGAACTTTCCTATTTGATTTTGTTTTACTTCTAAAATTGTATATCTACTAATTCTACTGGTTACCTGCTTGCTTATGATTGAATAAGATACCTGCAAAAGTTTAAGTTAATGAAAACAAAAGCATTGTTTATGTCTTTTAAATTAAGACATTTTGGGGGAGTCAGTTTGCCTTTTTTTAACTGACATTCAGAGGAGAATTCTTGTCCTCCCCTCATCCACAAATTTATCTTGCTCCTTCTTAAAGCCGTCTTTAAATACCTAGCATGTATATGATCTCATAGTGCTGAGTTCCTTTTTTTGTTTTGTTTTGTTTATAAGGGCATCTAGTGAAACTGACTTCCTTTTTGAAACCCGTGGTTCCAAAACTGTTTGGAACTGTTTGGTGCTGTTTTTCAAGTTTGAGTAGTGAAGGCTCTTTTCTTGGTTGTACCCTGAATCCTAGAGATAGGAATTGGTCCTTCTCACCTGCTTCTTGACCCCTTCCCTGCATGCTGATGGTGCTTTGGATCCCTGTTCTTTCTGGCTCAAAGATTTTGCTTCCCACTGCTTTTTCCAGGGTTCTAGCCCTGGGAATGATGATTGGCGCTTTCTTGCTAATATAATGACATGAGCCACCAGATTGCTGGGTTTTAAATACATTAGTAGGCTATTGTAACAAGCAAGTTTGGGGCTTGCTTTTTCCCTCGAAAGATCTTATTAAGGGATGGGATCCTTGCTGCAGATTAGTAGCAGAAAGATTATTTCTCAGGGGATGAGAGGCTGGATAACTGTAGTAATGCTCTTGCTGTTTCCTACAGGCTCCTACCCAGAGATTCTACCCAGTGAAACTCCCACAGCAACGCAGGTAGATGGGGCTGACCTGGCCTCTCCAATGTCTCCTCGAACTAGCAAAAGCCGCATGTCCATGAAGCTGCGTCGTTCCTCTGGCTCAGCCAATAAATCCTAAGGAGACAAGCAGCCCAGCAGTGATCAGCAGTAGCCACCTTAGCACGAACATAGGGTTAACCCTTTCAGGCCTTCATGTCTGCCATAACATGCATGTTTCTTCCTGTACATTTATTTGAGAAAACACTGGATTTAAATAATTTTAAATAATTTGTAGCTTAATATTAAAGATTTAAGTTATTTATTGTTTCATTTTTTTTCCCACAATCCAAGCTGCCATATTTTGAGGGCAGGGGGAGTTTTATTCTACACCCTTTACCTTCCTAGATAATTATGTCTAAGTAGTTTTATCTTTAATTTCATGGTTAACTGTGAGCCAAAATACAATTGGACAATTAGTCTCATTATTTATTGTGCCCCATTGCAACTTTATGGTTCAATAAATATATAATTTTTTACAAATGTAAAATTTTACATTTAAGCATTTGTAAAGTTACAGCAAAAGATGTACCTGTTAATACACAGAATGTGTACAGATTATTTGTTATGACAATAAAACACTCAAAATAAATGGTCTTTAGCATCTCAAATTCCAACTGAAATCATTTTAGTATTAACTCTTCTTCCCAAAGCAATGTCTCATTTCTTGGCTGTGCAGGTGATGCCATGTTATATCCAATAACTAGAAAAATCACTGTGCTGAACTTTTATGTTTAGCTTCCAAGTATTTTTCTAATGTTTTGCATTTCAAGTGGTATCACTGTTAAATGCCATTTGTTTTCAGATTGTGGCCTTTTATTATTGGCTGCTAGATCCTGGTGTTTCTATGTTCTTTTTTAAGCACCAAAAAGAAGATGGGGAAGAAAAGAAGGAAAATTTTCTGATATAAATATGTTGTTCAAATTATGAGTATTATTTAAAAAAGAAAAAGGAACATAACCCAGGAGTCTAAGTTAAATCTAATATTGTTAATACTGAACTTGCAGGTCCAGGTTGGTATACATTCCACCCTCTAGAAGTATTTTCTTACAGTAGATAAGCTGCTCACATTTTGTTTTGAATGGGCATCTCCTGAGGAAATGTAGCATGACATTGGTACTAACTGCATGTGTAAATACATCATACTGGCAAACCGTAAAATATAAATTATGTATCATCATTCATGTAGTATCTATAATTTGTAACAGTGGGGGGGAAAGATGACATGGTATTTAATAATACAATAAAAATATTCTTATCACTTCCTATCCATGAGTGTTGATTTGTCTTCTATGTTTCATATATTTTCAATAAGCAGGGCTATATGAGTAGTGAGGAGATTTAAAGCATGAACCTAGATTATCTTAGCTAATCATCAAAAATAAACTTGAATTCCCTTTTCAAGATACATTCCAACTTATTTCTCACAGATCCTACCACAGTCGTTAAAAACACAGGAAATTTTCTGTCTTCATAAAGGCTGGCCAGAAATTCACCCAATGCAGTTGGTTAGATTGTTAGTTTATCTCAGCTTCATGTTTTTGTTTTGTTTTGTTTTGCTTTTTGAGACGGAGTCTCCCTGTCACCCAGGCTGGCGCGATCTCGGCTCACTGCAACCTCCGCCTCCCAGGTTCAAGCAGTTCTCCTACCTCAGCCTCCTGAGTAGCTGGAACTATAGGCGTGTGCCACCACGCCCGGCTAATTTTTTTGTTTTGTTTTGTTTTTTGTTTTTTGTTTTTTAGTAGAAACGGGGTTTCACCGTGTTAGCCAGGATGGTCTCCATCTCCTGACCTCGTGATCCGCCCACCTCGGCCTCCCAAAGTGCTGGGATTACAGCTTCATGTTTTTTTGATTCTTAAATTTTACTTTGTTTTATAATATACTTTCAGCAATAAAACTTCGTACTAACAAGTTTCTAAGACAATCTTTCAGAAATTCTGTGCACCCAATTTCATTTTCTTATAAATGAAAACTAAAAGTCCTATGTAAGCTGATGTAGAAGATAAACAAATGGATAGAGTCCTTGGGAAGAAGATTGAACAATGTAGACAATTTCCTACAGCCAAGGTGAAGAATTACAAAAAGGAAAATCAGAGTAACTGCATACATGTTTCTAAAGTGCTATAAAAAATCTAATGGATTGATGATATATAACAATATGGAGTAAAAATACAAACCTGAAATAATGAAATTAATTAGCACCATTAAAATACTTCTTTTCATCTTCAGGTAACACTGTTCACTAGCTTGAAATATATATATATATATATTTAAAATATGTTTTCGGTTGACATTTCTTGGGGGGGATGTCTTTTTTAGATTCAAAGACTAGTGCATATTCCTTGCTTTTTGCAGCTCAGTCTTTGCAGCCATACTTCAAAGGAAAATTTTTCATTGCATTCCTGCACCATCACATTCATTTGCAAAATATTTCCGTCTTTGTATTCTGTCCAAATGGGTCACTAACATTCTAAAACAGGATACCGACATTGGGGAGATAAGAAATGTGGCTTTGAAAATAGGCTGTGTTCAACAGGATTCTTAAGACAAACACAGAACACAACAAAAGCACAGTCTATGTACATTTATTTGGTGGTAAGCATCTTACAAATACGGGCTTTCTGTCAGGCAGTGCTCAGCCAATGTCCCAAACTGGCTAGTAGGGAATTAGTACACAATGTACACTGAAATGGTTTTTTAAAAAAATCAAAAACAAGTTGCCGCTGAAAAGAAAATACTGAATATTGAGCAAATTGCCATTCAGTTCCTTAGTGGATTACAGGTGTTAACATCTTCCTTAAGCTGTACATATTTTCATAATGAATACACAGTATGACATTTACAGCAGAAGCATTAAACAATTTGGGTGAAACCCCATTAAAACAGTCAAACTTGAGGAAACGACTTCTGTATTTCCAAAAAGCCATTTAAAGAAAGGTTTGAAGTAGCTCTTCCTGAATACTGCCCACAAAATAGCTGAGGGTGAGAATTTTAGGGGGTGTCTCAACTCCAGTAAAGTAGCATCCTCCCCACCTCCAAACACCAACTTAAGAATGGACATGTACATATAATTGGGCAAAGGAAAGTTTACAGGGGAGATCCCCATGCACCCCAAAAGCAGCAAAAATCCTCTTACATTTTCTGCCAGGTCTTGAATCTCCTTAAGTTTGACACCAATCACATAACTTTTAATTCACAGAATATACAGTGCAAAATATCTGACCCTATTGAGACAGAAGCTGTATAGGCGCCTGTGATGACAAGACAAAAAAAACATTGGCTACCAAAGGGTAGCCAGAATCCTTTGTGGACATTGAGACATGCACGCATTCACCGCGACTTTCCATAGGAATTACAAATCATATAGGATTCGTTAGGGTCTCCAGAGTTTTAAGGGGAAAAATCCTATTTTAGTGGGGAAAGTGAGAAGGATTTAAAGCTGACAGTCTTTGATCTCAAGGTTTATACCATATACATACCTGCTCTAGAGAGGGATATTACATTTCACTGTCCGCTCCTCTGGTGGAACATTGACTACAGGGAGAATTTTAGGGGATTAAAACATAGGAAGGAATGAAAGTAAACTTGCAAGTTGAAGAAAGCCCCACAGAAATTCCCATGATCTGTTTCCTCTAAGGCCAACCTCGAAATCATCCTGGTCTCTCGTCCCTCAGCAGCCAGGCCGCAGTGGCATCTGCAGCAGCAGCACTTGCCGGCTTTCTGAGGGGTGGCACTTATTGATGTGCCGGGTCAGCCCTGGAGAGCTAAAAAAAGTGGACGGGCAGTGCTTGCACGAGAAAATTTGCTGGGCACTCCCGTCAGATGGCCCGCTAGGGCCCGACGTTTCGGGAGGAGCCCCCGCCAGAGCGGGCAGGAGCAGCTCCTCGCGGACAGCATGCCACAGCCGGTGCTTCTCCCTGATATCTGCTGTAGGGAAGTGCGCTCCGCACAATGGGCAAGCGAAGGCAAGTGGGGCACCGCGTTCGGAGCCAAAGCCCGGCGCTAGCGCACGGGCCGAGCCCGCCTCGTGAGTGCTCAGGTGCTTGCGCAGATAGGCTTGGCGACGAAACTTTTTGTGGCAATATGGGCACACGAAAATCTCGGATCCCCTGCCACCACTGGTACTGCCCGGCACAGGTACCCGGCGCCCCAACACCCCCTCCGTGTAGGGGCCCTGAGGCAGCGGTGGCTCTGGATGCGTCAGCACCTGGAGGCCCTGCCTCGGGGCGCTGTCCGGGTGCTGATCCGCCCCGGAGCTGTCCCTGGCCTGCGGGTGCTGATCCGCAGTCCGCTCTATTCGGCTGTTCTCCTTTCCCTCCGCCAGAAAAGATGCAATGGCCCCGGAGTCCCGGGAGGACGAAGACGACGAAGAAGGCGGCTTCCCGTCGGCGGAGGAGACTGTGGCGGCGTTTGCAGCCGCAGGACGCGGCTTATGCCAGCGGCGATGGGAGGCCAGGTTCGCAGGACAGCTGAACACCTTGTCGCACTCAGGGCAGCGGTACTCTACGCGCACGATGCGGGAGCAGCGGTGCTGGGCCAGCGCGAAGGGGTCTGCGTACTGCTCCTTGCACAGCTGGCAGATGAACTCCCCCAGTGGCGTGCGGCTGCCCCCCAAGCCCCGGGACGGCGCTCCGGGCTCCTCCTCCTTGATCTTCAGGCCCAGGACAGGGGATGTGGTCACCTCATCGGCAAAGCTCAACTTCCTCATGGCCTTTGGCTTCTTGATTCCCGCGGCCGCGGGTCCAGACGCGCAGTCCGTGGGTGCCTTGCCGCGGCGCTCGCCGCCGGCCGCCCGCTTCAGACTCTGAAGGGCGGCCGAGAGGGGCGCAGGGTCCGGCTGAAGCGCGGGCTCTGGGAACGGCGCCCGAAGCGGCAGCAGAAACTGCTCCCCCGGGGTCGGTGCGGCTGCTGGCGCCACGGAGCAGGAGAAAGCGGCCACGGCGGCGGCGCCCCCGGGGAAAGACTCGGCGGAGACGGGCGAGCTGAGGCAGCGCTCCAGGAACGCCCGACGCAGCTCTGCGCCTGCCGGCTTCGCTGGACTGGGGCTGGGGCTGGGGCTGGGCCCGGGACCTTCCCTGCCACCCGCCCGCCACTCCGCGCCTTCCCGCCCGCCCGTCCCCGGGCTCACCCCAGCCGCCCGACATGGCGACCCCGACTGTTCCCGGGCCGCCTCCGCCGTCAACCCCTTTCCTGGTTCCTCTCGGGTGGGGGGTGTCGCCCGCTCCGCGCCGGGCAAGGAGGCGCTGGGAGCCTCCTCCAAGAAGGGCGGCGCCCCCTGGGGCCCCAGCAGAGGGAAGACACGCTCCGCAAGGCGAACTCGGTACAAGCCGCCTGTCCGTTTAGTTCGCTTCACCAGGAATCCCCTTGGCATGGTGGAGTCGAGAGCGCTCTGGGACAAGAGGAAAGGGGGCGCCACGGGGACTGAGAGCCGGCCAGCAGATGAACTAGAAGAGCTTCGCCGCGGCTGTCATGCCGGGGCTATCTTTATAGCTGAGACGCGGGCCGGGGTCCCGCCGGGCCTCCCCGGGCTGGCCCGGCCAATCAGGAGTGGGAGCGGGCGCCGGGGGCGGGGCTTTCTCCCGTGCCGATTCACTGGAGTAGACGAATCTGGCGGCGGCGGCGGCGCACGCCCAGCCCCGCCTCACAGCGCCGCGAACCTGCCCCTGTGGCCGGCTGGGTCCGCCTCCCCCTGCAGCCTCCCGGGCGAAGACGCCAGAAGGTAAGGTCCAGAGTGTGAGGGAGCTCGACACTCCCCGCCTTGGCTGCCTCCGCGGAGCGTCCCACTGGGGAGCCGGGCGAAAAGGCCACCTCACGACGCCCTCCGCTCGGGCCGGGACCCGGCTGCCCCCAACGCGAGGGCGTCTGGCTGAAAAGCTCCCGCTCTGCGCCGGACGGCCGAGCGGAAGGGGCGGTGGGCAGAAGGTGCGGCGGAGACCACGGGGTGGGTGTCCGGGAGGGAACCGGTGCACGTCCTCTGCGGGTATTGAGCTGATGAGAAGTGCGACCGAGCGGCCGGACAGCTGACTGCACCGCCCTGTGGCTGCTGTCGGCGGCGGGAGCACGTCCGCCCGCCGGTATCGATCGGGCCCGCGCGCGGCGGCGACACTCGAGAGTTCATCTCCGCAGAAGGGCTCTCAGCGCGGGAGAGCGTGCCTGCCCGCCGCCAGCCTCCGAGTCGGGACGCCCGAGCGCGGCTGGGTCCTGGGCGTCTGCGCTCTTAAGTGCTTCTCGATAGGAGCAGGAGTAGGGAGAGGAAAGGAGGATCTCATTTTCCACTGTCCTCGCATAAAGTGGTTTCTCTGTTCACACTTTCCACTTGTACTACCCAGAGTATGACTTAATTCCTAACCGGCCTGTTTAGCATGGAGTAGATTGAGTGAGAAATGCCGGCGGAATCAGCATTACAGCTGCTTCCCCGTACACCACAAGTGATACTTTGCAAAAGGTGTGCTGTAGAGCAAACTCAACAGATTTTCATCTGGCACCCTGCAATGCTCCCACCACTATTTTGAGAACTAGAAGAGGTTTGAAAGTGTTTAGTAGTAATTGAACTAGGCAACAATTAGACCATCTATGACAGATATAAAGTGCCAAGATCCATAATATAGGTAAATAAAGTGTGAGAACAGGAAGGGGAAAGACTATGTGCACAAGTCTCCTTACTAAACCAAATTGGAGAAAAAGACTGACAGAGGTGTTTTAAAAGTACACGATAGCATAACAGATGTAGTCATCAATAAAACACATTGTCTTTCTTCAGTGAAGTATTTTTACAGGGAGAACATTATTTTGAGAAAGATTTGGAAGTAATTATATATTAATCATTGACTATGTTATAGGCATTCTGCTTAAGTAATCTCTAATCTTCATACACACGCACACAACATGTACACACACAAACCAAAAAGGAGATATTATTTCTCTCTTTTTTCAATGTGGTGATTGAGCCATTTAGTTAGATAATGGGTAAAAGCCAAGCAGAGCTCAGATTCAAACTTGTTCTGGCTAATTCCAAAGCCCAGACTCTTTCCACTACACCAATGGCTTCAAACTATTTTTTTCCTTAATCACATCCCACAATAATAAATGTGTTCTATAGTATATACACACATGTAACTGAAACAAAAGTCTCACAAAATAATACTGTGGGTCCTAATCTATTTGTAAATTATGAAATCATACATTGAAATGTTTGCAGTGCATTCTCATATTTTTCATTGTATTGTATTTTGTTTCTTAAAAATAGCAGTCATAGAAAATACATTGATTTCATAATTTACAAATGGATTAGGACCCACAGTTTGAAAAACACTCATTATATTGTCTCATTAAATAGCATGAAATGATACAAAATTAAATAAACCTGATACTGCATAATCACAATATCTGAACCACTGTTTAAAATATTTGAGTCCTTTAGCAGTGTTGGTAAACTTAGTTTCCCAAATTGGTCATTTCTGACATGTCAGCTTATATGTGACTTCTAACTCAAATTCTCAATTCTCCTTTCCTCCTCATGATCCATACATATTGTGTGGTGTGGAAAATCTGATGTAATAATTTTAATACTTTAAGATAACCCCTTTTCCAGAGAGAGAAAGGACTCTTCCCCAGGGGCATAGTACTTTGTAAGAATTGCTGTCAGATATTTTCTACCAGATCCGATAGTTCCAATAGCTCTCTCCTTCCCTTCCCAAGTGTAATTTAATAACATCCTTTCTGGAAATCATTGTAACAATTTACATCAGAAGCTTTAAAAAGTATGTATACATTTAATCTACCAATTCCTCCTTTAGTAAGTCATCCAAAAGAAGAGCGAAGATTTATGCACAAAGCTGTTTATCACAGTGTTATTTGTAATTATAAATAATCAGAAACCATCTTGAGTAAACTATAGTATAGCCGTGTTATAGATGATTACGTAGCTTTAAAAATGTAATGATAGAGACAAACATATATACCATAACTAAGCAAAAACAGCAGGCAGCAAAAGTTGCTTGTACAATAAAGAGCTCAGTTATGAAAAAAACGAAATGCATATAAGACAGTGGAAGGAAATATGCCAAAATGTTGTTGGGATTGCCTCTAGTAAGTAGGAATTCAAATAGTCTTTTTTTAACTTTTTTGTTAAAATATTTTGCAATAATCGTATATTACTCTGATAATCAGAAAAAAAAAAATTGCAAAACTGCCTTAAATCCTTTCTGGAGTTAAATGTGGTACCCTTCCCCTAGGATACTAGCACACTGCAACATCAAATGGAGAACTGTACAGATAAGTAGCATTCTCCAGGGCCATCTGTTTGAAATCTGGCCCTAGAAGAGAGTTGACAAGCCTCAATCATGCCACAGGCCTTCTAGTTGAAGAACACTTTTGGGAAAAGACTAAGGGTTAAAAGATAGAAAGGATTAAAATGTGGGGAAGAGAAAGAATTTAAATGCGTAATCCCCCCTTGGGTATAAACTTAGATGATCCTTCAAGATACAAACACTCTTTCTGTAGTTTCTCACTTAAAAATTACGATAAATAGGGCATTGCCAAAGCAAGATTATAAAATCTTTGTTTTATTTAATATCTACCTCCTTTCTCTTCACAAAAAGATTAAACATTCAGGACCTTCATCTGCTCTCAGTTATACTTTGGTAAAAACTCATACGCACTGGATTATCTCTCAAGCTATTTACATTTTCTGCTTTCTCTAATTGCGGGATACATTTAATTTAAATTCAGAAATTTTGAGACAATAGAAATCGGAACATTTTTTGAAGAGAGAGGAGACTTCTTCTTGCCCTGAAATCAGTGTGTATAAGACAGGCTCAGATGACTAACCTGCTTTTTATCACTTGAATATCTGGGAGATTACTCAGAAGGAACTTTATTTCTTCTGTTTCTCTGCCCCCTCACCTCCACTTAGACATGTCCCTGTAAAAGGTTAACACCAGCTGCAGCTACTACAGGCCCATTGTCCCTAGGAACTTGAAAGTCAAACAGTCTCTCACAAATCTAAAACCAAACTCTTGATTTCCTCTCCTAAACTTAATCCCCATCTCAGTTTTCCTCATCCCAGTAAATGGCACCTTCATTCAATTAGTTGCCTCAGCCAAAACCCAAAGACTTTGGGTTAAAGCTAAACACCCCATATTCAATCCATTAGCAGTTCTTATCAGCTCTATTTTCAAAGCATTTCCTGAATCTGAATCTTCTCAAATTCTCTACCACTGTTACTCTATTTGGTCTCTTGCTTCCATCCTTGCCTCCTTATAGTGTATACTTTATTCAGCAGCAAGTTGTATCCTATTAGAATATAAATCTGATTCTTTCACTCTTTTGTTCAAAATCTTCAAGTGGCTTCCCAACACATTTAGAATAAAATCCAAAGCTCTGCTTGGTCCCTGGATATTCTTAAACCACATCTCCCACTCCTCTTTTCCTCATTCAGTCTGCTCCATCTAAGTGGACACCTTATTTTCCTCAAACATGACAAGCACACTTCCACCTCAAGGCTGTTTATTCTGCCAGAATGTTTTTTCTTCAGATATGTTCACATCTTGTTTCTTAACTTCATTTGTGGATCTTTACTCAAATAATACCACCTGAGAAAGATCTTCCCTGACCACCCAAACTAAAATAACAGCCCTAACCCACCATCACCCTTCATCATTTTCTTCTTTTTCTCTACTGCCTGAAGGATATCTTCATCATTTTCTGTCCCTTTACTTTTTCTTCATAGCATTTATCACTATTTGCCACTGTATTATGTATTTGTTAATTGTCTGTTGTCTCTATAAAATCCAGGACGGTAGGTTCTTTGTTTTGTTCTCAGCTTCGTTTTCATCTGGTATCTAGATCAATGCCTGACATATATAAATGAATTGATGTCTAAAATCATAAGCTACCAGGTTCAAAAAAAAAGCATCACAGTTTCTTGTTACTGCAACCCACAGGCCTGAAGCCCACCCTGACTGAGTACAAAAGAAAGTATACAAAGTCATAAGGAGTTCTAGATCCTAGGCATTTGGGAATCTTAGTCCAGACAAATGAAAGGAATAGGAAAGTCTTTCTTGTATCATATGCCCTTGGAAGTCTTTTCCTCCCACCTCAGCCACTTGACCCATGGCTTAGATCACCACCATTTTCTTCCTCTGAAGCCATTACCTATAGGGAAAATAAACCCCAATTCATGACAGGAGCCTCTTATTTTAAGCTGTTTAGTACCCAGGATACTAGAAGAATGGGAGCAGAAAGAAGCGGTCAGCTACTTAGTAGGAAAGATAAGACTGGCAAGAGAAAACTACATGTTTAGGAAACAGGGAATTTTAGGCAAAAATAAGATGTACAGGATAGGATCCAGTTTATTGAGAAGTTCAATCTAGGACATTTAAAGGGAGGTTGTATAGGGTAGTTAGTTGAGGGCACAGGCTTTAAAGTTAGACAGTTTGAGTTTAGTAGAGTTCCAGCTCCACTACTAGCTGTTTAATCTTAAGCAATTTAGCCTTTTTAACCCTCAGTTTCCTCATCACAAATGGAAATAGAAATAATTATCTCACAGGGTACTTTGGGCATTACATGTTATTGTGTTTATAAAATACTTATCACAATGCATGGCACATAGTGAGTCTTAAATGAAAAGAGGGTGTTATTAAGTGTCTGAGGCGAAGGAAGACTATTGACACTAATGGCAACCCTAAATTCTTCAGAAATAACAATAATTTCTTGTGTGACTGGCTGATATTTTATACCCAATTATGATGCAAGACAGTAGTGATTATGCACACCATTTAATGTGCTCAAAATTAATTTTGTTTCATGTGGTTAAAACAAAATTCACAAAAGATGTAAAAGACAAAAGAAGGCAATGTAGTGTACTGGGTTATGCCCATGAGTTGGAGTCAGTCAGATCTGAGTTTGAATCTCGGCTCTGCCATTTTCTTATTGCGTGACTTAAACAGGCTGTTTAACCTCTCTGGCTTCAGTTTCTTGTCACATAGGCATGACAACACAGTACAGTATTTTCCATAAATGGGCCATCAGTCTGTTATTTTTGTCCTAAGAGGGTGTAAGGAGTGGAGAAGCTGAGACTGGAAAGATAAACTGGGGCAAGATTGCAAAGCCCATTATAACCACACTAAATTGAGTGCGGATATTTTTAAGTGAAAGCTACTGCTTTTTTTTAAAGCATTTAAATGATATAATCAAATATTTGCTTTGAAAAGAAAACTGTATGGCTATGTTGGAGCAATGCAGCTGTGAGGCTGAGGGAAAGATGTGGAGAAGGTAAGAAAGTGGGATGAGACTTGAGGCGTGAAGCTCAGCTGAACAAATATTAAAACAGTTGATAGAAGATGAAGTGGGCCTAATTATTCAAATATTGAATAGATTTAAATAATTGACTGATACACTCTATAATTATACTTATCTATGTTTTCCTCCCTGTATTGAGCAGTAAAATAGATAATACACATTCTAAAAACTTGAAAGCAGAGGGAATTTATAACGACTTTCATTTGGTCATGAAAGACTGTTGAGATTGAAATTCACTTCAGGACGTATAAGCAATGGGAAAATAGTGAACTTGAACTAGAAGGAAAGGATTTTCAATAGCATAAGATGTCAAATAGAAGAGGCTTTTTAATTTCTTTATGCTGGGTACATGATAGTTCTTTACTCTCAGCCATTCTCACATTCCAAATCACTAGCACTAACTGTGTCTTCTAAGACAGCTCTCTCATCAAACTATTTTAGCCACTTCTTTGGCTCAATATGTAATTCTACTATATTGCAGACACTTAAACGTTTGTCAATGTTGTACAAAGATAGCTTCCTAATATTATTAGAGATCCTCCGATAGGAATGCTTACCTCCCTACTTCCAGCCTTAAACGAATAAGTATTTTCTGGAGCTGGCTCATTGCTAATAAAGAGTAGATTCGAATCCTAGCACTGTCATTTACTAAAGAGGTGATCTTCGGCTGGGCGCGGTGGCTTATGCCTGTAATCCCAGTGCTTTGGGAGGCCGAGGTGGGCAGATCACCTGAGGTCAGGAGTTCGAGACCAGCCTGGCCAACATGGTGAAACCCCATCTCTACAAAAAATACAAAAATTACCCAGGCCTGGTGGCACTTGCCTGTAATCCCAGCTACCCAGGAGGCTGAGGCAGGAGAATCACTTGAACTCAGGAGGCGGAGGTTGCAGTGAGTCGAGATCACTCCACTGCACTCCAGCCTAGGCAACAGAGTGAGACTTCATCTCAAAAAAAAAAAAAAAAAAAGTGGGGGCTGATCTTAAAATTTTTGCTCAATCTCTCTGTGTCTTAGTTCTTTTCCCCACATTAGGCATAATAATACCGACATAATAGGATGAGAGTTAAATTAAAGGAGATAAACTAGTATCCTCTACAGAGCTGGCTCTTACCAAGTGCTCAACATTGGTGTGTTTGCATTGCTTGTAATAAGGGTAGAGCCTATCTAACCTGCTTTTATGTACACAAATAATGTGTTATATGTGTTCCAAATAAACACTTGGGAATAATGAAAATTGCTACCTGGCTGGACGGGGAAAAAGCCATGTCAACTTTTATCTATATCTATATATTTATATTTAAGATTCCATTCACATGCTTGAAAAGAATGTATATTTTGCAGTTGTACATACCAAGTTTTATATTATGCCCACCCCTCCACATATATATGGTAATTTATGTTATTTCTCTTTATAGTCTCTCAACTTTTGCTATATAAAATCTTGAGACTTTCTCATAGTCTTAAGATTCATATGAATGAAAAACAATATCCGTTTGGTTAATTGAAACCTCTCATAAGTATAAAGTATCCCTCTTTATCTGTACTAATGCTTTCTGCCTTAAAGTGTTTTGTCTGATGTTTTCCTCTAGACATATCAGCTTTCTTTTCGTTGGTGTTTACAAGGTATGTATTTTCCTTTTAATTTCAACCTTTCTTTATTATTATGTTTCAAATGTGTCTCCTATTAGCTGTTGGATTTTTTTTAACAGTCAATCTTTAGCTTTTAACTGAACCATTTAGTCCTTTTACATTTCTTGCTACTATATTTAGAATTAAATATGCCATCTTCCAAAGTGCTTTCATTTGTCTGATCTATTACATTTCTTCTTCTCTCCTTTTTGTCCTCTTTTAGATGGATATCTGATTTTTATGTATCAAATCCTCCTCTTTACCAGTTTAAAATTATATTCTTTGTATTATTTTATTGATTACTTTTAAAATTATATTACACATTTTTAATTTGTCAAAATTTAATAATATAAGGAAGTCAGAACACTTGAACTCCATATATTCTTTCCTGATTTGTATGCTATTGTTGTGTATTTTAATTTTGTATTTTTGAAAGTCCACAAGACTATTATTATTGTTTTATACACTTAAACACTGGATTTACTTAAACATTTTCCATTTTCTTTGCTCTTAATTCCTTGTATCTAAGACTTTTCATGTGAGATCATTCTCCTCCTACCTGAAATACATGCTTTAAAATTTCCTTCATTGTAGATTTGATAGTGGCAAAATATGTCTCCTCTAGTATATCTCAAATGTCATTATTTTATGGTAACTGTTTTGTTTCAGCACATTGAAAATAATATTCCACTGTCTCTTCTTTCCCATTTTTACTAGTGGAAAGTCAGCTGTTAGTATATTAGGACTCTTTTGAAAGTAATTTTCTTTTCTCTGGATTCTTTTTTTTTTGTTTTTTGTTTTCTTTTTTTTGAAATGGAGTTTTGCTCTTGTCGCCCAGGCTGGAGTGCAGGGGCATCTCAGCTCACTGCAACCTGCGCCTCCTGGGTTCAAGTGATTGTCATGCCTCAGCCTCCTGAGTAGCTGGGATTACAGGCACCCATGACCAGCTAATTTTTGTATTTTTAGTAGAGACAAGGTTTTGCTGTGTTGGCCCGGCTGGTCTTGAACTCCTAACCTCAGGTGATCTGCCTGCCTCAGCCTCCCAAAGTGCTAGGATTACAGGCGTGAGCCACCACGCCTGGCCTAGGTTATTTTAATATTTGTTTTTAGTCTTCAGTCTTAAGAAGTTTCACTTTAGTACACTTAGGTATGAATTTCTTTTCATTTATTATTCTTTCAGTTTGTAAGACTTGTTAAAATCAGTGCTTTGGGCCGGGCGTGGTGGCTCACGCCTGTAATCCCAGCAATTTGGGAGGCCAAGGCAGGCAGATCATGAGGTCATGAGATCGAGACCATCCTGGCTAACACGATGAAACCCCGTCTCTACTAAAAATACAAAAAATTAGCTGAGCGTGGTGGCAGGTGCCTCTAGTCCCAGCTACTCGGGAGGTTGAGGCAGGAGAATGGCGTGAACCTGGGAGGCGGAGCTTGCAGTGAGCCAAGATCGCGCCACTGCACTCCAGCCTGGGCAACAGAGCGAGACTCCATCTCAAAAAAAAAAAAAAAAAAATCAGTGCTTTGAAGTAATGTCAGTTTGAAAAATCCTCAGCAGTTAACTTTTCAGATAATTGCTTCTATTTTGTCTTATCTTTTTTTCTCCTTCTAGAACCCTGGCCAAACCTATGTTAGACATTGTCACTGTACCTTCTGTGTCTTTTTCCTTCTTATATATATTTTTTTCTTTTCTTTTCTTGCCTCTGGAATATTTCTTCTGATGTTCTTCAGGTTTACTAAATCTTGAAGTATGTCTAATGTAGTATACACTTAAAATCTGTTGGATTTTATTATTTATTTATTTATTTATTTGTTTGAGACGGAGTCTCGCTTTGTCGCCAGGCTGGAGTGCAGTGGTGCAATCTTGGCTCACCGCAATCTCCACCTCCTAGGTTCAAGCGATTCTCCTGCCTCAGCCTCCCGAGTAACTGGGATTACAGGTGTGCACCACCATACCCAGCTAATTTGTGTATTTTTAGTAGAGACGGGGTTTCACCATGTTGACCAGGATGATCTCGATCTCCTGACCTCGTGATCTGCCTGCCTTGGCCTCCCAAAGTGCTGGGATTACAGGCATGAGCCACGGCACCTGGCCCTGGATTTTAAATTTGTATTTTAAAAATTAGCTATAAAATTTATTTTTATTTATAAAATAAAAATATATTTAAAATCACAATAAAATTCTATATGATTCTTTTTTCAAAGTCAAACCTGCTGCGTTACTCTTTGTGGTTTTCTGTTCTCTGTAGACAGCATCAAGTTGGTCTTTTGTCTTTAAACATACTCTTCATAATTGTTTTGTAGTCTTATTTTATAGTCTGAGTCTGATAAATTCAATATTTGAGTTATTTGTGAGTCTGTTTTTATTGTCTGTTGTCTCTACTGATACTTGCCCGTTTAATCTAGTTTCCTTATGTATCTGTTATTTTTTTATTAGGTGCTGAACATTACATTTGAAGAATTATTTCTAGAAATGATTTTAGGCCTATAATAAAGGTGTCTTGCTTCAAAGAGGATTTATATTTGCTTCTGGCACTACCAATTTAGAATTACTTTAACCCAAGTTCAAGGCTTAAAATTCACTGACCCAGGCAATTTGAATACAAGCAGTAAATTCTCAAGGGCTTTGGAGTCCCAGTATCTTGTTGGGGAGGATCTTCTATTAGATTTTCTATCTTATACACATCCTGGGTTTTTCTTTCTGTCTCCCTTGCCCTGCAAGTCTACCAGAATGAAGATTCTAATTGTCATGAGTCAGAAAATTTCCTCAGGGCAGAACAGTCTCCACATATGGGTTCCCATTTTTCCTTCACCTTTAGTAATTCCTTACTGTGTTTCATACTCTTTTATGCTTTAAGAATATTTTTAAAATCCAGCTCTGTTAGTTATTTTCACTAGGAGGATTTATCTGCTTAATTTAGCCTAACATTACCAGAACCATTAAATCAGAACAACATTTTAAAAGTTTTTGGTAATTATTACAAAGCTATCCTTCACAATGATTGTGCCTATTTATACTTCTGTCAGCAGGCATAGGAGTGCCACTTTTCCTGTTCTCTCAACTATGTTCTGTCAAACATGAGAAAAAATATTGCCAGTAAGATAAGTAAAAAGTGTAGCCGGTCACGGTGGCTCACGCCTGTAATCCCAGTACTTTGGGAGGCCAAGGCAGGCAGATCACTCGAGGTCAGGAGTTCAAGACCAGCCTGGCCAACATGGTGAAACCAGTCTCTACAAAAACTACAAAAATTAGCTGGGCATGGTGGCGCTCGCCTGTAGTCCCGGCTACTCGGGAGGCTGAAGCAGGAGAATTGCTTGAAACCGGGAGGAGGAGGTTGTAGTGAGCCGAGGTCGCGCCACTGCACTCCAGCCTGGGTGACAGAGTGAGACTCATCTCAAAAAAATAAATAAATAAAAGTGTTGTTTTGCGAAAATAAACTTGTATTTTATTATTAATGAAGTTTAACATCTTATAATCTATTTATTGAAATTGTAATTTTACTCTTTGTAATTTAACCTATTCAAATTTTCTGTTTATTTTTCTCAGAGTCCTTTGTTTATTATATAGCTGGTTCCACCAGAAAAAACCATTTCAGTTATTAAAATATTAAAATACTTCCATAACATTAGCAAATAACCACTACCTTTCCAAATGCTCTTCCCCTTGACTCTGGTCAGTTATTGTAGCCTCTTCACTACCCACCTCCCCATTATCCATCAGCTAAAGAGTTAACGCCCAATATACCAATGGGGCTCTAGGGCCCTGCTCCAGCTCTATGGCCATTATCAGTTCTGATTGGATAGTAACCATTTCATAATATTGTTAAATATTTTAACATAACCCCTGTGGATACATAAAGTATTTTTCCCATTTGACAATTGACTGACTGACTGACTGACTGATTGATTGAGAAAGAGTCTTACCCTGTCACCCAGGCTGGAGTGTAGTGGCACAATCATGGCTCAATGAAGCCTTGACTTCTCAGGCTCAAGTGATCCTTCCACCTTAGCCTCCCCAGTAGCTGGGACCACAGGGGCGAGCCACCACACCTGGCTAATTTTTAAATTTTTTTTTTTATAAAGATGGGGTCTCCCTATCTTGCCCAGGCTGGTCTCAAACTCCTAGGCTCAAGCGATCCTCCCACCTCCCAAAGTGCTGGGATCACAGACGTGAGCCACTGTGCCTAGCCAGTAAGACTTTTAAATGCATCAAACTGTATTCCTTTTTCCTTCCAAATTCTCTTTTCTTAATTTTTACTTATAATTAGTTGCTCTCTCTCCCAAAACTATTACTACTACTCTAGCTATTTTCTTTTAAATTATCTCTCAGTTCTTAAAAATCTACAAAGGAATTTATTCACAAACCTATGTAAGCTTTTCATTGAATTTTGCTATGCTTTACACATTTATCAAACTTATCTATTTTAATGCTTTTAGCAGACATCATAGATTCCAAATTTTATTAATATCAGTAAAGGCCAAAATAAAGTAATAGTTCATTTTGGACAAGTAGTAAAACATTTTGAAATAATTTTTGCTTATGATATGTGTACCTCCTGAAGAAAGAATAAGCTAATTTTTTGGACTAAGTCATTTTCATACTTGCTTTCCATATTGACCTATAAAGATACTAGCTCTTTTATAGTCTTCTGCCAAATATATCAGTTAAATATTATGATCTATTTTTATGATTATTCTGTTTTAAATCTGATAACCACACCATTGCATTGTTATCCAGGCAATATCTTCCCAGCATTTCAATTATCTTAATCTCACGCAGACCCACATCAAAGGCTTTTACAAACATTTAGATATATTGTTTGTCCATGGAGTTTTCTTTATCCACAAACTTGTTGAGTAATTTTATAAGACCAAATAAATCAGATTTGCCTGGCATGATTTGTCTTCATAAACAAATGCTGTCCTCTGCCCATCACATTGTTATCTAAATGATTTCAGATCAATTTGGTTCCCTCTAACTTGGGCAATTGCATTCTGCCAGCCCCAAACTCCCTCTGTTTTTCAAATGGAGACATTATTTTTCCTTTCACTTAACAAAGTGTTCTGTGAAGCAAGCAGGCAAGTATCTGAACCAATAAAGCCTAGTTTCCTGAAGATTTGTATCTGATAACTAACTGAAACTATGTATTATATCAATGTCATAGTTTTAACTGGTGACATTATTACCTAAATCATTATACTGGGTGTCATAAGTAGTGTTTTGTTACATCAATAGGAAATGTAGGTCAAAACAAAGAATATTTCTTTCATATGTACTTATAGGACACATTAACACTGGATTCCATGCTACATAGTTAGATTTAGTTAAAATTGAGTATTATATCAGAAATTAATAATGAGATACACTGGATGTGAAATTATTTCATTAGAAAAATTGTTATATATTATACTACACCAGAATGATCATTGTGCTTCATCCAAGAAAAATGATAGTTGTTCTGTATTTCAAGGTAAATGAACAAAAACTCTATTCATTGCTTACCGTATCATTACACAAAATGGGTAAATTTGTTGATGCTATTTCTTTTACATTTAAATGAGGGCTTCTGTAGTCTGTGGCTTATTTCCATAAGTAACATTTGCCTTAAACTGTATGTTAACTTTGGGAAAATCAAAAAGGCCCTAGGCTAACTAACTAGCTAACAAATTTAATGGATTTACAAAGCATTATTTCCAGGAGAGATGAACAACCTACTTCCCTTTGGTATTCCTGTATCTTTTTTTTTTTTCCATTTTTTAAGAGATAGGGTCTTGCTCTGTCGCCCAGGATGGAGTGCAGTAGCATGATCACAGCTCACTATAACCTTGATGATATTCCTATGTTTTAATTTCAACCAGGCTCAGCCTAAACTGACATATACAGTTTCCCCGATGTTCAACTTTTGTTATAAATGTTTAAAACAACCAAACCAACCCAGATTTAGCACTCAGTTATAATACCCAGGGAATAATTTGCCCACTGGGAGAATGTATGTGTAAATTTTTTGCTTGGGAGCCATTTTGATCAGCATTTGTAGCACCAAATGCACATAGTTCACGAAACAGTAACTTGAGAGAGGATACTACAAGGCAGCATAAATAGAATAACTTCAAAAAGACTGTCATTATTTACTCACTACAAGTATCTCCTTTACTAATAGTTAGTTTCTCTATCCAGTAATGAATGAATCAAAACCCAGGAGAAACATGAGCAGACTAGAGGAAATTATCTATAACATTAAATCATTGTATCCTCTAATCTTAACTGTTTTTGTTGGTAAATTCTTTTTTTTAATTAAGGATGTGATAGCTCATAGAATAAATTGTAACATATTTCTTGTTCTTTTATTTTTTCTGCTTAAATATCAACCATGCTAATTTAGTGGAAGACATTAAGTACAGTATTTTGGCGGGGGTGTGTTGGAAATGATTATTAAAGAGGACAGTATTATTGTGAGAGAGCAAGATTGAAAATCTCGGCTACATTTCCTTTACTTCCTTTATATTTCTCTGGGGACCTCACATGGGGTAATTAGAATATTAGCCTGGTTGTTATTGTCTAACAGAGTTGCCTGTCAGTAATAAAACCTTTTCCTGCCTTGCTACATTGTATCTGTGGTGCTCATATGTAAAGGGTGTTATGCTTTACAATAAGCAGATTTCCCCAAAAGCTTATTTGTTGTTGATGTTTTGCTAGGTAGAGGAGGTTGTTAAGAGACAGTAGAAAACCAAGAAGGCTAAACCAAGAGAACCTTAAAACTTTAACATTCTAAACCAAGATTTCTCATCTGAACTACAGTACACAGAAAATTACTCGACTATTTTCTCACTTCTCCCAAGGATGGCACATAACTAGTACCATTCTAGATACACAGGAGAGAAGTTCGTTTGTTATACACAATGGATTCCTAAAAGTACCAGGACTTAATTTTCCCCAAAACCAGTCAAGAAAGACTTACCACTATATTTAAACATAATTCCTTAAATAGTACATTGTAACTTCAAAATATAGTTGAAACTTATGTATGCAGCTTTGATAATTTCTATTATTCTTATAAAATCTATTATGAATAAAGAAACTGATTTGCTCCCTGAAAAGGTTAATTGTGATTAACCTTTGAAACTTGTTTAACAATTAAAGCAGCATTGTTATCTCAAATCTTTTATGGATCAAGAATTAGAGTGCTAGTTAATTAAGACAAAAGCCACATGGTATATTCATTAACATTCAATTCATTTCTACTGCTTAAAAAGTCCTAACTTGCTGTCAAAATCAATAGGTTTTTCCTAGTTTGGTCAGCAGCTTATTGATAGACAACCTAACTTTTTAAAGGTTTCAACTTCAACCACTTGATTGAAAAAATATAAGAACAAGCCCAGGCAACATAGTGAGACCTCATCTCTGCTAAACAACAACAGCAAAAACAGCCTGGGTAAAATAGGGAGACCTCGTCTCTACAAATAATTATAATGAAAATAAGCCAGGCATGGTGGTGCACGTCTGTGATCCCAGCTACTCAGGAGGCTGAGGCACGAGGATCTCTTGAGCCTGCGAGGTTGAGACTGGAGTAAGTTGTGATCATGGTACTACTGCACTCCAGCCTGGGTGACAAAGTGAGACCCTGCCTCAAAAAAAAAAAAAAAAAAAAAAAAAAAAAAAAAACCTGGGAAGGTGGTATGCTCCTGTAGTCCCAGCTACTCCTGAGGCTGAGGCAGAAGGATAGCTTGAGCCCAGGAAATTGAGGCTGCAGTGAGCTATGATCGTGCCACTGCACTCTAGCCTGGGTGACAGAGTGAGACCCCATCTTGAAAAAAAATAGATATATGTGAAAGAACAAATAACTATAAGCACCACGTTTTTCACTGGGAATTAAAGTCTTTACTTAAAGGAAATCAATATGTATTAATAGGATTTTTAATAAATAAAAAACTAGGGCCGGGTGCGGTGGCTCACGCCTGTAATCCCAGCACTTTGGGAGGCCAAGGCAGGCAGATCGCTTGAGGCCAGGAGTTTGAGACCAGCCGCCTGGGCAACGTGGTGAAACCCCATCTCTACTGAAAGTGCAAAAAATTATCTGGGCATGGTGGCACATGCCTGTGGTCCAAGCTACTCAGGAGGCTGAGGTGGGAAAATCACCTGAGCTGCGGAAGTCCAAGCTGCAGTGAGTTGTGATCAGGCCACTGCACTCCGGCCTGGGTGATGGGAGCAAGACCCTGTCTAAATAAGTAAATAAGAAACTAGGACTACAATATTTATTCTTATAAGCTATTATATCTATCTTCCCTGGGCAGAACCCCCTAAAGAAAGTGACAACAAAAGAGAACACGGAAAAGCAGTAGATAAAAAGGCAAGTTGGGGGAAGAAAAAGAAATCTGTGAATGAGTAACATAGTGGACGTAAAACATATTAGATATCCATTAGTGTATTTCAAGAGTCTACACAATGCCCATAAATATTTAATATTTCAAGTAAGGGTGTGTGTGTGTGTGTGTGTGTGTGTGTGTGTGTAGGGTACAACTACGAACATATATTGGACAATTATGTGAGAAAGCCTCATCATGACCATTTTCACTGAACAACTTTACCATGAGTGGAGGATTTTCTGAAACTGAAATTGCTATTTGCACGACATGGTGCATTGAAGCAATTCAAGGCTTTCATTCCACTTCACTGGAAATGAAGATTCGCTATATTAACGTTCTCTAGACACTTATGTGGTGTGAAATTATGCCCCTCAATTACAAATTCTTCCAGCCTTCTCTCTTTGCTTCTCTATTTTCAAGTTTCATTTCAAATACTCCACAAAATATTTGGCCTCACTTGGCATAAAAGAAGCAAACCTCTGTGCCTTCTTTTTCCCACCTTTATATGGAGATAATAACACTTGCCTCACTCATCAAGATATTGTGAGGTATAATCTTCTGTAAAGTACTTTAGAAACCTTAGATGTGAGGGTTAATGGAAATAAAAACTGTATTGTCATCTATTCTTCCAGTTCCTTTCAAATTGGCCATTTTCTTTTTTGTTTTGTTGCTATCGTTTGGATGTTAAGGAGAAATATTATGCTATTGAAAGTTGAAATTTAGTTTTATTTCCTTCAACTTCTTCTATTTTTATTTCTTTGTGAGCCCCTTTTGGTTTCACTACCATAGAATCATTGCTTCCATGAACTGAGTCATGAATGATCTGTTTTATAGGTAACACACCTGGACATAGTCTAATCTTACAGCCAAGGAGCCTCCCAAATACTAATTCATAATTTAAGACTTCATAGGGCATTACTGAACACTATTGCCACCATATGCCACTCTGTGACCTTATATTTATGTTCTCTGTCCCCCAGTTACATATTTGTATTAATGAATATATTCTCTCTCATTAAATTGTGAACACCCTTGAGAGAAGTGACTGGGTCTATCCACAAAGTACCTAGCACAATGTTGTTGGTTTTTGGGGGTTTTGTTATTTGTTTTTTGTTTTTTTTTTAGTTGGAGTCTCGTTCTGTAACCCAGGCTGGAGTGCAGTGTTGCCATCTCGGCTCACTGCAAGCTCCACCTCCCGGGTTCAAGCAATTTTCCCTGCCTCAGCCTCCATAGTAGCTAGGATTACAGGCATCCACCACCACACTTGGCTAATTTTTGTATTTTTAGTAGAGATGGGTTTTCACTATCTTGGCCAGGCTGGTCTTGAACTCCTGATCTTATGATCCCCCTGCCTTGGCCTCCCAAAGTGCTGGAATTACAGGTGTGAGCCACCACACTAGGACAACAAAATGTTTTAGTTATAGTAAGTATTGAATACATGATTCAAAGTAATTAAATAAAACTAAATATACTTTCTAAGATAGCTGTACTGCAGAAATCATTGGAGCCAAATTGAACTGAGCCTAAATATGCTGCTGCCCATTATTTCCAAATTTAAAGTAATTTCAATATTGAGAATTGCCTGACAAGGCCCTAGAAGTTAATCTGGATCATTTTTATTATCTGCAAGCCAAATCTTGACTGAACCCTTCTCTCTGGAGCGCTAATAGAGGATTCCATTGTAAGATTTAAAGATATGAGCCCCTTTGCTATTATACAACTATTTCTTCAGAAAGGTACTCTTAGAAGCATCAAAGTACATAATGAAAGCACACAATTCAAATTAAATAAAGGAATACACAAAGTATACAATAAAAGGATGATGTTGAGTAAATTAGTTAGCTAGAGGCCTTAAAGCTAGACAGATCCAGCTGGCTGGGCAACTTGCTAGCTGTGTTACATGGAGTGGTTTACCTAACCTTTCTGAACCTCTACATCCTCATCCTTAAAGAAAAACTCTCCTTGGAAAGTTGTGAAGATCATTTACTGTAAATAATACTACACATGCCTGGCCCAATGTAGATAATACCTCAATAAAAGGTATTATTATTATTAGAAAACACATCATGGAAATTTTTGAAAATGAGCAACTGAAGAGTTACGTTAACCAAAATAAAGATGAAACACTACTGAAAATAGCCCAAGGGAAAGCCTCATATATTGAACAACAAGGAGTCTTTTCATTGCCTAGGCAGGAAATGACAACTTTCTCTATCCTATCTCACTCTTGAGGGTGAAACCTTTGGTCAAAGAATTATAAATCAAGAATAATAAGATCACTGAGTTTGAAATAAAATGCCTTCCACTTTTGTCATAGAGATGCTCTTTGAGAAAGAGGATCTCTAGATATCACAAGTCCTTGGATTATCTAGCCAGTTTAAATAAGAAAGAGTGCAATGAGGCAAACATTTGATCTGATTACAAAATCCCCACCTTATTCCTGTAGGTTCTATGTAGGAATTAGTACTAAATGATACACTCTACACTGGAGTAATGTTTTATTTCAGAAATCTGGAAAAATGGGGAGTCCTTAGACACAGATGAAAGGATGCATAGTAACTCTGCCTCTTCACCCTGAGATTCTCTTTTTGAAAAAAAAATTGGGCCGGGCGCGGTGGCTCACACCTGTAGTCCCAGCACTTTGGGAAGCCAAGGCGGGCAGATCATGAGGTCAGGAGATTGAGACCATCCTGGTTAACACGGTGAAACCCCGTCTCTACTAAAAATACAAAAAATTAGCCGGGCGTGGTGGCGGGCGCCTGTAGTCCCAGCTACTCGGGAGGCTGAGGCAGAGTGGCGTGAACCCGGAAGGCGGAGCTTGCAGTGAGCCGAGATTGCGCCACTGCACTCCAGCCTGGGCGACACAGCGAGACTCCATCTCAAAAAATAATAATAATAATTGGAGGAATATAAAAGACTATATTTTAGATGGAAAAAGTCTTTCAGGCATCTTACATATGATCACAAATTTCTGGAAAAGATAATCACAAATCCAAACGGGAGTAGATACATACAGCTACTTTTTCCCAGTAAACTACTTGAGGAAAAAATTCATAGAAGACATCTTAGAAAAATTAAAGATACAGACAAATAGATAACTGGATAGATAGGAAGACTAATAAACTGACATATAGGAATTATTATTAGTGAAATCCCATTATAGGAGGTTTCTCCATGGTGAATGACGTCAAACTTTATGCTCCAAAAGAGATTAAAAACATATTTGAAGAGACAGTTCTTGATCAATCAGACAAAGAAATAGGTGAGGGTTTGCCAGTGGAGAGAAATATAAAGTCTTTTAGTTTATTTCTACCTACTTGAGCTAATACAAATAATTATTACATTTCCAAACAGAACATTAACAACTTGAAATTCTGAGATTATTTAACCATTTATAATAAGAGATGGGACAAATAAATGGGACAGAGCAGAGAGTTCAGAACAACAATGCCATTTCTTTTGTTTTTCTGTTAGTGTTAGAGGCAGGGTCTTGCTCTGTTGCCCAGGCTGGAGTCCCGTGGCATTATCATAGCTCACTGCAGCCTCAAACTTCTGAGCTCAAGCGATCATCCCACCTCAGCCATCTGAGTAGCTAGGACTACAGGTGTAGACCACTGCACCTAGCTAATTTTATTTATTTTTTGTAGTGATGAGGTCTCACTATGTTGCCCAGGGTGGTCTTGATCCTCCTGCCTCAGCCTCCCAAAGTGCTGGGATTACAAGTGTGAGCCACCACGCTGGGCTGCTGTTTTTTACTTTACAGTCATGTATCACTTAACGAAGTGCATACATTCTGAAAAATGCATTGTTAGGCAATTTCATCTTTGTGCACAAACTTAGATGGTATAGCCTATTACACATCTAGACTATATAGTATACCTTATTGTCCCTAGTCTACAAACCTGGACAGCATGTTACTGTACTGAATACTGTAGGCAATCTAAACATAGAAAGGGTACGGTAAAAATATGGTATTATAAGCTTATGAGATCACCATTGTATATGTGGTCCATTGACTAAAAATATGTTATATGATGTGTGATTATATAGTTTAAGTAACTAACAATGTGGACATTTTGAAGTAACTGAGCTAAATGTTTTAGGAAGGCTTAAGTAGCATTGCATGAGGCTTTCCTTTTAGTTATATTCTTAGTATGTTACTAGGGTTCAAGAGGTCATAGGTAGAAAAAGAATTATTTGGTAGGTAAACTATAAACAATGGTCATATTCTGAGCCAGTGAGTTCTTCTTTCCCTTTCTGTGAATGTGTGTATAATGAGAGGAAATTAAGAGAAAGAATTTCTAGCCTGTTGTAAAAACAGTCAACTCATTTAACCTAAAAATATGTTGTACAATTTGATGTTTGAAAAGTGCTTGGAGAAACACTCAATGTTTTAAATCTCTGTAAGAAAACAAAACAGTATTCATAGATTTTTCTATCTGAATGTTTACCCCTCAGGTGATGGTATTAGGAGGTAAGGCCTTTTAGGACGTGATTAGGTCATGAGGGTGGAGCCTTTTAATGGGATTAGTACCCTTATAAAATAGGCCTAAGGGAACTCATTTATCCCTTCCATCTTGTGAGGATACAGCTAAAAGACACCATCTCCATCTGTGAACCAGAAAGTGGGGCCTCAGTGGATACTGAGTCTACTGGAGTCGATCTTGGATTTCCCAGCTTCCAGAAGTGTGACAAAAAAGAATTCTGTTTTTTGAAAGCTACCCGGTGCATGGCATTTTGTTATAGCAGCCAAACAGACTAAGACAATTCTAGAATAATGAAATTTTAATTCTTTGAAATTATATCTCTTATCAAGTAAATTAAGCAGCTCAAATGCAAACTTCCTCATTATTTTAGCTCTTCTTTAATTTTCTACAAAATTTATAAATCTGCACTTCACATTCTACTTCTTGAATATATTCTACGGTGTGTTGTTCTCTTGTTTGTTTTTGCTGTTGCTTTAATTTTTCTTTGTGTTGTTTTGGTGAATAGAGTATTATAAACTCCTTATAGCCACAACGATCTATCTCACATCTTGATATAACCCATAGCACCTAAAACAGTTGAGTGCTTAATGCATATTCATTGGCTTGAGTTGAAGAAAATATCTAAAAAGGACTTGAAAGATCCTATGTCCATTTCCCTGTTTTCAGAATCACACTTATATCACTCTAGAGAGATAAAAACCAGTCCTTCTGGACCTCAGCAAAACCTGAGTCCTGCCCTCTCGCTTTCCTCCCTGGATAGCATGAGCTTCACCACTTGGTCCACCATGTTCTCTACTAACTACCAGTCCCTTGGCTCTATCAAGCCGCCAAGCTATGGCGCCCTGCCAGTCAGCAGCATGGCCAACATCTATGCAGGTGCTGGGGGCTTGGGCTCCCAGATCTCCATGTCCCACTCCACCAGTTTCTGGGGCAACTTGGGGTCTGGGGGCCTGGCTGTGGGGATGGCCAGGGGTCTGGCAGGAGTGGAGGGCATCCAGAATGAGAAGGAGACCATGCAAGGCCTGAACGACTCCCTGGCCTACTGCCTGGACAGAGTGAGGAGTCTGGAGACCAAGAAATGGAAGCTGGAGAGCAAAATGCAGGAGCACCTGCAGAAGAAGGGACCCCAGGTCAGAGATTGGGGGCATTACTTCAAGAACATCAAGGATCTGAGGGCTCAGATCTTTGCAAATACTGTGAGCCATGCCTGCATCGTTCTGCAGATTGACAGTGCCCATCTTGCTGCTGATGACTTTAGAGTCAACTATGAGACAGAATGGTCATGCGCCAGTCTGTGGAGAGCGACATCCATGGGCTCCACAAGATCACTGATGACACCAATGTCACTCAGCTGCAGCTGGAGACAGAGATGGAGGTTCTCAAGGAGAAGCTGCTCTTCATGAAGAACCACAAAGAGGAAGTAAAAGGCCTACAAGCCCAGATTGCCAGCTCTGGGTTGACTGGGGAGGTAGATGCGCCTAAATCTCAGGACCTCAGCAAGATCATGGCAGACACCTGGGCCCAATATGACAAGCTGGCTCAAAAGAACTGAGGGGAGCTAGACTACTGGTCCCAGCAGTTTGAAAAGAGCACCACAGTGGTCACCACGCAGTTCGCCGAGATTGGAGCTGCTGAGAATACACTCACGGAGCTGAGACATACAGTCCAGTCCTTGGAGATCGACCTGGACCCAATGAGAAATCTGAAGCTCAGCTTGCAGAACAGCCTGAGAGAGGTAGAGACACGTTACCCATGTAGATGGAGCAGCTCAATGGGATCTTGCTGGCACACACGGGCAGAGGGGCAGCACCAGGCCCAGAAGTATGAGGCCCTGCTGAACATCAAAGCTAAGCTGGAGGCTGAGATCACCACCTACCACCGCCTGCTGGAAGACAGGGAGGACTTCAATCTTGATGATGCCCTGGACAGCAGCAACTCCATGCAAACCATCCACAAGACCACCACCTGCAGGATAGTGGATGGCAAAGTAGTGTCTGAGACCAATGACACAGAAGTTCTGAGACACTGAGCCAGCAGAAGCAGGATACCCTTTGGGGAACAGGAAGCCAATAAAAAGTTCAGAGGTTAAAAAAAAGTCCTTCTGTTAAACCCAAAAAAAAGTGGTTTCCACCACCTTTAAAGTCAGTCCTGTCTAGTATTAAAAGTACTTACAGAAAGCTGGGTGTCCAGGCATGGTGGCTCACACCTGTAATCCCAACACTTCGGGAAGCTGAGGCAGGTGGATCACTTGAAGTCAGGAGTTCAAGACCTGCCTGGCCAACATGGTGAAACCCTGTCTCTACTAAAAATATAAAAATTAGCCCGGGTGTGATGGTGCACGCCTGTAGTCCCAGCTACTGGGGAGGCTGAGGCAGAAGGATCACTTGAACCTGGGAGGTGGAGGCTGCAGTGAGCAGAGGCTGTGCCACTGTGCTCTCCACTTGCTCCACCACCTTCTTTACCAACTACCGGTCCCTGGACAACAGAGTAAGACTGCATCTCAAAAAAAAGAAAAAAAGAAAGAAAGCTGGGTGTGATGGCTGGCACCTGTAATCCCAGCTACTCAGGAGGCTGAGGCAGGAGGATCACTTGAGGTTAGGAATTCAAGACCAGCCTAAGGAACATAATGAGACCAACCCCATCTCTGGGGAAAAAAAAAAAAGAGAACCGAAAGGAAATTTTATATATATATATATGGAAAATTATGTAAAATATACATTTCATAATTTTATTAATTATAAAATAATTATTTAATATATGAAATATAAAAGGATACATATATCCTTTATCTTAGGGGTCCCCAACCCCAGGGCCATGGACCCAGGCCACATAGCAGGAATTGAGTGGCAGGAAAGCGAGCATTACCACCTGAGCTCTGTCTCCTTTCAGATCAGCAGCAGCATTAAATTCACGTAGGCACACGAACCCTGTTGTGAACTGCACCTGTGAGAGATCTAGGTTGGTGCTCCTTATGAGAATCTAATGCCTGATGATCTGAGGTGGAACAGTTTCATCTCAAAACCATTCCCACCCCCACCCCTGTCCATGGAAAAATTGTCTTCTATGTAACCAGTCCCTTGTGCCAAAAAAGTTGGGGACCACTGCTGTATCTTTTTTATTTTATCCAAAAAGCTGCAAATAGCATTTGCTATAATATATTACAAGACTTATAATACTATTATCTAGAAAATGTACTTTTTAGCCTTTCTTTCTGTAGAATATTAGGGAAAAATCGATGAGATAATTAAAAAGGAAAAAGTGGAAATATTCATGAAATAGGCAGAAACAACTATTAAGAATAGCATTTTAATTCCTGGCATGAGGTTTTAAAGCCCAACATACAAATTTAATTCCTCTTTTAGTACAGTGTTTTTAGTATAATAACACCTTATGACTCAAGAACTGTGTACCTCAAAGTAAATGAAATTGAGGTTCAAAGATATTTCAAGCCATTCAAAATATGAAGGCACCCAGTGACTATAAATTACTAAACTTCTGGCAATCTGTCTCTTTTCCTGACATCCGATTAAAGTTTTATCATATATGGCTATTAATTATTGTTTTGAGCATGGGCTTTGAATTTCACTGAGTTCACCAGCTCTAGACACTTACAAATATGTTTTGCTATAAATTACTGGCACTGTTTCTGTTGATATTCAGCATAATCAAACATTTGTAAGCATGCTGTCTTTTCAATCTGTTCAGCTGATGCACTTTACCTGATCTTTCATTAAAGTAATCAAAACACTTGCTGTGTCGCATCTAATGAATGTTGCATGTATGATTAAGTGCTTTCATTCATATTGCAAGTTTGATTTAATGTAATCTGCCTTTCAGACAGCCATTAGCCTAGTTCCTACATGAATTCGATTAATTGGCTGAATTCTTCCAGATGTCCATTAAGCATTACAGGAATTTCTATGTGGAAACAGCAGGGACTGTCTAGCACAGAAGCAAACAATGAAATGTTATATTGCTGCCATGACTTACAAAAAGCTGGATTCATTTTCATTAATAAAACATCTGTACTCCTGCACAGCTATGCATTGACATGCATTTATTTTATATGTTTATTTCTCTTATGACCGTAAAAAGATAGTTAAACAGAAGCACATTTACTGAAATATAGACCCTGAGTTTAACAGATGCTGATTGACAAAACAGCTCAATTTTTAAGTTTATGGTAGGTCCTAAACGGAAGAAAGTACACTAACAGACACCTGTTTGAAACAGAATTAAAGAACGTCTGGGATTATACCAATAGAAATAAATGTATTAAAATGACATTAAAGGCTGATTTTGAAAATTATTTGATTGTCCTATCCACTCCCAAATCCGTTGGATCTCTTTAACAGAACAGGTCAAATATATCTCTTGCTGGGATGTTCTTTAAGTAGTTGTATCTTCCTCTCTCTCTCTTTTTTTTTTTTTCTTTTGAGACACAGTCTCACTCTGTCACCCAGGCTGGAGTGTGGTGGTGCAATCACGGTTCACTGCAGCCTCAACCTCTCAGGGTTCAGGTGATCCTCCCATCTCAGCCCCCCAGTAGCTGGGACTGCAGGCGTGCATCACCACGTCTGGCTAATATTTGTGGAGTTTTTTGTTTTTGTTTTGGTTTTGGTAGAGATGGGGTTTCACCTTGTTGACTGGGCTGGTCTTCAACTCTTGAGCTCAACGGATCCGCCCACCTAGGCTTCCCAAAGTGCTGGGATCACAGACATGAGCCACCGCTCCTGGTCTTTCTACTTGGTATGTTTTGTTTTGTTTTTTGTTTTGTGTTATTCGAAATGAACAGGGAGAGATTTAGCCTTGAGCAGATCCTAGCTCAGTGCATTTTACCACTTAATACATGCTATTTACAAATCATTTGGGAGATTTACCACAACTAATAATTGAAACAAAAGGTAAGTTTGAAAACAAGCCAGTTTTACACAGGGACAGTTATATATTCTCTAACGTCAAATGTTCATCTTAAAATTAAGAGTACCACACAAATAACTTTTTGTGTTATTTACAAGGATCTACAAATTGGTGCTATCAATTAAAGCTGAAAATCTTATGTTTCATTTCATAATTATATCTCCATTTCATAATTATAAATCATCCCTGCTATAAAGACATATAGTATTGAATTTTTTTTTTTTTTTGAGACAAGGTCTCACTCTGTCACCCATGCTAGGGTACAGTGGCATGATCATAGCTCACTATAGCCTCTAACTCCTGGGCTCAAGTGATCTTCCTGCATCAGCCTTCCAAGTAGCTAGGACTATAAGCGTGCACCACCATGCCAGGCTAATTTTTTCTATGTTTTATAGAGATGGGATCTCCCTCTGTTACCCAGGCTGGCCTGGAACTCCTGACCTGAAGTGATCCTTCCACCTCAGCCTCCCAAAGTGCTGGGATTACAGGAATGTGCCACCATGCCTGGCCTGTAGTGTTGAAATTTAAAAGTAAAATGCCTTTTATCCTTTCTTTACACAATTAGAGACAACATATATACTTGGAGAGAAAGAGAGAAAGTATTTGGGAGGCCAAGGCGGGTCGATCACCTGAGGTCAGGTGTTCGAGACCAGCCTGGCCAACATGGCAAAACCCTATCTCTACTAAAAATACAAAAATTAGCCAGGCATGGTAGTGGGCGCCTGTAATCCCAGCCACTCGGGAAGCTGAAGCATGAGAATCGCCTGAACCCAGGAGGCGGAGGTTGCAGTGAACTGAGATCCTGCTACTACACTCCAGCCTGGGCAACAGAGCAAGACTCCGTCTCAAAAAAAGAAAGAAAGAAAAGAAAGAGAAACATTCCCATTATAAAACATGCATGCAAATCATTAATCATAATATAAATTTATAATTGAACTTTGAAATTTCAAGTTTTACCTGAAATAACTTCTCTATTAGTAGTTTCTACTTCATTGGAGAATTTTTTTAAGTGATTATTACCTACTAGTTTATCCTGAGTAGGTAAAGCTACAGTAACTGAAAGAAGGCCTGTTTTAGGATCAGATCATCAGTCATATATGCCATGTTAATAAGATGATGCCAATTGGGTTTCTATGATGGGGCTTAAATAGGCAATATCAGCCTTGACCAGATTTGTTAGTCAATTTTTTCAGAAAAGAAAATCCTATAAAGGAAAATACTAGTCTTCTTGTTGGTCTTGGTGCTATAATCAGGCTTAAAAATACTAAGCTTTAAAAATATTTGAATGTACCTTCTTTTTCACAGTCATTCAGCAAAAATTCATCGGACACCTACTATGGAAATATAAAGACATATAAGTCACAATCCCTGCACTCATAAGAGAAAGAAAATAGCTAAGTGTATTACATGAAAAGTACCATAATAAAAGTCATTTAAAGTCCTATGACAGCATTAAGGTGGGAGTACTCCCCTCAGTTCCTCAAGCTTCACAGAGGAGTGAACATTTGTGCTATATCTTGAAAGATGAGTAGGAATAAGGTAGTCAAACTAAGAGAAAGGATTGGAGAGTAATAGGGTACCTCAAGCACCAGTAGGGCATGCTGTCATGGGGGTGCATTACTCTCCACTCCAGTTGTTTCCTTTCTTGTCAAGGGACATCCATTAGAGCAATGGTCCTGGACTCTTTCCATCCCTTCACTCATCATTTCTTCCCAGTTGTAGAGGAATTGCTTATTTTAACTAATGAGTTAGGGAGCAGGAACTTGGTATGCTTGACTCAGCCTCAGCCACTTCCTTCCTCCCTCCTCTGTCTGATAGACCTGGTCTGCTCTTGGCCTTACATAAGCTTAGAAATAATTGGTTGCTTATGAGAGATGAGGCCAGTAGTTATCCTGTTCTTCCTGAGACAGGATGGGTAAGTATGTCTAATTCTGGGCTTCAGAATTAAGAAGGCTTTTAGTTTCCATATATAAGCCACATTCTCCAATCTAGGCATTGTTGGTAATAATAGTGATATTTTGTTCTCAAACTGCCTCCTTCAGTTGGTTTAGAACTCAGGCAAGGAACTGGGATGCTATTTGTCGTCCACCCCCTCTTCTCCCCCAAAAAGAAAAACCCTCAAGTAATGTAGAGGCCTAGAGCCATGAAAATCGTGTATTCAGAGTGTTGAAGCATAAAGTGATTGAGAGGAAAGGTGAGAAATGAGACTGGAAAAGTGAGGCCGGATTGTGAAAGACACCAAGCCTTGACAGGAATTCGCTGAAACACTTTGTTACAATGTATAAAGATGGAGATGATATGTCGGAAACTGGCCAAATGCCCAAACAGAGCTTCATTAGATGCGATCCCTTGCTTCTCAGACAGTGACTTTCCAGCTTTATTAAAGTACATTAGAATCATTTGGAAGCCTTGGTAAAATGCAGATCTTGAGCCTCATCTTTAAAGATTCTGATTTAGTATAAGTACAATATGAGTCTCAGGAATCTGTATGTTTAACAAGCTCCCTAGATGATTCTCATGCCATAAATTTTAACTTTTCTTGGCGAAATACTGTTCGAGGGTCTGAGCTAAAACTTTATCATTCTAGAAATTCAGTTTTGTCAGAATAGTCAAAAATGTTCAGATTCATAATCAAGCCCCTGAGATACTTAAATATAAACTAGAGTGCTGACTGATTTAAGTTTAATGCTGACTGATTTAAGAATTAATTAATTAAGAATTTAAGTTTAATGCTGACCGATTTAAGAATTAATTAATTAAGAATTTAATGCTGACTGATTTAAGAACTATAGCTTTAAAAGGACTGGGGTCCTTGGGGCTGTAAAGAACACATCCTCTCTCTGTGGGAAAATCCATATGGGAAGCCACACTGTAACCAAAGATTGCTTGATCACTTTGGATTCATGGCAGTGAGAGTTAGTTGGATCACCATTACTAATGGCATCAAGCTTGTCTGATGTATCCATCTTCACTGTTGAGAATAGACTTGCAAAGGGGATTGGAAGCTGCTAAGGGGAGTGGAAGTTGCTTCCTCTGCCCAGGGCCATGCTGAAGACACACTGAGAAATTCCTGCTCTTGGCCTCTCCTTTTTCTAGTCTCCTTTTTTAACACATTTTTCAGGTAAGATTAAATATAATTGACAAGGTTAAAGATTTAGATATACTAATACAGACACATTTTCTTGAAAATATACTTGTTACCTTGAAAAGAGTTTAGATGCTCCTAGAACTCTACCATTCACAGAGTATTGGTTAGGACTAAATATTTCTATAAATGAATATAAGCTTCATGATGTCAGGGACCTTGACTTCTGGTTCACCACTTTATCCCAAGTGCTTAAAATAGTACCTGACATAAAAGAGTAGTCAATAAAATATATATTTTTGAATAGATGATTAGCCTCATCTATTACATTTTTATTCTTTTCATTTTAATTTTTATTCTCAGAGGCAAACCAATTCCAAAATCTGGGGCTACCTTGCCCCTGCCGCTTATGAATTAACCACACACCTCGACGAAATGCCTAAAGCAAAATCAGCTGCTTTAAAAAAAAAAAATTTGGTTTTTTGTTTCTCACTACTACACTAATGAGGATTAAATTTTTTGCCTTTGTTACACTTTTGTGATTGGGATGTAACATGTTGTCAGAATCTGTTTTCATTTTTACCATCAATCTCTGAGTTTATGTTTTGTGAGTTCCCAACTGGTTAAAAAGAATAGGAAGTCTCTGCTTGCTCAAGAATAAAAAAGAAGAGAAATGGAGATGACTAAATACCATTTCTTCTAGTATTTGTGATAGCCAGCTAAATCTAACGACTTTTTCCTTGACGTGTAAGTGAATATCACCAACCTTCTTCAGAAAAAAAATGTGAGGGGAAGTTCTTTAGCTTCTGAGCTTAAGAAATGTTGATAAATATTTGAAAATTCAACTAATTAAAAATGAAATGCAGCCAGCTAAGCTCCAGTCATTTTTAATTTACAATATTGCTTTGCTTTCGAGGCAATGTAGACAAGTCACAACTTCTTTTGATGCCTGAGGGATTGAAAAAATTAAATCAGCAGGATTGGCTATTGATGTTTTCTAGCAAATGTTTTGAAATCTCTGCCTTTCATCCATCTTGTAGGAAAATAGGATTGCTTTCTGAGCCTTCAAAGATATTAATTCCTTTAATAAATCCTTACTTATGTGTTGAAAACTTCCCACAGTTAGGTTTCTGTAGCAATCTCTACATCGGGGTAAATGTTGCCCGCAGGCAGACTCCCAATTTTTTTTCCAAGTATCATCACTCTTGGTCTGAAACTGGGGCTAACCAACATTACAACAGATTAAACATACCTTCTGTTCAGCCTCTTTTCATAAGATTTCTTTATTATATTCTTTGCAAGGCAAATTTCGTGACAGGCTGTTTGCCTTCCTGGTGATCAGCACTTAATGAGATAAAGCACAAACATAAGCAGTGACTGTCCCAGTTTTGTACTTTGATCCCTGCCTCTCTAACCAATGTGAAAAAAGATAGAGAGCTACCTGAGATTCTTAAAATGCAAAGAATATTTGTCATATAGTAAACCAATCAGAGCTTCATTCAATAACAAGAATAAAAATTGAATATAAGAAGTTAAAAACAAAGCATAGATGTGTGCATGCATGAAAGGTGGGCTTGAGGGGGAAAGGAAGTTGACCATATTGTGAAGATTTTGTGTAGAGCATCTATCTATTTCTCTAATACTTTTCACAACAACAATTGTAGAAAGATAGTAGAAATGAGAAGATAGTACCAAAACTATCAGATGACCCTCTTGAGGACAGCATTATTTCAGAGAGTTTCTTTTATTAAAAGGAGGAAGCATTTATGATGTTGGTTTAAATGTTGTTCTGAGACATTCTCCTTGAAATTCCTGCTTAAGGGATTTAATATTAATGTGCCTCTGCTTAAAAAAAAGTATAAAGTTTTCTCTTTTTTGTCCAAGCCTAAAAAGAAGAATGATAAATAGACTGGCTTTTGTGGGAAAGAAAGAAGCTCAATAATGACAAGTAAATGAGCTAACACCTTTTCCCTGGAGACTAAAGAGGGAGGGACTAGATAGCTTCTGACTATAGAAAGGGAGACGACAAAGGAAAAAAAAATTAGTGCAGTGAGCAGTATTAGGAACGTTTTGAGGGACAGTTTGAGAGCCTGCAACACAGCAGGGTATAGCGTTTCTTTTTCATGAAGAGTCTTTATCTAGCATCCTTGAATTAATAATTTACTTTAGGCTGGTATTTCCTGAAAGTTAAAAATCCTAAGGTTATGAGCCCTAAATAAATAAACAGTATTGTCTTAATACTACTGACCATGAAACTATATATTTAAAGATAAATTTTAGTATTCCATTTTTTCCTATTAAGGTGTAATAATGAAAAATTAAACATTACATTAAATATTCTATTTTTAGAAAAAACATGTTCCTAATTATGTATATAAATGGATAGAACTAGAGATACATATATGTATATGTAATAAGCACGTAATTAGAAAAACTAATCAGGTGTGTACCTTCCTGTTGTCAAAGTCTATCATTTCTTTAAATAGCATGGTCTGCCTTTATTGAGGAAAAATACATAAAAATAAAAATATTAGAATTCCTATAAGTAAATTTTAATTTCATTATTCAAGATGGATCTATGCTTACACTTTACTATAATGCCATCCATAATGGTTTACTCAATGTCAAAAATATATATTATCCTTGATAATTGAACTCTAGAGATCTAGTTGCTAGTTTTTTCCTTTTGCTACTCACCCTCAGTTTCTGATTCCCCAAGTCTGAGAAGAGTTATGAGCATCTCTATTTTTTTATTTTTATTTTTGTGGGTATATAGTAGGTATAAATATTTAGGGGGCTCATGAGATATTTTGATACAGACATACACATCAGGATAAATGGGGTATCCATCCCCTGAACATTTATGCTTTCTTTGTTTTACAAACAATCCAATTATACTATTTTAGTTATTTTTAAATGTACAATAAATTATTGTTGACTGTAGTCACCCTGTTGTATTATCAAATACTAGCTCTTATGGGAGTATTTGGTATTTGGTATTGGAGTATGTACATATGAATATATGTACAAAAATATATTTTTGTACGCATTAACCATCTCAACTTGCTTCCCACTCCTTTCTACCCGTCCCAGCCTCTGGTAACCATCATTCTACTCACTACCTCCCACAAATGAGTGAGAACATGCGAAGTTTGTCTTTCTGTGCTTGGTTTATTTCACTTAGCATAACGTCTATCAGTTCCATGCATGTTGTTGCAAATGAAAGGATCTCATTCTTTTTATGGCTGAATAGTACTCCCTTGTGTATATGAACCATATTTCTTTATCCATTCATCTGCTAAAGGACGCTTAAGTTGCTTCCAAATGTTGGCTATTGTGAATAGTGTTGCAATAAACATGGGAGTGTAGGTGTCTCTTCAGTATACTGATTTCCTTTCTTTGGGGTATATATCTAGCAATGGGATTGCTGGATCATATGGTAGTTCTGTTTTTAGTTTTTTGAGGAACCTCCAAACTGTTCTCCATGTGGTTATACTAACTTATATTCCCAACAACAGTGTACGAGGGTTCCCTTTTCTCCACATTCTCACCAGCATTTGTTATTGCCTGTCTTTTGGATAAAAGCCATTTTAACTGGAGTGAGATGATATCTCACTGTAGTTTTGATTTGCATTTCTCTGATGATCAGTGATGTTGTGCACCTTTTCATATACCTGTTTGCCATTTGTGTGTCTTCTTTTGAGAAATGTCTATTCTGATCTTTTGGCTATTTTTAAATTGGATTATTAGGGCTTTTTTTTTTTTTTTTTTTTTTTGCCCTATAAAGTTGTTTGAGCTCCTTTATATTCTGGTTATTTATCCCTTGTCAGAGGGAGAGTTTGCAAATATTTTCTCCCATTCTGTAGGTTTTCTCTTCACTTTGTTGATTGTTTCCTTTGCTGTGCAGAAGAAGCTTTTTAACTTGATGTGATCCCATTTGTCCATTTTTGCTTTGGTTGCCTGTCCTTGGGGTATTACTCAAGAATCTTTGCCCAGTCCAACGTCCTGGAGAGTTTCCCCAATGTTTTATTTCAGTAGTTTCATAGTTTGAGGTCTTAGATTTAAGTCTTTAATCCATTTTGATTTGATTTTTGTATATAACAAGAAATAGAGGTCTAGTTTCATTTTTCTCCATGTGGATATCCAGTTTTCCCAGCACCATTTATTGAGGAGACTGTCCTTTCTTCAATATATGTTCTTGGCACCTTTGTCGAAAATGAGTTTACTGTAGGTGTGTGGATTTGTTTCTGGGTTTCCTATTTGTTCCGGTGATCTGTGCTTTTATGCCAGTACCATGCCGTATACTCTAATGGTTTAAAAACTATACTACTATATTACTATAGCTCTGTAGTATAGTTTAAAGTCAGGTAATGTGATTTCTCCAGTTTTGTTCTACTTCCTTGGGATAGCTTTGGCTATTCTGGATCTTTTGTGGTTCCATATAAATTTTAGGATTGTTTTTTCTATCTCTGTGAAGAACGTCACTAGTATTTTGACAGGGATTGCATTGAATCTGTAGATTGCTTTGGGTAGTATGGACATTTTAACAATATTGATTCTTGCAATTCAGGAACATGGAATATCTTTCCATCTTTTATATCCTCTTTAATTTCTTGCATCAATGTTTTAGTTTTCATTGTAGGATCTTTCACATCTTTGGTTAATTTCTAGATATTTTATTTGTAGCTATTGTACATGGGATTGTTTTGTTGATTTCTATTTCAGATTTTTCACTGTTGGCATATAAAAATATTACTCATTTTTGTATGTTGATTTTGTATCCTGCAGCTTTACTGAATTTGTTTATCAGTTCTAATACTTTTTTGGTGGTGTCTTTAAGTCTTTCCAGATGTAAGATTATATTATCTGCAAACAAGGATAATTTGACTTCTTCCTTTCCAATTTGGATGCCCTTTACTTATTTTTTTATTTTATTTTATTTTATTTTATTTTATTTATTTTATTTTATTTTATTTGAGGCAGGGTCTCACTCTGCCACCCAGGCTGGAGTGCTTTGGCATGTTCATAATTTACTGCAGCCTTGACCTCCCAGGTTCAATTCATCCTCCCACCTCAGCCTCCCAAGTAGGTGGGACTACAGGTATGTGCCATCACACCTGGCTAATATTTTGTAGAAATGGGGATCTCACTATGTTGTCTAGGCTGGTCTCAAACTCCTGGGTACAAGTGATCCACCCACCTTGGCCTCCCAAAGTGCTGGTATTACAGGTGTGAGCCAGTAATGGCTGTGCCTGGCCCTTTATTTCTTTTCTTGTCTGATTGCTGTAACTAGGACTTCTAGTACTATGTTGATGAAAGTAGGCATCCTTGTGTTCTAGATCTTAGAGGAAAGTATTTCAGTTTCTCCCCATTCAATATGATGGCAACTGTGGGTCTGTTCACATACGACTTTTATTATGTTGAGGTATATTCTTTTTATATCCAGCTTTTTGAGGGTTTTTATCATGAAGGGATACTGAATTTTATCAAATGCTTTTTCAGCATCAACTGAAATGATCATATGGTTTTTGTCCTTCACTCTGTTGATATGATGGATCCCACTGATTGATTTGTGTTATGTTGAACCATCCTTGCATCCCTGGAATAAATCCCCCATGGTTATGATGAATGATCTTTTTAATGTATTGTTGAATTCAGTTTGCTAGTATTTTGTTAAGGATTTTTGCACCAGTGTTCATCAGGGATATTGGCCTGTAGTTTTCCTTTTTGCTGTGCCCTTGTCCGGTTTGGGTATCAAGGTAATACTTACCTTGTAGAATTAATTTGGAAGTATTTCCTCCTCCTCTATTTTCAGAATAGTTTGAGTAGGATTGGTATTAGTTCTTCTCTAAATGTTTGGTAAAATTCAGCAGTGAAGCCATCGGGTCCTGGGGTTTTCTTTGCAGGGAGACTTTTTCTTTTTCCTTTTTTTTTTTTTTTTTAGGAGAGGAAGGGGAGAAAAGAAGAGGGGAGGAACTGAGAGACTTTTTTTTTTTTTTTTTTTTGAGACAGAGTCTCACTCTGTTGTCCAGGATGAAGTATAGTGGCACTATCTTGGCTCACTGTAACATCCACCTCCTGGGTTCAAGCAATTCTCCTGCCTCAGCCTCCTGAGTAGCTGGGATTATAGGTGCCCACCACCACGCCCAGCTAATTTTTGTATTTTTAGTAGAGATGGGTTTTTGTCATGTTGGCCAGGCTGGTCTCAAATTCCTGACCTCAGGTGATCCGCCCACATTGGCCTCCCAAAGTGCTAGGAGTACAGGCATGAGCCACCATGCCCAGCCTGGGAGACTTCGTATTATGGTTTCAAGCTCGTTATTTCTCATTGGCCTGTTAAGGATTTAGATTTCTTCATGGTTCAATCTTGGTAGGTTTTATGTGTCTAGAAATTTATCCATTTCTTCTACATTTTCCTGTTTGATTGCTCATAGTAGCCACTAATGATCCTTTGAATTTCTGCAGCATCAGCTGTAATGTCTCCTTTTTCATCTCTGGTATTAATTTGAGTCTACTCCTTTTTTCTTAGTCTAGCTAAAGGTTTGTCAATTTTGTTTATCTTTTCAAAAAATCAGCTTTTTACTTTGTTGACTTTTCTATTATTTTCTCCATTTCAATTTCATTTATTGGCATTCTGGTCTTTACTTCTGCTAATTTTGGGTATGGTTTGCTTCTGCTTTTCTAGTTATTTAAGATGCATTGTTAGGTTGTTTATTTGAAGTGTTTCTACTTTTTAAAATTTAGGCACTTATAGCTACAAATTTCCCTCTTAGTGCCTTTGCTGTGTCCCACGGGTCTTGTTTTTTTGTTGTTTTTGTTGTTGTTTGTTTGTTTTTTGAGATGGAGTCTCACTCACTCTGTTGCTGGGGCTGGAGTGCAGTGGTGCAATCTCAGTTCACTTCAACCTCCTCCTTCCAGGTTCAAGCAGTTCTCCTGCCTCAGCTTCCCAAGTAGCTAGGATTATAGGCATGTGCCACCATGTCCAGCTATTTTTAATAGAGACAGGGTTTCACCATGTTGGCCAAGCTGGTCTTGAACTCCTGGCCTCAAGTGATCTGCCCACCTTAGCCTCCCAAAGTGGTCTGCCCACCTTAGCCTCCCAAAGTGGTGGGATTACAGGTGTGAGCCACTGTGCCTGGCCAGTATTCCATAGGTTTTGGCATGTTGTGTTTCTATTACCATTTGTTTCAATACATTTTTAAATTTTCTTCTTCATTTCTCATTGACCCACTGGTCATTTAGGAGCATGTTGTTTAATTTCATGTGTTTGTATCATTTCCAAAATTCCTCTTGTTATTGATTTCTAGTTTTATTCCATTTTGGTCAGAGAAGATACTTGATGTAATTTTAATTTTTTTGAATTTTTTTAAGACTTGTTTTGTGGCCTAACATATAGTCTGTGAGAATGATCCATCTGCTAAAGAGAAGAAAGTATTCTGTACCCATTGGAAGAAATGTTCTGTAAATATCTATTAGGTCCATTTGGTTTATAGTGCAGATTAAGACTAATGTTTCCTTATTGATTTTTTTGTCTGGGTGATCTTTCCAATGCTGAAAGTTGGGGGGTCTCCAGGTATTATTGTGTTGGGTCTCTCTCTCTAGGTTGAATAATATTTGCTTTATATGTCTGGGTGCTCCAGTGTTAAATGCATATGTATTTACAATTATATCTTCTTGCTGAATTGACCCCTTTATCATTATATAATGACATTTTTTATTATAGTTTTTTGTCTTGAAATATATTTTGTCTGATATAAGTATAGCTACTCCTGCTGTTTTGTTTTTTTTGTTTGTTTGTTTTTGTTTTCCATTCTGTAACCTTCCTGTATTTTCATGGAATATATTTTTTCATTCCTTTATTTTCAATCTCTGTATGTCTTTACAGGTGAAGTGTGTTTCATGTGGGCAGCAGATCGTTGGGTCTTGTTTTTTATCCATTTAGCAACTCTATCTTTTGACTGGAGTACATTTACATTCAATGTTATTATGATATGTAAGGACTTACTCCTTCCACCTTGTTTTTTGTCTTGTGGTTGTCTTATGGTCTTCTCTTCCTTCTGTCTTTCTTTCTTTCCTGTATTCCTTTCAGTTACAGTGATTTTCTCTGGTGGTATGTTTTAATTACTTGCTTTTATTTTTTGTGTCTCTGTTGTATGTTTTTTTATTTCAGGTTACCATGAGGCTTGCAAATACTATCTTATAACTCATTATTTAAAACTGATGACAACTTAACACTGATTACATAAACAAACTGACAAGCAAAGAGAAAACTAATAAAAACTCTACACTTGACATTTTTTTCCCTGCTCTTTAACTTTTTGTTGTTTCTATTTATATCTTATTATACTGTCTATATCTTGAAAAATTGTTGTAATTATTATTTTTGATAAGCTCATCTTTTAGTCTTTCTACTCAAGATATGAGTAGTTTACATACCACAATTACGGTGTTATAATCTTCTGTGTTTTTCTGTCTACTTACTATCACCAGTGAGTTTTGTACCGTCAGATGATTTCTTATTACTCATTAATATCCTTTTCTTTAAGATTGAAGAATCCCTAGGCAAGGCACAGTGGCTGACGCCTGTAATCCTAGCACTTTTGGAGGCCAAGGCAGGTGGATCACCTGAGATCAAGAGTTCGAGACCAGCCTGGTCAACATGGTGAAACGTCGTCTCTACTAAAATTACAAAAATAAGCCGAGGCCGGGCACCGTGGCTCGCGCCTGTAATCCCAGCAGTTTGGGAGGCCAAGGCAGGCAGATCACAAGTTCAGGAGTTCAAGACCAGCCTGGCCAGCATGGTGAAACCCTGTCTCTACTAAAAATACAAAAAAATTAGCTGGGCATGGTGGTACACACCTGTAATCCCAACTACTCAGGAGGCTGAGGCAGGAGAATCACTTGAACCCAGGAGGTGGAGGTTTCAGTGAGCTGAGATTGTGCCACTGCACTCCAGCATGGGCAATAGAGTGAGACTGTGTCTCAGAAAAATAAAAATAAAAATAAAAATAAGCCAGGCATGGTAGTGGGTGCCTGTGATCCCTGCTACTCAGGAGCCCGAGGCAGGAGAATCACTTGAACCTAGGAGGTGGAGGTTGCAGTAAGCCAAGATCGCACGACTACACTCCAGCCTGGGCAACAGAGCAAAATTCCATCTTAAAAAAAAAAAAAATTGAAAAATTCCCTTTAGCATTTCTTGTAGGACAGGCCTGGTATTGATAAAATCTCTCAGCTTTGTTTGTCTGGGAAAGTCCCTATTTCTCCTCCATGTTTGAAGGATATTTTCACTGGATGGATATACTATTCTAGGATAAAGATTTTTTTTCCTTCAGCACTTTTAATATGTCATACCACTCTCTCCTGTCCTGTAAGATTTCTACTGAGAAGTCAGCTTCCGGATGTATTGGAGCTGCATTGTATGTTATTTTTTTTTGTTTCCTCTTGCTGCTTTTAGTATCCTTTCTTAATTCTTGACTTTGGGTGTCTAATGACTCAATGCCTTAATATAGTCTTCTTTGGGTTGTATCTGTGTGGTGTTCTACAACCTTTTTGTATTCGAATATTGATATCTGTCTCTAGGTTTGGGAAGTTAGTTACCAGTTATTATCCCTTTGAATAAACTTTCTACCCTGACCCTCTTTATACTTCCTCTTTAAGGCCAATAACTCAGATTTGCCCTTTAGGGGCTATTTTCTAGATCTTGCATGCGTGCCTCATTCTCTTCTCTTTTGTCTCCTCTGACTGTATGTTTTCAAATAGCCTGTTTTCAAGCTCACTAATTATTTTTTCTGCTTGACTAATTCTGCTGTTAAGAGATTCTGATGTAGGCTGGGCACAGTGGCTCACACCTAGAATCCCAGCACTTTGGGAGGCTGATGCAGGTGGATCACTTGAGTTCAGGAGTTCGAGACCAGCCTGGCCAACATGGTGAAACCCTGTCTCTACTGAAAATACAAAGAAATTAGCTGGGCATGGTGGCACACACCTGTAATTCCAGCTACTCGGGAGGCTGAAGCAGGAGAATTGCTTGAACTGGGAGACAGAGGTTGCAGTAAGCCAAGATCACACCACTGCACTCCAGCTTGGGCAACAGAGTGAGACTCTATGTCAAAAAAAAAAAAGAAAAAAAGAAAAAAAAAAGAGAAGACTCTGATGCATTCTTCAGTATGGCAATTGCATTTTTCAGCTCCACAATTTCTGCTTGATTCTTTTTAATTATTTCAATTGCTTTGTTAAATTTATCTGATAAGATTCTGAATTTCTTCTCTGTGTTATCTTGAATTTGGTCAAGTTTCTTCAACACAGCTATTTTGAATTCTCTGTCAGAAAGGTCACATATCTCTGTCTCTCTGGGATTTGTCACTAGTGCCTTAGTTTATTTGGTGAGGTCATGTTTTCCTGGATGGTCTTGATGTTTATAGATGTTCATCAGTGTGTGGGCATTGAAAAGTTAGGTATTTATTATAGCCATCACTGTCTGGGCATGTTTGTGCCTGTCCTTCTTGGGAAGGCTTTCCAGATATTTGAAAGGACTTGGGTATTGGATCTAAGTTTTTGGTCATTGCAGCTGTAATTTCATGAAATGGGGGCACCCCAAGCCCAGTAACACTGTGGATCTTGCAGACTCATGGAGGTATTGCCTTGGTGTTCTTGATAAGAGCCAGAAAAATTCTCTGGATTACCAAGCAGAGACTCTTGTTCTCTTCCCTTACTTTCTCCCAAACAAATAGTGTGTGTGTGTGTGTGTGTGTGTGTGTGTGTGTGTGTGTGTGTGTGTGTGCTGAGCTTCCTGGAGCTGGGGTAGCAGTGACACAAGCACTCCTGTGGCCACTACCACTGAAACTCTGCTGGGTCAGACCTGAAGACAGCATAGCACTGGGTCACACCCAAGGTCTTCAGTTACCACTACTTGGCTACCACCTATGTTCACTCAAGGCCCTAGAGCTCTCCAGTCAGCAGGGAGCAAAGCCTGCCAGGTTTCAGTCTTTCCCTTCAGGGCAATGAGTTCCCCTGGTCCCAAGTGGTTCCAGAGATATATCTGAAAGCCAGGGCCTAGAGTTGACAACCTTAGGAATCTACTTGGTGCTCTATTCTGCTATGGCTGTGCTGGCACCCAAGCCACAAGACAAACTCTTTCCCCTCTTCCCTCCCCTTTTCCCCAAACAGAAGAGTCTCTCTGTATAGCCACCACCACCTGAGGCCTATGGTGAGTACATCCTGGCTACCATTGATGTTCATTCAAGGCCCAAGGGCTCTTCAGTTAGCTTGTGGTGAATGCTGCCAGGCCCAGGACTGTCCCTTCAGGGAAGTGGGCTCCTCTGTGGCCCAGGGCAGGTCCAGAAATGCCATCCAAGAGCCAAGTCCTGGAATTGGGGAAACCAAGAGTCCACTTGGTGCTCTACCCCACAGTGGCTGAGCTGGTACCCAAGCTGCAAGACACAGTCCCCATTACTCTTCCCTCTCTTATTCTCAAGTGGAAGAAGTCTCTCCCCATAGCCAACAGCTGAGAAGGTGATGGGTCACACCTGAAATCAGTATGTTGTCTCTGAGTCTCTCCCAAGGCCCATGGTGAGTATTGCCTGGATACCACTGCTGATTATTCAGGGCCCAATAGCTCTTTATTCAGGAAGTGATGAACCCTGCCACAACTGGATTTGTCCCTTCAAGGCAGCAATTTCCCTTCTGGCCCAAGGTGTGTGTAGAAATGTCATCCAGGAGCTAGGGCCTGTAACGGGGGCCTCAGGACTCTGACTGGTTCCCTACCCTACTGGGACTGAGCTGGTATCCAAGTTGCAAGACAAAATCCTCTTTACTCTTTACTCTCCTCTCCTCCGGCAAAGGGAAGAAGTCTCTCCCAGAGCTGCAAGATGTGCTGCGTTGGGTTGGGGGAGGAGTGGCGCAAACACTCCCTTGGGCACCCTTGCTGGCGTCTCATTAGATCATATGCACCCCAAGTCCACTGGTTTCTAGCCCAGTACAGCACTAGGACTTGCTAGGAATTGCAGTCCCTCTGGCCTAGGCTGCCTTTCAAATTTATTTAGAGCCCCAGAGCACTTTAGCCCACAATGGCGAGGCTTTCTGGAATTCAGGTTCTGACTGCTGGGATGTATAATTCCTCTCTGGCTATGGATTGTCTAAATGCTCCCTCCATGAGTGCCGGTTGAGTTCTGCCTGGTGTTGCTTTCTGCTGTGACAGGGCAGCACTGAGTTCCAATGCAAAGTCCCACAATCACTGTGCTCCCCCAAGTACACAAATTCTCTCTTCGTGCCACATGGCTGCTTCCAAGGGATGGGCATTGGCAATTCAAGAGTATCTTTTCCATTATCTTCAATGTCTCTTTCAGTGATATGAAGTGAAAAACAGGTACTGTGATCATTCACCTGATTTTTTGTTCTTATGAAGGTGTTTTTTTGTGTGGATAGTTCTTCAATTTGGCGTTCTTGTGGGGAGGACAGTTGGTGGAGGCTGCTATTTGGCCATTTTGCTCTGCCTCCTCCTCAGCATCTCTATTTTGTATAACTACGACAGGTGAGTCTAATATGCAGCCAAGGTTGAGAACTACTGACTTACAGGAACCTAAATACGGAAATTATGGTCATCATTAAGAACAATATCCGTCATCAAGAGTAGAACTAAATTGGACAAATAAGTAGATCTCAAAATACTCCAGAAACACTGAGTCACTATAGAAATTTGAGGTGCTTTGTAACCCAAAAGTTCTTGTGAATTAAAAGTTAATGGCAGTGATGTCAGCAAAAATGGTGGAGTAGGCAGCTCTAAGCTCTCTTGTCCACCCATAGAAATACTGAAAAACAAGCAGAAATGCTAAAAACCAACTTTGTCAGAATACTGGAAAATAGTCAAAGGTTTACATCAACCAAATGAATATTGAATCAAGAAAAAAGGCAACTTGAAAGCAATAGAAAACATTTGTGGAATTTATTTGCTCTTGCTCTGCCTCCAGCCTAGATGGTAGCAGAGTTGGAACAGCAGCAGCCTTTGTCCTAGTGTGGATCCTGAATCCTGGTTCCAGAGGAACAAAGCAGACCTTATTTGCAAAGTGTTGTGTATGTCTATTCCAGCCTCTCTGGGGGCTATCTGAAGGACTGTCTCAAAGTGTGTCTGTGTTTCACCTAACTCAGGACTCAGGCCATAAAAGCCACACAGTGTTCAAAACTACAAGGCAAACTAACAAACTACAGATGCCTGGAGTAAAGTATTATAGATACAGCAGACCACTTAAGTCCTAGGAGGAAAATCTGAGGGAGATTCTGTGAGAAATAAGGACTTTCAGAAGTACTTATGTATATGAGAAATATACAAGCAAATTTAGACAAATGCTCAGAAAAGACCTAAGAAGACCTGAAGCTTTCACCTCAGACTGATCCCTAGCTTCAGTGCAAGCCTATATATGTGTTGGAATGCCCCACCACAGAGCTAATCTGCAAAGACTGGGAGAGTTGTTAGGGTTTTTTTGTATATATATTTTTGTTTTTCTTTACTATTTTTTTGGGGGGAGGGTGGTATTTATTTTAGTTTAGTTCATTTATTTTTTAGTTCCTGACCTTCAAGGAAATCTTTGAAAGAATGGAGACTTCAATGATCACACACAACAAGGAATACAGTCATCTTTGCAAAAATAATCTGGAAAAGTCACTAAACAACCAGACTACTACAGCCTTCAATAAAAAGAAAAACCAAGGCTGGGCATGGTGGCTCGCACCTGTTATCCCAGCACTTTGGGAGGCCGAGGCAGGTGGATCACCTGAGGTCAAGAGTTCAAGACCAGCCAGGCCAACATGGCAAAACGCTGTCTCTACTAAAAATACAAAAATTAGCTGGGCACAGTGGTGGACGCCTGTAATCCCAGCTACTTGGAAGGCTGAGTCAGGAGAATCACTTGAACCTGGGAGGTGGAGGTTGCAGTGAGCCAAGATTACACCACTATACTCCAGCTTGGGCAACAGAGTAAGACTCCGTCTCAAAAAAAAAAAAAAAAGAAAGAAAAACTGAAGTTCATACCCTGGAGAAGGGGAGAATATGATTTTCAGAGTTACCACATTGTAATAGTCAAATGTCCAATTTTCAATAAAAATCACAAGGCATACAAAAGAAAAAACAGGAAAGTGGACAGGCGCGGTAGCTCATGCCCATAATCCCAGCACTTTGGGAGGCCAAGGTGGGTGGATCACTTGAAGTCAGGAGTTCAAGATCAACCTGGCCAACATGATGAAACCTCATCTCTACTAAAAATACAAAAATTAGCCAGACATGGTGGCACACGCCTATAACCCCAGCTACTCAGGAGGCTGAGGCAGGAGAATCACTTGAACCCAGGAGGCAGATGTTGCAGTCAGCTGAGATTGCACCACTGCACTCCAGCCTGAGTGACAGAGCGACAAAAAAACAAACAAAACAAACAAACAAACAAAACAAACAGGAAAGTATAGCCCATTCAAAGGAACAAAATAAACCAATGAAATTATCCCTGAGGAAGCCCAGATACTGGACTTACTAGACAAAGACTTAAAAACAACTGTCTTAAATATGCTAAAATTGCTAAAGGAAAACATGGACAAAGAACTAAAGAAAATCAGGAAAATGATGTATGAATGAAATTAGAATATCAACAAAGATAGAAATTACACAAAGGAACCAAACAGAAGTTCTGGAACTATAAAATACAATAACTGAGATGAAAAATTCACTATATCAGATTTAAGCAGGCAAAAGAAAGAATCAGGGAACTTGAATATAGGATAATTCAAATTATCAAGTCCGAGGCGCAGAAAGAAAAAAAAAAGAATGAAGAAAACTGAACAGAGCCTAAGGGACTTGTGGGAAAGCACCAAGCTGACCATAATATGCATTATGGGAGTTCCAGAAGGAGAAGATAGAGAAAAATACGAAGAGATTATTTGAAGAAATAATGGCTAAAAACTTCCCAAATATGATGAAAGGCAAAGAAAAGTCTACTACCAGATGGTTTAGTGATTAATTTTACCAAACAGTTAAAAAAGAATTGACACTATTTCTTCTCAAACTCTTCCAAAAAATTGAAGAGGAAGTCCATTCTTTGAGTCCAGCACTACCCTGCTACCAAAGCCAGATAAAGACATAACAAGAAAAGAAAATTATAGACCAAACAACTTTATGAATGTAATGTGAAAATCAGCAACAAAACAGCAGCAAACCTAATCCAACAGTATATTAAAATGATTATATACCATAGCCAAGTGGGATTTATCCTAGGAAATGCAAGAATGGCTCAACATAAGAAAATCAATGTGGCCAGGCATAGTGACTCACAGCTGTAATCCCAACACTTTGGAAGGCTGAAACAGGCAGATCACTTGATCCCAGGAGTTTGAGCCCAGCCTGGGCAACATGGCAAAACTCCATCTCTACAAAAAACACAAAACTTAGCTGAGTGTGATGGCACATGCCCGTAGTCCCAGCTACTCAGGAGCCTGAGGTGGGAGGACTTGAGCCCAGGAGGTAGAGGTTGCTGTGACCTGAGATCATGCCACTGCACTCCAGCCTGGGCAACAGAGCCAGACCCTGTGTGAAGGAAAAAAAAAAAGTCAGTATTACCCAAGGTGATCTAGAGTTTCAGTACAATCACTATCAAAATTTCAGCAGCTTTGCAGTGGCTCTCAACCTGTAATCCCAGCACTTTGGGAGGCCAAGGCAGGAAGATCGCTTGAGCCCAGGAGTTCGAGACCAGCCTGGACAACATGGGGAAACCCCATCTCTACAAAATAATTTTAAAAATTAGTAGGGTGTGGTGGTGCACGCCTATAGTTCCTGCTACCTGGGAGGCTGAGGTGAAATGATCACCTGAGTGGGGGAGGTCATGGCTGCAGTGAGCTGTAATCATGCCACTATACTCTAGTCTGGGCAACAAAGTGAGTCCCTGTCTCAAAAAAAAAAAAAAAAAAAAAAAAAAATCCAACCGCCTTTTTTTGCAAAAATGGAAAAGCTGATTTTCAAATTTATGTAGAATTGCAAGGGACCTTGAATAGCCCGTAAGAGTCTTGAAAATTAAGAACAGTGTTGGAGACCTCACACATCCCAATTCCAAAATTTACTACAAAGCTACAGTAATCAAAACAGTGTGTTACTGGCATAAGGATAAATATATACATATATATATATTTGTTTTGTTTTGTTTTCTGAGAGAGTCTCACTCTGTTATCGAGGCTGGAGTACAGTGGTGCAGTCTCCGCTCACTGCAACCTCCGCCTCCCGAGTTCAAGCGATTCTCCTGCCTCACCCTCCTGAGTAGCTGGGATCACAGGCACATGCCACCGCACCCAGCTAACTTTTGTATTTTTACTAGAGATGGGGTTTCACCACGTTGGCCAGGCTGGTCTCAAACTCCTGAGCTCAGGTGATACGCCTGCCTTGGCCTCCCAAAGTGCTGGAATTACAGGCGTGAGCCACCACACCTGGCCAAATATATATTTATTTATAATTATATTTTTTTAATTTATAAATATATATATGTATTTATATTGGGGGGTGTGTGTGTATATGCATATCAATGGAGTAGAATAGAGATCCCAGAGATAAACTCTTACATTTATGGTCAATTGATTTTTGACAAGGTTACCAAGACAACTCAATGGGGAAAACATAGTTTTTTTCAACAAATGGGACCGGGACAACTGGATATACATGTGCAAAAGGATGAAATGGGCTTCCTACCTCGTACTATATACAAAAATTAACTCAAAATGGAACAATGATCCAAAATAAATTTAAGAGATAAAACCATACGACTCTTACAAGAAAACAAAAGGGTGAATCTTCATGAGCTTAAATTTGGCAATGGATTCTTAGATATGATACCAAAAGCCTGAGCAACAAAAGAAAAAACAAAGTTGGACTTCATCAAAATTAAAAATGTTTGTGTATCAAAGGACATTATCAAGGAAATGAAAAGACAATCAACAGAGTGGTAGAAAATATTTGCAAGTCATACATCTAATAAGCATGTAATATCCAGAATATTTTAAAAACTCCTAGCCGGGTGTGGTGGCTCATGCCTGTAATCCCAACACTTTGGGAGGCCAAGGCAGGCAGATCATGAGGTCAGGAAATCAAGACCATCCTGGCTAACACAGTGAAACCCCGTCTCTACTAAAAATACAAAAAATTAGCCAGGCGTGATTGCAAGCGCCTGTAGTCCCAGCTACTCAGGAGGCTGAGGCAGGAGAATGGCTTGAACCCAGGAGGCAAAGGTTACAGTTAGCTGAGATCACACCACTGCACTCCAGCCTGGGTGACAGAGTGAGACTCCATCTCAAAAAAATAAAAATAAAAACAAACAAACAAAAAAACCCACAACTCCTATAACTCAACAACAAAAAAACAACCCAATTCAAAAACGTACAAAAGAACTGAATTGAGGCTGGGCACAGTGGCTCACGCCTGTAATCCCAGCACTTTGGGAGACTGAGGCGGGCAGATCACAAGGTCAGGAGTTCGAGATCAGCCTGGCCAACATGGTGAAACCCTGTCTCTACTAAAAATACAAAAAAAAAAAAAAAAATTAGCCAGGCGTGGTGGCAGGCACCTGTAATCCCAGCTACTTGGGAGGCTGAGGCAGGGGAATCACTTGAAACTGGAAGGCAGAGGTTGCAGTGAGCCGAAATTGGGCCACTGCACTCCAGCCTGGGTGAAAGAACGTAACTCTGTCTCAAAAAAAGAAAAAAAAAAAAGAACGGAATCGATATTTTTCCAAAGAAGATATGCAAATGGCCAATAAGCACATGAAAAGATACTCAATATCATTAGTCAGTAGGGAAATGCAAATCAAAACTACAACAAAATATCACTTTAAACCTATCAGTATCACTACAATTCTTTTTGTAAAACAGAAAATAACAAGTGTTGGCAAGGATGTGGAAAAGTTAGAACCTTTATGTATTGCTGGTGGAAATGTAAAATTATGCAGCTGCTGTGGAAAACAGTCTGACAGTTCCTCAGAAAGCTAAACATACAATTACCATACACCCCAGCAATTCCACTCCTAGCTACATAGCCAATAGAATTAAAAACAGAGATTCAGATAGTTGTATGCCAGTGTTCACTGCAGCATCATTCACAAGAACCGAAAGATGGAAACAATACAGTTTTCATCAACAGATGAAGGGATAAACAAAATGAATATATATATTTGGAACAGAATATTATTCAGCCTTAACAAGGAGTGAAGTTCTGATGCATGCTACAATATGGATGAAACTTTAAACATTATGCTAGGCTGGTCACAGTGGCTCATGCCTGTAATCCCAGCACTTTGGGAGGCTGAGGCAGGAAGATTACTTGAGGTCAGCAGTTCACGACCAGCCTGGCCAACATGGTGAACCCCCACCTGTGCTGAAAATACAAAAATTAGCCGGTGTGGTGGTGCACGCCTGTAATCCCAGCTACTTGGGAGGCCGAGGCAGGAGAATCGCTTGAACCTGGGAGGTGGAGGTTGCAGTGAGCCAAGATCACAACACTGCACTCCAGCCCAGGTGACAGAGTGAGACTCTGTCTCAAAAAAAAAAAAAAGAAAAAAAAAAACACGTTTTTTTTCAGAGACAGAGACAAGATATTCTATGATTCCACTTATATGAAATATGTAGAATAGGCAAATTCATAGAGACAGGAAATATATTAGAAATTACCAAGGGCTGGATGGAGGAGAGAATGGGAACTTATTGCTTGTTGGTTACAGAATTTCTGTTTGGGGTGATGAAAAAGTTTTGGAAACAGATTGTGGTGATGGTTGCACAACACTGTGAATGTAATTAATGCCATGAAATGAACACTTAAAAATGGTTAAAATGACAAATTTTAATATATATTATATATAAATACAAGATTAAATTATCATTAAAGAAAATATGGGCTGGGTGCGGTAGCTCACACCTCTAATCCCAGCACTTTGGGAGGCTGAGGCAGGCAGATCACGAGGTCAGATCGAGACCATCCTGGCCAACATGGTGAAATCCCGTCTTTACTAAAAATACAAAAATTAGCTGGACGCAGTGGTGTGTGCCTGTAATCCCAGCTATTTGGGAGGCTGAGGCAGGAGAATCGCTTGAACCAGGGAGTTGGAGGTTGCAGTGAACCGAGATCATGCCACTGCACTCCAGCCTAGCAACAGAGCAAGACTTCATCTCAAAAAAAAAATCTTTATCTGAGGCCCCATGACATACACATATATATATATATATATATATATATATATATATATATATATATATATATATATACACACACACATGTTACCATAATAGCTAATGGCTATCATCAGAATAATGCTTTCCTTTCTATAGGAAAGGGAATTGAATACAACTGGGGAGAGGGTTTCATTGGAAATATTCTATGGGTAATATCCTATTTACAACTGTATGATGGACAGATGCATATTTTAGTATATTTTTATACTTTTATTATATCTTAATATAATAAAGTATGACTCAAGGGATACATTTAAAAATAATAAAATAAATTTTAAAGTATATAATAAAGGCAGGATGCTATAGGAGCATAAAGAAAATGCGCAGATGATAAGATAAGGATTCTCGAAGCCTAGACATAACACACAACACTAGACTATAAGTTCCAAGAGGTTAAAAACTATGTACAATTTACCCACCATTCTATCCCAAATATCTGGCACACAGTAGGTACTCAATATTTCCTCAATTTTAAAAACTCATGGCTATTACTGTAAGAAAATTTAATGTCTAAGAAAATCTGGAGTCAGCTAAATAAATTTGGGAGGTATTATTTTGCTTTATAAACTATTTCAGGCCAGGCACAGTGGATCACGCTTATAATCCCAGCACTTTGGGAGGCCGAGGTGGGAGGATTGTTTGAATCCAGGAGTTCAAGACGAGCCTGGGCAGCATAGCGAGACCTCATCTCTAAAAAAAAATTTTTTTAGTTATCTGGGTGTGATGGCACATGCCTGTAGTCCCAGCTACTCTGGGAGGTTGCTGAGGTGGGAGGATCGCTTGAGCCTAGGAGGTTGAGGCTGCAGTTAGCCATGATTATGCCACTCCACTCAGCCTGGGTGACAAAGTAAGACCCTGTCTCAAAAAAAGAAAAAAAAATTCATGACATAATTCCTATGTAAAACAAGCTGTTTGGGTGAATTGAAGTTACATATGGCATATAAACATATGATTTACTTGCAACTTTGAATAATAAATCTATGTAGAATAAAATAGTGTAATAATTAAAAGTTTGGACTTTGGAGTCCCCAACCCTCAAGTTTATTTCCAGTGCTGTGGTTTGCTTATATGTAAAATGGATGGGGGTGATAATAGTACATATCCTACTGAGCTGTTATGAGGACTAAATGAAAAGAAGCCAAATAAATATAAGGGATAAAATATATGATATAGGTCTCAGTGTCCCTGAGCTTTTCATCCCAAGGAATAGGGAAAGGAGAATGAATTGAGTGAATAGAGGTTTGCATTATTGAATAAATATTTATTGAACATCTATTGAGTGCTGAGGATAGAAATGAGACCTAATCAGGGAGCTTACAATCTAATTAAATTTTAAGAGGCTATTAAAATTAAAACTTTGTAGTAGGCAGGGCATGGTAGCTCACGCCTGTAATCCCAGCACTTTGGGAGGCCGAGGCATGCAGATCACTTGAGGCCAGGAATTCGAGACCAGCCTGGCCAACATGGTGAAACCCCTTCTATACTAAAAACACAAAAAATTAGCCAGGCGTGGTAGCATGCGCCTGTAGTCCCAACTGCTTGGGAGGCTGAGACACAAGAATCGCTTGAACCCAGGAGACGGAGGCTGCAGTGAGCTTAGATTGCACCACTATACTCCAGCCTGGGTGACAGAGCAACTCTATCTAAAACAAACAAACAAAAAACAAAACAAAAAAACTTTGTAGTAAAGTATAGGGAAAAAATTAAATGAGGCAGCATTGTATAATGAAAAAAAATACAAGTTTGAATCCCTTTGATTATTGGCCGCATTGCCTTTCAATGTGATCTCAGAAAGTTATTTAATCTCTCTACATAAACAAGAGAATAATAATATATATACCTTTCTGAGAAATAAAAGATATAAAGTATATTAATGAGTCTAAAATAGTGCCCTACCCTAGTAGATCCTACGTAAATGTCAAATTTTTTTCCTCTCTGAAGGAAAAAAAAGCATATAAAATTATATCTATGCAGTGGCCTCAATTGCATAAAATTATATATAGATATAGTCCAGTACAGAAATGAACATAGAAAAGTGAACCAAAACTATTGATTTGGTGTGAGGTAAGATTTTTAAGTGTTTTAATCTGTCACTACTGCAATGTTATTCATGCAAGAAATAAAAAATTATTATCTTAAAAAGTCATAGTTACTTTGAGACACAGAATACAAATAAGAAAATAATTTTTCATATGTAACTAACCTGCACATTGTGCACATGTACCCTAAAACTTAAACTATAATAATAATAATAAAAAGAAAATAATAATAATAATAATAATTTTTAATTTTAGAGAAAAAAATCGTGGCTAGTTGTTATGGGGCCTCAGATAAACATATTTTCTTTAATGATAATTTAATCTTGTATTTATAGATAATATTATATAATAACCTAACAACATATTTAAAGATCCTGTGAAAGTAGTGGTATGCCTGTGTGGCCTTCCTCCAAATTTTGGATTGACCCTCTCCTTCTGGCTTCAATCAATAAGATTGCTCCATACTTTGAGACTTCATCAGGCCCTGCTCTCAAGTCTTTTGGATAAGAATAAGCAAGACCCAGCTCTCAAAATGGGACCAGATAGCTCTTAAGGCCTGTCGTTGTCAATGTCCATACTGCTTCCAAGCAACCAGAGTTTTAAAAAGAAACTTAGGAGGAGGAAATCTGTTGGCATGTCATTGTAGCAGAACAATTGTGAGCTGATGTGGATCACATATACAACTTTAGATATATTTCACTCATTTTGTTTAGAGCCCTAAAAAGGTACATTCTTTTTTTATGGAGAAAGAAACTTTAGACACTAAAAGAGGTCACTTGTGACATGCAAAATACAGTAGAATGGCATGTAATCAGATTTCTCAGTCCAGAGCTTTTCCTAATGCTTTCTATTATTGGCCTGCTGAGAATTCCCTCAGTCTTCACCACTAAATAAATGGGGATCAGAATGCATCAGGGTCGTGAGAACTAACAAAATGCTGTATTTGATGATTTGACTCCTGGGAGGCAAAATAGGCTAGAAAGTATCATTAGTAACATTTGGTTGAGAAAAGATGTAACAAACCACATAGTCCTAGTCAGAACGTGGGAATGAAGTTTTGCCTCTTTTTCCCTACTGTTTGGTATTATATTCCCATAAGAAGGTTGTTTTAATAGTAGTTATGGCCACAGGGAAAACAGAGAATTGGATGGTGGGTATTTTGATAACCTTTATGTAAGGGAAAGGGCAGCAGCCTCTTCTAAAGAAGTTGCCGGTCATTCAGGAGTGAGGCAGCTGGGGAAAAAAACAGTCTTATCTCTCAGGACACACCAACTACCAAGATAATCTAAGAATCATTGTTGTTTACAGCTGAGTGCTTGTGAAATTGACAAATAGGTTATGTGTGCCCTGCTTGTGTGCATAAAAAGAGACAAGGCAGTGAAGTCATCAGTAAAGAGTGACCCTTCCCAAGAGACCTATTATGATGCAAGTCATCAGAGCCCAGTGATTCCCACACATATGATAAAGTGTATGACTTTTCTTAACACACTGAGATTTTATTAGGTCCTAACAGAATAGTAAGAAAAGTTGATTTCCTTTTGTTTTCCTCTTGGACCAGTCATCAACTTGGCAAAAATAACTGTGTCTACCAATTGTGGCAATAGGGCCAATGGAATAACTGCAAACACTAATTATGCCCTTTTTTGGGAGGCAGTTATTATACTGATGCAGAATAAGTGGAAGCCTGTCTGGAAAGAGCACTCAGAAAGAACAAATTTTTATTTTCCTTGCTGAGGACTAAAATAATAATAGTAACAGTAGTTGAAATTTTTATAGCATTTGTCAATTTTCAAATTGCTTTTTTAAAATACTTTTACAAAGGAACTGTGACTCTCTGTTTTGATGATTTGAGTTAGAGTACTTAGGGGATGCTGAGGTGCCCTCGCAAATTTCTTTCTGACAGTCCTGGTGAAAGGTGTACCCTCTGGACCCTCCTTGGGTGAGTGAGCAGGTTTACATCATAACTCTAACATTCCAATACCCCTAAACCTTTGGATACCTTCTTCTGCAGTATTCCAAGGTAACTACTTCATCTGATCTTCAAAATCTTTCTCTTCTGTGTAATCTGTGCCATGTCGCTTAACCTCTCAGAAGTTCAGTCCTACTATCTGTTAAAAAAAAAAAAGGATAATACCATTTACTTAACAGAATTGTTTTGATGATGAAAAGGAAGCATATGTATAAAGTACTTAGCACCACGCCTAGAATGAGGGATCAGTGAATGCTATCTCAGCCCTTTGTTATATCAGGCTTTCAATACCGGGTCATTCAGCTCCTAAGGACCAGATCCAGGTCCAGAACCTAGGTCTTCTCACTGCACCATTTTGCAAAGGAAAGCAAGAGTATTCCACCTTACACCTGTCATGTACATATGGTCCATCTCATTCTCATGCTTTGTTGGATTGAACTATTCAAAACAGTAATGAGGATTGACACAACTTAAAGGAAAAGAGACTCATTTCAGTTCATCTCTCTTTATGTTCCCAATTTTCCTAGAACTTGTCTTTATTAAGTTTCCTTTATTCTGGTTTTGTTTCTGAGACATTGTATGAAATGAAAACTAGTCCCACGTTAAACTCAACTAGAGAGAGATTATCTTTAAAGCATTCATATAAACAAAGGGACTATGAAATAGCCAACATCATAATTGGAACTAGAGCAAATCACAGTAAAACAAAAATTATTGATTAGGTTTTATTCTTAACACCAGTTAAGTAACTATGTGCAAGTGTAAAACCTTCACTTGTTGATTTCTAAGATTAAAATCCATAAAACTGTCCATAATCTATACCTCTCACATTTACCTCTCCATAGTAGATCAAACAAGAGTAATTAGATTTCTGCCTGACTAGCAGGGGAGAAAAAAACTGTTTCATTTTTGGATCAAAATCTTCCTAGTGGATTGAATCACATTCTTTTCCTTTACCTATCAACAGTTAGCAATTGCTTTTGTGTTTTATTTGGTTCAAACTATCAAAATGTGATTCTATAATTTTCAGTAGAAAGAATGTCAGAGTCTAAAATTTGATTCTCATTCTAGATTTAAAGATTATTCTCCCCATTTCACTTTCTCCAAAGTTCTAGGCTTGATATCATTTTAAATGTGATAGTACCTATCTTCCTCATCCCCACAAAAGAAAAATCAACTTGTAATCCGAAGCCTTAGTTCACTGAAAGGCAAACTATAATTATTGATTTAGAATATGACTTTAGTACCAGAAAAGCAATTATCTGACCTTACCTTATCCCTATGCTCTTGCCTTATCCCAATTCAAATGAGACTGACACTGTTGAATATCTAATAACAATATCTAATAACAGTAATTTCACAAGATGCTATTTCTGAAACAAGATTACATTCTGTACAGCCTCACTTATTCTTATGTAAAACTCAGAATCTTAAACCAGCTCCTATAAAGGCATTTAATATTTCATCCACATGGGCTAAACTATCATCCATATCAGCCCTACCTCCTGGTTACTTCAGCAAAAGATATGTAATAGGAAGCATAGCTATGGCCATAATTACTTTAAAATCAGTTTGTTCACATTTGGATCTGCAGTTCTTACAAATGAAAATACATAATTATAACATTAAAAAGCAAATCACGGCTGGGCGCGGTGGCTCACACCTGTAATCCCAGCACTTTGGGAGGCTGAGGTGGTGGATTACTTGAGGTCAAGAGTTCAAGACCAGCCTGGCCAACATGGTAACAAACATTTGCCAGGCGTGGTGGTGTATGCCTGTAATCCCAGCTACTCGGGAGGCTGAGGCAGGATAATCACTTGAACCTAGGAGGCAGAGGTTGCAGTGAGCCGAGATCACACCACTGCACTCCAGCCTGGGGGACAGAGTGAGACTCTGTCTTAAAAAAAAAAAAAAATGCAACTCATGGTTCTGGTAATAACTTTACCAACTAGAGATAAGTCAACTGGGGTAAAAAGACAAAAGTTTCAGTTCTCATTCTGTCTTGAAAGTGACACTGGTACAGTCATACATCACTTAACGACAGGGATACATTCTGAGAAATGTGTCCTTAGGTGATTTTGTCATTGTTCAAACATCATAGAGTGTACTTACACAAACTTAGATGGTATACATAAACCAGTGGCATAGTCATTTATTATCATTATCAGATATTATGTACTATACATAATTGCATGTGCCGTACTTTTATACTACTGTCAGTGCAGTAGGTTGGTTTACACCAGCATCACCGCAAACACATGAGTAATACATTGTGCTAGATGTTACAATAGTGATGATGTCACAAGATAGGAATTTTTCAGCTCCATTATAATCTTATGGGACCACCATTGTATATGTGGCCCATTGTTAACTGAAACGTCATTATGCAGTGCAGCGCACGACTATATATTGATATGGTGCACTTTGGACCTGAGCACTTGAGCAGTGGCAGGAATTGATGGAAAAAAGGAAAAGAGCTTCTGGAATTTTTTGTTGTTGTTGTTGTTTTTGTTTTTATTTTTGTAGAGACAGGGTCTCACTACGTTGCCCGGGCTGGTCTCAAACTCCTGGGCTCAAAGTGCTCGGATTACAGAAATGAGCCAACCATGCCCAGCCTGGAAGTTTCAGAAAGAGAAAAATCGGATGTTCCTGCAGAAAGGTAACACTATTTTTTAGAGGAGCTGCCGGTTTACTAGTATATTAGTTAGTGGTTTCTTAAAAAAGAAACGAGCTGGCACTTTAGAACATTTCAGCCTGGCATACTATATAAAGCTATTTGTTTAGTCGTAGCAAAGGAAAGATGATCTCAGCCACATAGCTTGTTTATATATGTTGGACCTATCTTAGAGCACATTTCATCCCCCTGTAGCGTTAATTGTTAATGGTAGTTTTACTTATTTTAATAAACATGATGCGAATAATAGAACTGCACCTGCATTTTAGAGTTTAGACAATGTTGTCACATACATCTCATTTGATCCTTACAACTCTGTGAATTGGGTAGTACAGATACTGTTTTTACAAATGAGGAAGCTGAGATTCAGAGAGGCCAAGTAACTTGCCTAAGATTTCCCAGCCAGAGAGACCTAGAACTGACTACTATATTACATCATGTCACTTCATGGTAATAAAACTCTTCAGTGGGGTACTGCAGGGTAAGACATTCTATATTATATGGGCATGTAATTATAGTAACACAGGAAGAAATGTTCGAACACGTACAAAATTCGTTTAGTCACTATTTAGGTGACCAAAAGATGGCATTAACTGTTATCTTGCGTCTGCATTGTATATTAAGGAGTATACTGTGAATAATCTTTGAGATTTTATCTTTGTGTGTGAGAAACAGGCTCTCACTGTATTGCCCAGGCTGGAGTGCAGTGGTGCACTCACGGCTCACTGTAGCACTGATCTCCCAGGCTCAAGTGATCCTACCACCTCAGCCTCCTGAGTAGCCAGGACCACAGGCATATGCCACCATGCCAAGCTAATTTTTTTATTTTTTGTAGAGGCAGAGTCTCACTATGTTGTCCAGGCTGGGCCTGAACTCCTGGGCTCCAGTGATCCACCTGCCTTGGCCTCCCAAAGTGCTGGGATTACAGGCATGAGCCACCACGCCTAGCCTGAGATTTTCTTTAGTGATGGCTGCAATTAAATTTTTAGTGAAAATAGTTTTTTTCTGATTCTAATAATGATACATTCTGGTAGGACAGAAAAATATGAATATAATATATAAAATATAAAGAATGAAGTATAATGTACTAGAACTCCCAGCACCTAGGGTAAACCACTGCTCCTTTCAGAATCTCTCAAAGCACATACACATGCACACACAAGACTTTATCCTTTTTAAACTATCGTCATTTTTCACTAGACAACACTTTAAATATTTTCCCATATCAATAGATGAGATCTACTTACCCATTTTTAATTGTTGATAGTATACAATGTATAGATGTACCTTTTTTCCCCCATCTAAGCTTCTATTGGTGGACATTTGAGACATTTCCATTTTTATTTTGCTATTATAAATTATTGGGAAAATTTAGGACACTATTCCTGAAAGTATTACTGAATCAGAGATTACTCCAATTTAAGATTACGATAAATATTGCCATACATCTCTCCAGAAATGTTGTAATTTGTATTCATGTTGACAGTGACTGAGGACAAATTTTCTCACACTTTCCGTGATAAACAGGTTATGTCAAGTAATTTTCATCTTTTCCAAAATGAATAATTGAAATGGGAACATGTGAGAAGACCCCGATGAAACTGGGAGCATTGAACCCCTGAATTCTGCTGAGTGTTCTTTGCAGTAAAAGACCCCTTCTCTACAGCCTTATGGAGAGTTCCTTACAGTTTACTGAGGAAGAGAAAACTCAGGCCTGATTTATAGATGATCCTGCCCAATATGTAATACAACCCACAAGTGGACAACTACACAAGACAGTCCCTTCTGGGACACCCTGAAGGACAGCAGTGAAGGTAAATCCTCCCAGAAGGTACCTTGAGCAGTGTACCTAGTTATTCATTTTGCTTAGAAGGAGAAATGGCCAACAGTATCAGTCTATATGGTTTATGGGCTACAGCCAATAGTTGGCTGGATGATCAGTGACTTAGAAGGAACATGACTGGAAAAATTGGTGACAAGGAGGTCTGGAGAAGAGATATGTGGATAGATCTCTCTTAGTGGGCAAAGAATGTTAGATATTTGTTTCCTTTGTGAATGCTCATCAAAAGGTGACCTCAGAGTTTGGTAAATAATTGAACGTGGAAAGCTAAGGAAAAGGAAGAATCAAAAGCAATTACAAGACTATGATCATAGAAAACTAGGAGAATGGTGAGAGTAGGAAGGCTCTCAGGGTGGGGTACTGGCATGATATACAAGTAGACGTACCATATAGCTAGTTGTCTATAGATATAGATCTATAAGGCACAAAAAATGGCATTTGAAGCTATGAGAGTACATAACCTTTCCTCAAAAGTAGCTTCCCTTTGAGGACCAAGGTCTGAGCCTTGTAGAACCTCTGATGCAGGTCAGGTAGCATAAGAGGTAAAGAGAAACAATATTTGACAAACAATGAGGGTTTGGTTTTGCATAAGAACAGAATAGCAATAATGGTGAAAGCAGAGAGGAGTTCAAGATTTCAAAAGACTATTCATCACACAAAAACCTGTACATGAAAGTTCGTAGTAGCTTTACTGATAATAGCCAAAAACTGGAAACAACCCAAATGTTTTTCAAATGGTGATTGGTTAAACAAACTACAAAATACTACTCAACAATCAAAATGAATGAACTAGTATTATATGCAAGAACTTGGATGGCTCTCAAGAGAATTATGCTGAGAGACTAAAGCCAGCCTCAAAAGGTTACTTATTTATATTATTCGATTTATTCAACATTCTCAAAATGATAAAATTATGGAGATGGAGAACATATTAGTGGTTTCCTGGGGTTGTAGAGAGGAAAGGGAGTGGGTATAACTGTAAAAAGGGGTAGCATAAGGGATCTTTGTGGCAATAGAACAGTTCTGTTTCTTGACTGTGGTAGTGTTAACACAAACCTACACATATGATAAAATTGCATAGAACTACCACATACACTCACATGCACAAATGAATGCATGTAAAACTGGTAAAATCTCAATTTCTTTATATAAGATGATATAAGATTTTATTATGTAAGATGTTACTATTGGGAGAAACTGGGGGAGGGGTGTACAGGATCTGTCTCTACTAATTTTCATGACTTCCTATGAATCTATAATTATTTCAAAATAAAAAGGAAAAAAAAACTGTGCCAAGGGGAAAAAAAAGACTATTAGGTTTAGCCAGGAGCAGTTAATTTTAGAATATTTTCTGTAGAGTGGTGAGGATAAGAGCCAAAAAAACAAGAGATTAAAGAAAGAAATAGATGGAAAATAGTCTCTTCTTCCAACTAAACCCAAATAATCCGCAGTACTTTCTTAACATTATAATCCATACCAACCAAAATGGAAAAGGCTTCTGAAATAAAAGAAAAAAGGAAGGATTCCTTTTTAGGCTGTAGCAAACAAAAACAAACACAGTTTGAGGAGATTTGGGAGGTTTTATACCTTAATGTTTAAACCTGGCTGCCAGAGGAATGTAAATAGAAGACTGTCTTTTTCTATCTTGTTATCCTCCAGGAGAATTAACTTTTCCAACCAGAAATCAACATCCTGAAGGGCCAGGATCAGAGGCCATCAAAGGTTTATTACCAGCCAGATTATTATCAAGGAGCAGAGACAATAATTATTACATTGTTGACAAACAGATACATTTTTGCTTTCTGGTCCCTTCATGTTGTACTCAGGATTAGTATTTTTAGGAAGATTAGAGAATACTTTGCAGAATACCTTAAGTGATAAAAAGTCACTAGGGAGTATATTTGCAGCTCAGCATGTGGGACCAAAGAAGTTCAGCTCATTGCCTGATCTAAAAATAATCATCCTTGATGTAGAATCCTGTTAGGTTCAGAAATGTAACATATAAGCTAAAATATTTCTACCTATCTCAGAAGTCCCAATTATACAAATTTATATCTGCAGATCTCATAGTCTAAAATCTGATGCATCTCTCTCCAGCTCTCTCCATGTACTTTGAATAAAGAATATATATATTCTCTGAATCTCTAGATCTCCTTCTCAAAATCTAATCACAACAAATTAGCTGTTTCTTTTAGCTTCCCATCAAGAATGGCTTGGCACAGTGGCTCATGCCCATAAGCCCAGCACTTTGAGAGGCTGAGACAGGAGGATCAATTGAGGTCAGGAGTTCAAGACCAGCCTGGACAACAGAGCAAGACTCTATCTCTACAAATTTTTTTTTTAAATTAGCCAGGAGTAGTGGTCCTACTTGGGAGGCTGAGGCAGGAGGATCACTTGGGCCTAGGAGTTAAAGGTTACAGTGAGCTATGATCTCCCCACTGCACTCCAGCCCAGGTGACAGGGTGAAACTCTGTCTCTAAAAAAAAAAAATTTTAATAAAAAAAGCTGGGCACGGTGGCTCACGCCTGTAATCCAAGCACTTTGGGAGGCTGAGGCGGGTGGATCACCTGAGGTCAGAAGTTCAAGACCAGCCTGGTCAACATGGTGAAACCCCATCTCTACTAAATATGCAAAAATTAGCCAGGCATGGTGGCGGGCACCTGTAATCTCAGCTACTCGGAAGGCTGAGGTAGGAGAATCTCTTGAACCCAGGAGAGAGAGGTTGCAGTGAGCCAAGATCGCACCATTGCACTCCAGCCTGGGCAACAAGAGCGAAACTTCATCTCAAAAAAAAAAGAGTCTGGGTGCAGTGGCTCACGCCTGTAATCCCAGCACTTTGGGAGGGTGAGGTGGGCGGGTCACCTGAGATCAGGAGTTTGAGACCAGCCTGGCCAACATGGTGAAACCCTGTCTCTAGTAAAAATACAAAAATTAGCCAGGCATGGTGGTACGCACCTGTAATCCCAGCTACTCGGGAGGCTGAGGCAGAAGAATTGCTTGAACCTGGGAGATGGCGGTTTCAGTGAGCCAAGATCTTGCCACTGCACTTCAGCCTGGGTGATGGAGCAAGACTGCATCTCAAAAAAAAAAGAAAAAAAAAAAAAGAATGGTTTGCTTCTAATTTCATAAAAGTTTTTCTTTGCCTTTTGATAACAACTATAATATTTCATGAATAAATGTATTTTTATTACTAACTTGGGGAAAAATCTTGGAAAATCTTGTTCATATAAATTGGGGTTAATGTTTCAGGAAAAAAAATAGAATCTTAAATTTTTCAAACTGGAAAAGACCTTAAAAGATTCTCTATCAAAACCCCATTCCACCCCCACCCCACCAACTACCTTTTTTTTTTAACTATTTGAGGCCAAATAAATTAGCTTCTCAAATTCATGAAAGGCATAAAGTTAGAGATTTTAATGCTGTTCTTAGAAACTACAGCCTAATCTTTGCCCTTTTGCCAAAAGAAGAAGGAGGAGGAGGAGGGGGAAGGAGAAGGAGGGAAGAGGAGGTAAGAGGAAGAAGAGGAAGGAAGAGGAAGAAGAGGAAAAGGAGGAAGAGGAGGAAGAAGAAGAAGAGGAGGAAGAGGAAGAAGGAGAAGGAGAAGAAGAAAGAAGAATGAGGAGGAGGAGGAAGAAGAAAGAAGAAGGAGGAGGAGGAGGAAGAAGAAGAAGAAAGAAGAAGAAGAAGAAGAAGAAGAAACTACTACACTACTGCTACTACTGCCGCTACCACCACATTTTTTCTGTCTGAATTTGAAAAGACATTTAAAAGTCAATTATATTTTTTGGTTCAACTACTTGATACCAAAAGAATTTGGTCATATGTCTTAACAGCACACATATATATATCTTAAAGAGTGTGTGTGTGTGAATCTATATCTACATATAGCACTTTGTGGCCACATTGAAACACTTATCAAACTACATTACAGCTATTTGTGAATTGTCTATTCACCTGACACAATAGTAGCACCTGGAAATTAGAAACCATATGTTTTTTCCTTACCTTGTGCATTTTTCCACTTTTGAAACTATGAACTATTTCAAAATATTCTCAAAAATAGAGAATAAAAAATAAAAACATAGAGAATAATGTAACAAAGACTTATCATCCAGCATTACCAAATCTTAACATTTTGTTACATTTATTGCATTTTTTAAAAATGAAACACTAGAAATACTGTTGAAACCTTCCAAATTCATTTTCTTCCTTCCCTTCTCAGAGATAATCACTACTATCCAGGATTTGGTGTTATGTCATTCCCATGCATGTTTTTACAGTCTTATCACATATGTATGTATCCATATATTAATATATATGCATTTTATTGTTTTGCATATGCTTTAAAACTATTTTAGTAGTGGCATACCCTGAATATTCTTAAATTTGCTAAATTTTCTTAACTTACTCTGAGCTTTAAGGCTTATCCATGTTGGTAATAATCATTCATGTATTCATTCAAACTGCTATATAGCATTCTATAGTATGAACACATCCCTGGTGAATATGTAGGTAGTTTTCATTTTTCACTATTATAAACAATGCTGTAATGAATATTCTTCTAGATATCTCTGTGCACATGTGCAAGGGTTTCTTTGGGATATTGTTGAAGAAGTAGAATTGCTATACATACTGATAAATTGAAAATGAATTACTTGATATTGACAAATTGCATTCTAAAATGGTTGTCTGATTTTTACTCCCACTCATATTTAAGTCCCCATGTGATCTAGTCCATTTTTTAAATTTTGGCTAATCCGATGGGCGAGGATGACATCTTATTCTTTTGACTTAAATTGTCCTGATTATTAGTTATATTGAACATCTATTCATATGTTCATGGACCCTATTGGATTTCCTCTTCTGTCAACTGCCTGTTTTTATTCTTCACCAATTTCTCTCTAAGGTTGATCAGTAGTCTTTCTCTATATACTGTGCATATACTAATTATTTGTTGGTTGTATACATTGCAAATATTTTCTCCCAGTGAGACCTTGTCCTTTTCATTTCCACCAACCAGTAAACTACCTAGAACCTAAAATATAGAAAAGAGTGCAGAAGAAAAAAATTTTTTGAGACGGGTTTTTTGTTTTTTGTTTGTTTTTGTCGCCCAGACTGGAGCCCTGTGGCATGATCACAGCTCACTGCAGCCTCAATCCCCCAGGCTCAAGTGATCCTCCCACCTCAGCCTCTTGGGTAGCTGGGACTACAGGTGCACACCACAACAACACCTGGCTAATTTTTTGAAATTTTTGTAGAGAGGGGTTTCACCATGTTGCCCAGGCTGCTCTTGAATTCCTGAGCTCAAGCAGTCTACCTGCCTCGGCTTCCCAAAGTGTTGGGATTGCAGGTGTGAGCCACCATGCACGGCCAAAAATTTTTAAAGATACAAAGGGAGAGGGAGAAAAAGGGAAAGAGCAATTTCACACATCATTCTCACCAAGGTATAGCCATTTGACGAAGTTTTTATGGTAGACTTGACAGGACTAATCATCAAATTATTTTCATTGAAAACATCTGTTTTGAATTTATTTATTGATTTATTGATGTATTAAATTTTTTACCATCATAACATCAGGGCATTCTGTGTTGCTAGTGGTGGTACTGACGATGATGCTGGCTTTTTATTTTATACATTGTTATTTTGGTCCATCTGAGCAACTATTTTTTAACCAAAAGAAGTTATTTTTTTTTCTTTTGCCCACTTTTTTGGCAAGTCACTATAGTTGAAAAAGCCTCATATCTAAGTTAATAAATGTTATAAGTTAATAAATGTTACCTTATGATCTCTTAAGACTGTTCTATTGCCGTTTTTTCTTTATCCTCATCCCCAACTTCTGTTCAATAGAAGGCACAATTAATTATATAAAAGATACATAGAGTCTGCATTTGCTTTCCTTAGGCATAGGAATTACACTGGCTATTTCCATACAGGCAGTATTCTCCTAGACCTTCTCTATAGATGCCAATTAGAAGATTAGCGTCTTTTCTCTCTCCCTCTTTGCTATTAAATAGTCACACAAAAGCTGAGCTGACAAATTACTCCGTCCATGGTGCTCGACAAAGACAGACAATAGATCATCATCATTTACTATACTTGAATCCTATTAATCACAGATTAATGAGAACATGTCTAGTGGGGAAGAAATTACCAGAATGTGGGCCTATTGGCTTGTTACTCATGTAACATCTGCTCAGGCTTTACCTTTAGTGTCATGTCATCTTTTATCACATTGAAATAATGTTTGCTCCAGAAACATAATTAAGATAATGGAGCAAATTCAGAGCCCTTCCCTTAATAATTAAAGAACCACGGTTGTATTTCTTAGTTCAGTGGCTTTTAAAAAAAACTAATTTCCCTCTGTTCTTGATTATTTCCTTTTTCTTTTGCTCATAATGAACTATCAAATCTTGGGGCTTTTTTTTCTCTTTGTAAACTATGATTAATCCTCATACCCAAAACTAGGACAAAGTCAGAGTTTGAGTTCCTTTTTCTATTGAGATAAAATTCATATGATATGAAATTCACCATTGTAACCACATTAAAATGCACAATTAAGTGGGATTCCTTTTACAATTTGAAACATCCTAAACTCAGATTAATACTTAGAATATCATATACACTTTGTAAGGATCATCAAGTACTATATTTATTTTCCTTAACCTTCATCTACAATGTACTGTTTTATTTTTATATAATCAAATACTTTTATTTTTAAAATCTGGGGTTTTACCAATGTTTTAGTTTTTTATACTTAAGCTAATTACCTGCTTTACTTTAAAGCACAGAAGTAGAAATTTGGGTTCAAATATTTAATATTCTTGGAGGTCTCCTATCCTTTTGTTGCAACAAGGGGTAGAACTAGGGGAACAAATATAAAGATAAGTTTAAAAATAAAAAGCAATTTTTATTCATCTATAATCATCTATAATGGCATCTATAATCAGCTGCTTAAAAGTAAAAAGTCATAATTCATGATTATAAAACTGAAAAAAGTAATCGCTTGGGTTAAAAAATCTAGAATATATATTTGTTACTCTTGGAAGGCTGTGGTGATGAGTGCTCAGGGCTGGATAAGCTGTGATCTAAGGCTTTGTGATTAAGCCATGATTCAGCACCACGGGAATAAAAACAGCTCCACAACCAAGAGCTGGCAAGCACTAGTTCAGGAAGCAGGGAGGAGGATTGCAAAGAGCTTCTTAATTAAATTTTAATTATTGCTAATTAGAACTACCGTTTTTTTATATCCCCAACAAGGAAGACAAGAGTTGATCTTGCCTTTTTATTATTCTGCTAATTAGTTTCCCAAGGAGAGGTTTGAAAGGGCAGTCTCTGCTTTGACAGTATACAAGTTGTTAGCTGAGCTCAGACCTGCAGATCAATCTCATGCTAAAGTTTGAGCGTTAGTATTCCTAGGTAGATATTTTCTGGTTCTAAAATTTTATTACAAATATCTGAGGGAATGAATTGTCCCTATCCACTATTTAAAGAAATCCATAAGTTAGTTTTCCTGTTGTTTATCCTGTCTACCTTCTCTTCATACAAGTATCAAAGATTTTGCTTAATTATTAAAGTTGTGAATCCTCTACACACATTAATGTGGTAAACTTTGTGCCTTTTTGAATTGTTTGTTAAATGTTAGAGATGATCTCTATCTGATTGTAAAGAACGATTTGATGTACACATAAAAGTAACTGCTAGTTTTCTCTAGCAGTGAATTTAGTGCTTTGCAATAGGTAACAACAACAACAAAAATTGAAGTTCCTGCTCTGAAGAGCTCCCAAGTTCTATTAAATACCATTTAAGATGAAATGCTAACTGTTCCAGGTAAACCACATTTGAGATTGCAAAGCAGAAACCCTAACTGTAAACTTGAATTCATAATCCCAGAAGGTTCCCAAGACCCATTAGCATTATAGCCCTCTGCAAAATACGAATTCTATTTTGTAAGTGCACACATTTCATAATTCTTCTCCCAAGATAATAAAGATAAGAGTTCTGAGCTAGTGCAACTCCCTGTGTTAATTACAATAAAATCCAACAAATGAAATTACATTTTTGGAATCAACAGCTTTTGGCCAAGCAAACCCACATGCCTTGACAGCCTTCCTTTGCAGTTGGAGTTACATTAACACATGTGTTTGTTTCCTCACCTTTTACAGACCCAAGAGCCCTGTGATATGTTAATTCACACCAAATTCTAATCCTTTCCCTTGTCTTTATCTTTCCAACTCAGTGATATGATGTGTCAACACCTTACATATTGGGAAGAAAAAATGCTTAGACAAAATTTTATTTCTACTCACTTTAATTAAAATTACAGAAACTAGAAAACAAAGTGTAAGTAAATTAAGGCATTGTCTTTCAATGCCATTCACCATCTGCCCTGTCAATATCCACTCTGATCTGAATTATTCTAAAAAGTCATCTGGGTCTTTCCTACTTTGATTAGTCAATTAGCCACATCTCACATTGGTTTAAAATGTGTTTTTTCAGGTCAGTAAGTTACCCTCACAACCTTAGAGTAGCTGACTTGCCAATAAATAAAGACTTCTGAGATTTTTCTATTAATATGCAAAGATTTCTGCTTTTTTCAGCTTATTCTATATTTAAACATGATGTAATACTTACAGAACTTTTCTCTTTAAAATAATAAACATTATAAAATCATTTTTCTTTTCTCCACAAATAGAACTTTTTATTTGCCACTATTAAAAGTCTGAACTTTAAACAGATTCTAGGACCAGTGAGTTCATATCCATCAGCTCATTCAACTTTGGCACCTGTCTTATGTCCAGTAGCTTTCTCAGAACCACTACTTTCACCATGAAGCTCTGTGAGTTTTCCCAATTCAAATTTGGACTTCTTTAGCATTTTTAATTTTTTTTTTTTTTTTTTTTTTTTGAGACGGAGTCTCACTCTGTTGCCAGGCTGGAGTGCAGTGGCATGATCTCGGCTCATTGCAACCTCTGCCTCCTGGGTTCAAGCGATTCTCCTGCCTCAGCCTCCCAAGTAGCTGGGACTACAGGTGCATGCCACCATGCCTGGGTAATTTTTGTATTTTTAGTAGAGATGGGGTTTCACCATGTTGGCCAGGATGGTCTCAATTTGACCTCGTGATCCACCTGCCTTGGCCTCCCAAAGTGCTGGGATTATAGGTGTGAGCCACTGTACCTGGCCAGCATTTTTACTTTTCTAATGAACACATCATGGAAAGGATAAATAGATTGGCAACCGTTTTGTATGTCTTTTGCAATGCTGTCTGGAATCAATTTATTGACCACTTCTTTCAAGTCATTTGTCTGCACCTCTTGGGTCATGATTTCCATCGTCTCCTAGATCTGGCGAGCCTGTTGGTGGTGAATATCTATTGGTTGCATTTTTTAGTATAACCAATACAGAATAACTGAAGCAAATAACCATCAGTAGTCTTGACATAAGCATGAGCTTCAATCATGGTCTGTCATTTTTTGACCATGGAACACATTTTGTCACAGGTGAAATCCATGCCACGGAAGTCAGTCAGGCAGGTTTTGCCTGAACATCATCAGTAATCAGCTTGCATTTTCTAAATGCACCTTCATCATTCTGCAGATCAGCAAGACTCACTTCAAATACATGACCCTTGAGGCCATCAGATGCAATTTTGGTTCCTTGAGTCCTGGTGACCAGCATCTTTCCAATGTTTCATATATTGAACATAGCCAGTGCTTTCACATCGTACCAATCTTTCTTAGAAAATGGATCAACCACTTTCTTCTTGGCTCCCTTTTTGCCGCTTTTCTAAGGTACTTGTGCTTGCCATCTGCCATGGTGCTGCTCAGAGAGCCAAAAGGGGTTTTGGGTTTTTTGATTGTTTGTTTGTTTTTTGAGACATGGTCTCACTCTGTCACTCAAGCTGGAGTACAGTGGTGCCATCATAGCTCACTGCAGTCTCGAACTCCTGGACTCAAGTGATCCCCCTGTGCCCCACTCCCCCCCACCCCCACTGCCTCAGCCTCCCAAGTAGCTGGGACTACAGGCGTAAGCCACTCTGCCTGGCTAATTTTTTTAAAAAAATTTTGTAGAGATAGGGTCTCACTGTGTTGACCAGGCTGGTCTCAAACTCCTGGCCTCAAGCGATCCTCCCACATCAGCTTCCCAAAATGTTGGGATTACAGGCATGGGCCACTGTGCCTGGTGCAAAATAATTTCTTTCTTTATTATATATTATTATGTTAGATATAAAGCATGTTATTACTAACTTCATTTTTATAGGCAAAGAAAGTCCACCAGAAAATTATCTAACTCCCGTTACACTCTTTTGTAACTTGCTTGTTATACTCCTGTTTCTTGTTTCACAAACATCTATATTAGTCAACAGCAGATAGTTTTTTAAGTGACAGTTGGGCTGTTCCAAGGCTTTATGGGTGAGCATGGGAAAAGCCTCTAGATTGGATACCTTTGAAGAGAATGGGAATGAGACAGAGAATGAAGGGAAAAATAACAAAATCAAACAGGAGAGCAACGTTACACAGAATCATAGTTGTGTGCCAAGAAGTGATGATTCTGATTAATTCAGTTCTGTACACCTGATCTTTCCTTCACCACCCACCTCCCCCTGCCAAAAATAAAAAACAAATACAAACCTGTGGCCCAGTAACATTCAAGGACACATTGGTATATGAGGTCCCACAAAGCTGGAACTAAGTTCATGACGTCTCAAAAGTGGAATTCTCTAATCTTTTACTTTAAGTGTTGGCAGCTTTAGTGAGTAATAAGGTAGTAGTTTAATCACAAACAGTACATACCTAAATTATAGACCATACTATATATGCTAAGGTTTGAATGTTTGTGGCCTGCCAAAATTCATATGTTGAACTCCTACCCCCAAGGTGATGGTATTAGGAGGTGGGGCCTTTGGGAGATAATTAGCTCATGAGGACAGAGTCCTCATGAATGGGATTAGTGCTCTTATAAGGGGTTACAGAAACAAGAGTTCTTCCCTTCTACTATGTGAGGGCATAGCTAGAAGGTACCACCTATAAACCAGAAAGCAGACCCCCACCAGTGAAACCGGCTTTGCAAAAATTATAGCAGTGAGAAAATGATGACAGTGAAAGAGATCTGACCTAACCAACTCCATCTTGCCTTTAACCTCTAAACTGCCCTTGGTCATTCATTCCTAGGCATGGGCCAAGCTAATGCTGGCAGAAATTTAGTTTATAGTTTAAGTGATAATAGCCCCTCCCCAAACTAAACCACCTTTGTAAAACTAGTGCTAAGCCACCAAGTACAGAGGATGAGAGGGGCCTAAATTCTGCTAAGATGTAGTGATAGTTCAATGATTACCAGCCATTTTTCTGGAGGTATAGCATTTTCAGGAAGATTTGCAACTTCCCCATTTGCTGCTGTAAATAACATCACAATTGTAAAACCTAAGACTGGCCTTTTCAATGTCTTCTCAGAGTTTTGCATTTCTGACTACCAGATGACTCCACCTGGACCAGCAACTTTGCTGTGGCCCCTACCTGGGGTGGACTCAGCACGTGAGGACTGTTTTCCATACCCCTATGAGTGATCTCAATCCAATCAGCAGCACCCATTCCCTCGTCCCCTGCCTCCCAAACTATCCTTGAAAAACCCTAGCCTCTGAATTTTCAGGGAGGCTGATTTGAGTAATAATAAAACTCTGGTCTCCTGTTTAGCTGGTTCTACATGTATTAAACTCTTTCTCTATTGCAATTCCCCTGCCTTGATTATATGAGCAGCAAGACACAATGAACTCACTTGGCAGTTACACCAGACACCAAATCTGCTGGTGCCTTGATCTTGGACTTCTCAGCCTCCAGAACTGTGGGAAATAAATGGGTTGTTTATAAGCCAGCTAGTTTATGGTATTTTTGTTATAACAGCCAGAACAGACTAAGACAATATGTAGTGAGTATGGTCAGGTAAATAAGAATATCACTTTATGTAAAAATGAATTTCCCCTATTCTCCTGGGCTAGTGGAAAAAAAAAAAGGTTAGTTTTTAAAGCCCTTCACCCATCTCTTCTGAGTTAGGTTAAGATTCTTATATCTTTTGCATTTTGACATGGGGCAAATTGGGGTGTGCCGGTTCTAGCAATCAATCACTTCTGTACATAGGTTATCCCTGAGTCTTCCATTGTCTTGTCTAAACAGCACCTTCAGCATCAGTAGTTCCTTCTACTTCATCAACATATTTTGGACTTGGGAATCTTTTTTTGCAACTGACTAAATCCCATATGCCTGGAGGCAACAGATCCTACTCCTCTCTAGGTGCTGCCAAGAAGCCAAAACTGGGACATTGATGCTCTAGAATTGTGTTAGCCTGTTCTCGCATTGCTATGAAGAACTACCTGAGACTGGGTAACTTATAAAGAAAAGAATTGGCTGGGAATGGTGGCTTATACCTGTAATCTTAGCACTTTGGGAGTCTGAGGCAGGCAGATCAACTGAGGCCAGGAATTTGAGATCAACTTGGCCAACATGGTGAAACCCCATCTCTACTAAAAATACAAAAAATAGCCTGGCATGGTGGCACATGTCTATAATCCCAGCTACTCTGGAGGCTGAGGCAGGAGAATCACTTGAACCCAGGAGGCAGAGGTTGCAGTGAGCTGAGACCATTCCACTGCACTCCAGCCTGGGTGACAGAGTGAGACTCCATCTCAAAAAAAAAAAAAGAAGAGGTTTAATTGACTCACAGTTCCACAGGCTGTACAGGAAGCATGGCTAGGAGGAGGCCTCAGGAAACTTACTATCACAACAGAAGACGAAGGGGAAGCAGGCATGTCTTACATGGCCAAAGAAGCAGGAAGGAGGTGGGGGAGGTGCCACACATTTTTAAACGACCAGATCTCATGAAAATTCACTCACTATCATGAGAACAGCAAGGGGAAATCTGCCCCCATGATCCAATCACCTCCCAGCAGGCCCCTCCTCCAACACTGGGAATTACAATTTGACATGAGATGTGGGCAGGGACACAAATCCAAACCATATCAAGAACTTACAGACTTGTCTCTTGTTTTCCTCCTATTGGGGGGGATATTTTTGACGTGGTGTTGGGGTGGGGGTATGTATCTGTGTGTGTGTGTGTGTGTATGTGTGTGTTGGAGAGAAGTAGTGGGGGAAAGCCTCACTTTCTACCAACCCCACCTCCTTGCCCTACTTCCCTAGGGCACTCTACCTATACCTGAAAATCTCCTTCTCCCTTTTTTCTTTTCTACAAACTCTCTAAATCTTCCCAGGGGCTTAAGTTTTTGGAAACAGAAACCAGAAAGTCTTGCATAATATCTCTGCCTTCTGTTCTATAGAGACCCTGAACCAGCTATTTACTTTAAATGGGGGAAGTATAAAAAGAAAACACATGCATAGAAACAAGCTGATTTCCTAAAATATTATCCATACCATACACTAGGAATATCCCAAATAGGGGAGAGACAGAGAGAGAGAGAGAAAAGAGAAAGAAGGAAAGAAGGAAGGAAAGGAAAAAAAGAACTACAAAACTACTGAAAGAAGAAGAGGTATTTGAATGTTATCATCACAAAGAAATGACAAATGTTTAAAGTAATGGATATGCAAATTACCCTGATTTGATTATTATACAATGTATACATGCATTGAAACATCACACTGTACCCCATAAATATGTACAGTTATGTGTCAATTATAAATAAAATAAAACTTTAAAAGAGACAAAACTACTAATAAAGAAAGGAGAATTCCTTTATAACCTTGGAGTAGGGAAGGCCCCTTTTTACTATGAATTGAAATCCAGAAGTCACTAAAGAAAATATTGATAAATTTAACTACATAAAAATATTTTTTAATTCTACATGGCAAAAAATACTGTATGTGATATTGAAAGACAATTATAAATTGGAGGGAAATGCTTATAATTCTTTACACAGACAAAAGGCAAATCTCCCCTATCTAGAAGGAGCACCTGTAAGTAGAAATAGGAAAAAGACTATCAACCCAATTCAACAGTAAAATGAGCTAAAAGTGGGAACAGCTCACAGAAAATAAAAACATTTTTTGGACATGGAAAAGGATACCTAGCCTCACTCCTAATAAGAGAATTGCAAATCAGAACTACACTGACATAATTATTTCTCAGCTATTAGGTTTGAAAATGCACACTGTTGGCAAAGCTGTGGGGAAACAGGCACTCTCCTACATTGCTGGTGGAAGAATAAATTAGTAAAACACTTATGGAGGGCAATTTGCAAAATCTATCCAAACTATAAATGTGTAAGTCCTTTGACTAAGTAAATCCACTTCTGGGAATTTATCCTATAGATATACTCGTGTAGGTTATTATCCACTGAAACAATGTATTAGTAAAAGACTGGAAAACAATCTAAATGTCCATTAATAATAAATTAACTAAATACATTATGCTACATTTATTAAATGGGATATTTTGCAGATCTTCAATAAAATACAAAAACAATAAGAAAGCTCTATATACTGATATGAAAAAAATCTTCAGAATATATAAAGTTTGTTTTTGTTTTTGTTTTTGTTTTTTTGAGATGGAATTTCGCTCTGTCTCCCAGGCTGGAGTGCAGTGGCGCGATCTTGGATCACTGCAACCTCGGCCTCCCGTGTTCAAGCGATTCTCCTGAGTAGCTGGGACTACAGATGCGTGCCACCATGCCCAGCTAATTTTTTTTGTGTTTTTAGGAGAGACGGGGTTTCACCATGTTAGCCAGGATGGTCTCGATCTCCTGACCTCGTGATCCACCCGCCTCGGCCTCCCCAAGTGCTGGGATTACAGGCATGAGCCCATCGCACCCAGCCTGTTTTTTTCAGTGTAAAATAATGTTATCTTTTATGTAAAAAGACGGGAGGGGAATATACATTCATACCTATTTGTATATGTGAAAACTCTGGACAGATTCAGAGAAAACTGGTAACAGTGATTAAGGTGCAGGGTGGGAACCAGGCAGATGGGGCCAGATATGAGAGGGTAATTCTTATTGTGAACCCTCTAATCTTCAGTCACATGCACACATGGTCTCTGTGATCCTTTCTACCATTCAACTATAATGAAATCTGAATCATTATTTTAAACATTTATTTATAAAATTTTACTGACTCAATGTTTAAATCCAAAATAATTGTTCACTTCAAAATTTTAAGGTTTCTAGGCTTAAGTAATTGGGTATTTTAAAATCCCATTAGAGCCAGGCACAGTGGCTTATGCTTGTAATCCCATCACTTTGGGAGGCTGAGGTGGGTGGATCACCTAAGGTCAGGAGTTCAAGTCCAACCTGACCAATATGGTGAAACCCTGTCTCTATGAAAAATACAAAAATTAGCCGGGCATGGTGGCATGCACCAGTAGTCCCAGCTACTTGCGAGGCTGAGACAGGAGAATTGCTTGAACCCAGGAGGTGGAGGTTGCAGCGAGTGGAGATCACGCCACCGCACTCCAGCCTGGGCAACAGAGTGAGACTCAGTCTCAAAGAAAGAAAGAAAGAAGGGAGGGAAGGGAAGGGAGGGGAGGGGAGGGGAAGGGGAGGGAGGAAGGGAGGAAGGAAGGAAGGAAGGAAGGAAGGAAGGAAAAGAAAGAAAAGAAAAAAATCCCATTAGAGTGAATACCATAATGCTGAACAGTTTAGTCTCTTAAATTTAAAAAAAAAAAAGTACAGGTAATTTTACTATAATCACATCTTCAATAAAATTTTATATGAGCCCTGGCATGGTGGCTCATGCCGGTAATCCAGCCTGTAATCCTTTGGGAGGCTGAAATGGGAGGATCACTTGAGGCCAGGAGTTTGAGATCAGCCTGGGCAACATAGCAAGAAGATATCTCTACAAAATTTTTTTTTAAATTAGCCAGACACGTGCTTATAGTTCTAGCTACTTGGGAGGCTAAGGCAGAAGGATCACTTGTGCCCAGGAGTTTGAGGCTGCAGTGAGATCTGATGGTGCCACTGCACTCCAATCTGGCTGACAGAGCAAGACAAAAATATTGTTACAGGCTGGGCATGGTAGCTCATGCCTGTAATCCTAGCACTTTGGGAGGCCAAGGTGGGTGGATCATGAGGTCAGGAGTTCAAGACCAGCCTGGGCAACACAGTGAAACCCCGTCTTTACTAAAATACAAAAAGTTAGCTGGGTGTGGTGGCATGAGCCTGCAGTCCCAGCTACTTGGGAGGCTGAGGCAGGAGAATTGCTTGAACCTGGGAGTCAGAGGTTGCAGTGAGCTGAGATCGTACCACTGCACTCCAGCCTGGGTGGCAGGGCCAAACTCACTCTGTCTCAAAAAAAAAAAAAAAGTTACAGTATAATTCATATAACCAAATTCCACTTCAAGAAGTTCTGAAAGACTTCCAACCATTTTATTATGTTTTCTGTACCAGGAATGTGTTTAATTAATAATGCTTGAAATGTATTAGCCAACAACTTAAGCTTGAAATATTTGGTCAGAAAGAAAATTTTCTTTTAATGTTATTTATGCTATTTTATTTGATCTAAATTATTAGTGTCTGCACAATGGGTTTTTCCCTAGTTGTAGACCACACAAGATAGTAGAGAGGTCAAAAGCATGGGCTCTAGGGTCAGTCTCTCTGGGTTTATGTCCTGACTCTACCGCTTACTAATTATGTGACATTGGGTAAGTGAGCTTATTTCTGAGTGCCTGTTTCTTCATCTTAAAATGGGGACAATAATAATACCTACCTCCTAGGATGGTTGTGTGTATTAGATTAAATACACTTAATTAAATATTCAATTATTTAATTTGAATTAAATTAAATCATTCCATGTACACAGATATAAAGTGCCCAATAAGTTTTAAGTATTGTATATGTATGTATGTGTGGCATAGACTCCAAGAAAGAATATAAAAACAGAAACTTTGTCTATAAACCATACACACACATACAAACTAAAAAAAAAAAAAGTTTCTTCAAGACAGTATTTTCCTCTAAGAAGTATACTGGCGGGCTTATCATCATCTTAGGATGTGGAGGGCTAGCAAAGAAGAGAAGCATGTGTAATTTGAAAAAGCACTTGATCAACAATATTATAATTTTATATCTGGGAGAAAGCAACATATTGTTCACATAATGTAAAGAAAGTAAAGCTCAAGAAAATTATTTTAGGTAGTGGTGATACATAAAAGATGCAGTGCTTCCCAACAAGGGCATGCCACTTTAAAGAGCCCTATCAGAATTTGGGGGTGAGCAGCAGGACAGATGGGATGAGTTACCTTTAACAAACAGGCTTGCATTGGACAGGCAGTAGGGAAGCACTGCTTTAAAATAAAGCAAAACTGACCAAACTCTCACAGGAAGGAGAACACTTATCAAAGAAAGGAAGTTTCAATTTAAAAAAGAAATCATTATGTCTTTGCATCTTCACCTGTCCTCTTTTCTGCATATGGATTTCCTTTGGCTCTTTGTTTTGGGGTGGGGAATAATAATTAATCAGAAGCCTAGGTATTTATCTTGCTTTCCCCAGGGGATGAATTGGGACCCAATCTTCCTTCTTCCCAGGCTTCCTATTGCAATAATGAAATTCCATTATATTGAAAAATGATGTAATTCCCTATAGGGTTAGTTGTAATCACTTGACCAATGTGGATATGGTGATTATAAGAACTAAAGAATAGGGAAATTCACAGAAAGGAAAGAACAGCATTTAGATTTACTTTGCTTGCTTTGCTTTGTCTTAATTCAGTTGTACCATGTCCACTAAAAACTTGCCTTATTTCTGATTAGAAAAAAATCAGGCAAAATAGTAGAAATAAACTGCCAAACAGCTTCAGAATCTAGTGTTCTCTGAACAGTGATCAGGGTTTTTTCTTCTTCCTCCCTTCACCTCCTCTCCCCACCACAGCCATTGATCAATTCTCATTATTAGCTCTTAGAAAAGCAGACAGTCTTTGGGACAAGCCTGGCTTCAGATCAGAGAGTCAATATTCTACTGTAACAATCTGCCAAAAAACGCAATTCAGGCACATCTAAAGTGTGTCTCCCTAGAGGAAAGCAAGAAAAACAGTCCACTGAGAGAGGCCTCACTATTTAGTTTGATTCAACCACAGCTGCCTCTGACATTTCTAAGCCAGTCAGAGTTATCATCAGAAAATGCAAGTGAGCAAATGCAGAGTGACAGCAGACCATAGCACAAAGGTTGCCCAGTTCAGGAAGTTTATCCAACTCCCTTCATCATTCTCCCCTCTCGCTGTCCCCAACCCCACCTCATATGAAGAGCTGAGTTCATGATGATGAGGACTCACAGAGAAGCGATGTGTGAGAAGAGGTGTGGCAGTGCATCACTTTAAAAAAATAATTTATGAGGAAAGTGCCATCAGCAAGATGGCCAACTAGAAGTTCCTATTGGTCTCCCTACCACAACAAAATCCAAAACAATGAATAAACAACTACATACATATTGACCAAAATAACTCAAGGAGAGCTCCAGAGAACAATGGCAACAGCAAAAAGCAGCAGAAAACCTGTAGAGCACAGAAATCCAAGATAGCACCATAGGGAAGGGAATACCTTGGGTCTTCCACCCCACACCCCTAGTCAGAATCATCTTGGTACCAGAAGAGACTTCTTCTTGCAGGGGTAAAGGTAAGCAAGAGGACTCTAGCAGCCCCCATCACCACTGCAAACACCTGCAGTCTTCACTACTGGAGTCTCCAGCAGTCTTCACAGGATCAAGCCCAGCTGAGGGAGCTCCCTGGAGTTCACACACTGAGCTACTCCCAGAGAAGGAGCCAATGCTGCGCCTTGGCCCCATGTGGCCCATGCTGCCATTAATCTGCACCATCTTGGAATGGGAACCACTGCTATAATGTATCCTGTTCTGGGTGTAGGTAACCATTGCACCCCCTCCATCCCTGAGGCTTTGCTGCCACTTTAACATACCTACCCAGTAGTGCACCACCCCCAAGCCAGGGTCTTGTGAAACTACTGTAGCACCTGAGACTTGAGGCACAGGTTCACTTTCCAAGGCCCAAATGCATGCAGTTCTCCCACTCAACCAGGGTCTGTTGCTCTGAGGCATACCCCAGCCACTCAGGCCCAGGGGGCTAGAATGTTGCTATGGTTCTGACCCTGGGGGACAGGGTATAGCACCAGCATGACTCTGGGAAAGAAGGGGTGTTCCAGAGGCTCAGGCCCAGGGAGAAGGGCACAGCTGCAATTTGGGACTGAGAATGAACAGGGCATGGCAGCAGTTCAGGCTCTGGAGGTGAGTTACCATGCAGTGGTGACTCTGAACCCTGCGGTGGTAGAACCTGGTAGTAGCCCAGGCTCTGTGAGGCTGGTGCACCAGCAACAAGGATCCAGGAATGGCAGGCCAGAAGAGAATGAGATGATATTGTCAAAGTGCTGAAAGGAAAAACAAAACAAAACAAAACAAAGTAAACAAACAAAAAAGGTCAACCAAGAATACTATACCCAGTAAAGCTGTCCCTCAGAAATGAAAGAGAAATAAAGTCTTTACCAGATAAGCAAAAACTGAAGGAATTTATCACCACTAGACCTGCCCCACAAGAAATGCCTAAGGAAGTTCTTCAGGTGGAAATGAAAGGAAGATAATTACTATCATAAATACATATGAAAGTATAAAACTCACTGGTAGAGGTAAATACATAGTCAAATCCAGAATACTTTAATACTGTAATGGTTGTGTGTAAATCATACATTTCTCTAGTATGAAGGTTAAAAGTCAAAATGGTCAAAAATTACTAATGGTACAATACATTGTTAAGAAATACACAATATAAAAAGATGTAGGCTGGATGTGGTGGCTCACACCTGTAATCCCAGCACTTTGGGAGGCCAAGGTGGGCAGATTGCTTGAGGTCAGGAGTTCTAGACCACCCTGGCCAATATGGTGAAACCCTGTGTCCACTAAAAAAAAATTTAAAAATTAGCCGGGCATGGTGGCACACACCTGTAATCCCAGCTACTTGAGAGGCTGAGGCAGGAGAATCATTTGAACCCAGGAGGCGGAGGTTGCAGTGAGCCAAGATCATGGCACTGCACTCCAACCTGAGTGACAGAGTGAGACTTTGTCTCAAAAAAAAATTATAAAAAGATGTAAATTGTGACATCAAAAATATAAATTGTGGGTAGAGAGGGTAAAAGTCTAGAGCTTTTGTATGTAATGGCAGTTAAGTTATTATCACCTTAAAATAATTGATTATAACTGTAAGATGTTTGATGTAAGCATCATGGTAACCACAAAACAAAAACTACAACAGACCTACAAATGATAAAGAGAAAGGAATCAAAGCTTAGCATTACAGAAAATTATCAAACCACAAAGGTAGACAAGATAGGAAGAAAGGAATGAAGGTACTACAAAACAACCAGAAAACAGAAACAAAATGGCAATAATAAGTCCTTGACTATCAATAATAACCTTGGATGTAAATGGATTAAATTCTCCAATCAAAAGACAGAGTGGTTGAATAAATTTTAAAAAGAAAATCCAATCATATGCTACCTGCAAGAGGCTCACTTAAGCTTTAAGGACACACAGGCTGAAAGTGAATGAATGGAAGAAGATATTCCATGCAAATAGTAACCAAAAGAGATCAGAGGTGGCTATACTTATATCTAATAAAATAGACTAAAAGTCAAAAACTGTCATAAGGGCCAGGGTCAGTGGCTTATACCTGTAATCCTAGGATTTTAGGAAGTCTAGCGGGGGAAGATCACTTGAGGCCAAAAGTTCAAGACCAGTTTGGGCAACATAGCAAGACCTTGTCTCTGCAAAAAAATTTAAAAATTACCCAGGCATGGTGATGCACACCTGCAGTCATAGCTACTCGAGAGACTGAGGTGGGAAGATCGCTTGAGCCCAGGAGTTTGACTCTTCCGTGAACTACAACCATACCACTGCACTCCTGGGTAACAGTGCAAGACCCTGTCTCAAAAAAAAAAAAAACAAAAAACAAAAAACTGTCGTTAGAGAAAAAGAAAGTAATAATTTAATGATGAAGGGGTCAATTCATTGAGAGGACATAACCATTATAAATATATATGCACCCAACCTTAGAGCACCTAAATACATAAAGTGACTACTAATTAACTTGAAGGGAGAAACAGATAGCAATACCACAACAGAGAGAGACTTAAATAATCCACTTTCAACAATGGATAGATCAACCAGACAGATAATTAATAAGGAAATACTGGACTTGAATTGCACTTTTGACCAAATGGACCTAACAGATATATATGGAACTTTACATCCAACAGCAGCAGAATACACGTTTTTCTCTAGTGCACATGGAATATTCTTCAGGATAGACCACATGTTAGGCCACAAAACAAGTGGTAACAAATTTAAGAAAATTGAAATCATATCTAGTACTGCTTCAGACCACAATGGTATAAAACTAGAAATCAATAAGAGGAGGAATTTGGAAAATTCATAAATATGTGGAAATTAAACAACATGCTCATAAACAACCAATGGGTCAAAGAAGATATCAAAAGGGAAATTTGAAAATGTCTTGAGACAAACAACAAGGGAAACACAACAAACCAAATCCTATGTGATATAGCAAACACAGTTCTAAGAGAGAAGTTTATAAAGAAGAAAGATCACAAATAAATAATTTAAGACACCTCAATGCATGAAAAAAAGAACAAACTAAACTCAAAATTAGCAGAAGGAAGGAAATAATAAAAATCAGACAAATACATAGAGAAGAGAAAAACGATGTAAAGAATCAATAAAACTAAGAGGTTTTGCAAAAATAAAATCAAACTCTTGGCTAGTGTAACAAAGAGAACAAAATCAAAAATGAAAGTGAATAAATTACAACAGATGCTTCAGAAATAAAAAGGATCATGAAGGACTATTATGGGCTGGGCACAGTGGCTCACTGCCTGTAATCCCAGCACTTTGGGAGGCTGAGACAGGCAGATTGCTTGAGCCCAGGAGTTTGAGACTAGCCTGGGCAACATGGCAAAACCCCATCTCCACTATTATTTAAAAAAAAAAAAATTAGCCGGGCATGTGTGCACCTGTAGTCCCACCTACTTGGGATGCTGAGGTGGAAGGATCACCTGAACCCAGGAGGTGGAGGCTGCAGGGGGCTGTGATCATGCCACTGCACTCTAGCCTGGGTAACAGAATGAGACCCTGTCTCAAAAATATATATATATATATGAACAATTATATGCCAACAAATTGTATAACCTAGAGGACTGGTTAAATTCTTAGGAAAAAAGAAATACCTACCAAGATTGAGTCAGGAGGAAATAGAAAGCCTGAACAGACCAATAACAAATAAAGACAAATTAAGAGGTAATCAAAAACCTCCCAACAGGCCAGGCACAGTGGCTCATGCCTGTAATCCCAACACTTTGGGAGGCTGAAGTGGGAGGATTCTTTGAGCCCAGGAGTTTGAGACCAGCCCGGGCAACATAGTGGAACCCTGTCTCTACAAAACAAAAAATTAGCCAGGCGTGGTGGCTTGTTCCTAATAGTAGACCTAGCTACTCGGGAGGCTGAGGCTAGAGGATTGCTTGAGCCTGGGAAGTCGAGGCTGCAATGAGCCATGATGGCACCACTGCACTCCAGCCTGGGTAGCAGAGCGAGACCCTGTCTAAAAAAAAAAAAAAAAAAAAAAAAAAGTCCCAACAAAGAAAAGCCCAGGACCAGATGTTTCACAGCTGAAGTCTACCAAAACATTCAGAGAATAATTAATAGCAATACCTATTAAAGTCTTCCAAGGCCAGGCGCGGTGGCTCACGCCTGTAATCCTAGCACTTTGGGAGGCCAAGGCGGGTGGATCACCTGAGGTCAGGAGTTCAAGACCAGCCTGGCCAACATGGTGAAACGTCGTCTCTACTAAAATACAAAAATTAGCCAGGCATGATGGCGGGTGCCTGTAATCCCAGCTACTCGGGAAGCTGAGACGGGAGAATCGCTTGAACCTGGGAGACGGCGGTTGCAGTGAGCTGAGATCGCACCACTCCTCCAGCCTGGGTGGCTGAGGTGAGACTCCGTCTCAAAAAAAAAAAAAAAAAAAAAAAAAAAGTCTTAAAGTCTTCCAAAAGTAGAGCTAGAAGAAATACTTTCAAACACATTTTATGAGGTCAGCATTACCTTCATTATAAGCCAGACAAAGACATTATAAATAAAGAAAATTATAGGCCAGTCTGATGAACATTGATTCAAAAACCCTTAACAAAATATTAGCAAACTGAATTGAATCGAACAACATATCAAAAAGATTATACATCGTGACCAAGTAGGATTTATCCCTGGCAAGAAAGGCTGGTTTAACCTATGCAAATCAATGTGATACACCACATTAAAAAAATAAGATTAAAACCATGTGATCATCTCAACTGACACAGAAAAGCATTTTGCAAAGTCTAACATCCTTTCTTGATAAAAACTCTTGATCTTTTAGGTATAGAGGACAATTCCTCAACATAATAAAGGCCATTTATGAAAAACCCACAGCTAACATTATAGTCAGTGAGGAAAAACTGAATGCTTTCCCACTAAGATTCAGTACAAGGCAAGAATGCCCACTCTCACCACTTCTACTCAACATTGTACTGGAAGTAGTAGCAAGAACAATCAAATAAGAAAAAGAAATAAAAGGCATACAAGTCGGAAGTGAAAAAGTAAAATTATCTCTATTTGCAGATGACAATATCCTATACATAAAAAACTCCAAAGACTCCACAAAAACCTTTTAGAATACCTGAATTCAGTAAATTTGCTGAATACAAAATCAACTTACAAAAATCAGTAGCATCTTAATACACAAGTAATGACCTAACTGAAAAAGAAATTGAGACAACAATCCCATTTATGATAGCATCAAAAAATAAAACAACATATTCAGGAATAAACTTCTAAAAAGAGGTGAAAATCTGTACACCAAAAACTACAAAACATTGATGAAAGAAATTAATGATGACAAAAATATTTGGAAAAGTATCCCATGCCCATTCAGCAGGATAATTAAATTAAATTAAATTAAATTATTGTTAAAATGTCCATATTGCCCAAGGCAATATACAGATTCAATACAATCTCTATCAAAATCCCAATGGCATTCACAGAAATAGAAGAAACAAGCCTAAAAATTGTGTGGAAATATAAAAGACCTTGAATAGCTAAAACAATGCTGAGAAAGAAAAAGTTGGAGGCATCACAATATGATTTTAAATTATATTGCAAAGCTATAGTAACCAAAAGAGTTTGGGCCATGCACAGTACGGCTCATGCCTATAATCCCAGCACTTTGGGAGGCGCAGGCAGGAGGATCACTTGAGCCCAGGAGTTCAAGACCAGCCTGGGCAACATAGGGAAACCCTATCTTTACAAAAAAAAAAAAAATTCTTAATTAGCTGGGCATGGTGGCATGTGCCTGTAGTCCTAGCTACTTGGGAGGCTGAGGTCAGAGGATCTCTTGATCTCAGGAAGGAGGTGAAGGCTGCAGTGAGCTGGGATGGATCACCACTGCATTCCAGCCTCAGCAACAGAGGAAGACCCTGTCTCATAATAATAATTATTATTATTATTTGTATTTACTCATTCATTCATTTTCCAACCTGCTTATTCTAGTTCAGGGTCATGGCTGGCCAGAGCTTATCCCAGCAGCTCAGGGCACAAAGCAGAAACCCACCCTGGACGGGACGGCATTCCGTCACAGGGCACACTCACACACCTACACTCACTCAGACTGGAACCATTTAGACATGCCAATTCACCTAAAAGGCGTGTCTTCGGAATGTGGGAGGAAATTGGAGTATCTGGAGAAAACTCATGCAGACAAGGGGAAAACGTGCAAATTCCACACAGACAGTGGCCCCAGCTGGGAATCCATTTATTTTTCTCATCGATGTTATAACCAAATAACATTATTGGAGGTTCTGCTATACTAATCAAAAACAGAATGAGATAGAAATAATCTTGGAGAGATCAACTGGTGAGAAGCTGAGGTGAATAGAAAATAAATGGCTTATTCCAATATTGTTAAAAAGTTAAAAATCCTGGAAGCTAAGATATGAGGACACAAAGGCATAGAATGATACAATGAACTTTGGGAACTTGAGGGAAATGCGGGGAGAGGAAAGGGATAAAAGACTGGGTACAGTGTACATTGCTCGAGTGATAGGCTCACCAAAATCTCAGAAATCACCACTAAATAACTTATTCATATAACCAAACACTACCTGTTCCCCCAAAAAACTATTGAAATAAAAAACAAACAAAACAAAAAAAATGGCAAACAGGCTTATGAAAAGGTGCTTAACATCACTTACCAGAGTAATGCAAATCAAAACTACAATGAGATAACATCTCACCCCAGTTAAAGTGGCTTCTATCCAAAAAACAGGCAATAACAAATGCTGGCAAGGATGTGGAGAAAAGGGAACCCTTGTACACTGTTGGTGGGAATGTAAATTAGTGCAACCACTATGGAGAACAGCTCGGAGGTTCCTCAAAAAATTCAAAATAGAACTGCCATATGATTTAGCAATCCTACTACTGGTTATTATCCAAAGGAAATTAAACCTGTATGTCCAAGAGATATCTGCATTCCCATGTTTGTTGCAACTCTGTTCACAGTTGCCAAGATTTGGAAGCAACCTAAGTGTCCATCAACAGATAAATAGATTTTTTAAGGTGGTACTTACACACAATGGTGCACTGTTCAGCCATAAAAAAAGAATGAGATCCAGTCATTTACAACAACTGGATGGAAATGGAGGACGCTATGTTAAGTGACACCAGCCATGCACAGAAAGACAAACATTGCATGTTCTCATTTATTTATGGGATCTAAAAATCAAAATTTTTGAACTCATGGACATATAGAGTAGAAGGATGGTTACCAGAGGCTGGGAAGGGTCATGGGGGATTGGGGGGGAAATGGAGATGGTAATAGATACAAAAAAAATAGAAAGAATGAATAAAACCTTACTATTTGATAGCACAATAAGGTGACTATAGTCAAAATAACTTAATTGTACTTTTTTTTTCTGAGATGGAGTCTCACTCTGTTGCCCAGGATGGAGTGTAGAGGCACAATCTCAGCTCGCTGCAACCTCCACCTCCCAGGTTCAAGCAATTCTCATAACTCGGCCTCCCGAGTAGCTGGGATTGCCCACACCTGCCACCACACCTGGCTAATTTTTTGTATTTTTAGTAGATGTGGGGTTTCACTATGTTGGCCAGACTGGTCTTGAACTCCTGACCTCAAATGATCCAACTGCCTTCGCCTCCCAAAGTGCTGGGATTACAGGCATGAACCACTGCACCCAGCCTTAATTGTACATTTTTAAATAATTTAAAGAGTATAATGGAGGCCAGGAGTGGTGGCTCATGCCTGTAATCCCAGCACTTTGGGAGGCCGAGGCGGGTGGATGACCTGAGGTCAGGAGTTCGAAACCAGCCTGACCAACATGGTGAAACCCCGTCTCTACTAAAAATACAAAAATTAGCTGGGTGGTGGCAGGTGCCTGTAATCCCAGCTACTTGGGAGGCTAAGGAGGAGAATCGCTTGCACCCGGGAAGTGAAGGTTGCAGTGAGCTGAGATCGCACCATTGCACTCCAGCCTAAGCAACAAGAATGAAACTCTGTCTCAAAAAAAAAAAAAAGTGTAATTGGATTGTTTGTAACTCAAAGGATAAATGCTTGAGGGGATGGATACCCCATTCTCCATGATGTGCTTATTTCACATTGCATGCCTGTATCAAAACATCTCATGTACCCCATAAATACATATAGCTACTATGTACCCCCCAAATTTTTTTTAATAAAAAAGTAAATTAAGTTATTGGGATAATATAGTTTTCTATCTCACTTAGCTATCTTGAACACAAAGACACAGGCCTAGGAGATATATATAAAGATTTTCAGGACATGTTTTGTAGATTTTATCTGCAACTATAGTATCTTCTCTAGATCCAGACAAGCAGTGTTTGGATCCAGGCCCCATCAAGATCTTAGAGAGTTTGCCTCTGGGTCACTACTAGCTCTGAGGCCTTCAGGAAGCCATTTGACTCTTCTGAATCCCAGTTTCCTTATCTGTTAAGTGAAGAGGTTGGTCTGCTTGATCTCTAAGGGTTCACCACTGGCTTTGACATTCTTGCATCTGGGAAGAGTGACGAAAAATCTGACATTGAATTAGTCTGAGGATCAAGCAAAGAGAATATTGTCGCTGAAAATGTTGAGTCAATTTTTTATTTTTATTTTTATTTTTTTGAGTGCAGTTTTGCAATCTCAGCTCACTGCAAACTACACCTCCAGGGTTCAAGTGATTCTCCTGCCTCAGCCTCCTGAGTAGCTGGGATTACTGACGCCAACCACCACATCCAGCTAATTTTTGTATTTTTAGTAGAGGTGGAGTTTCACCATGTTGGCCAGGTTGGTCTCACACTCCTGACCTCAGGTGATCCGCTCACCACGCCCTCTCAAAGTGCTGGGATTACAGGCGTGAGCCACCGTGCCTGGCCGAGTCAATTTTAAATACAAATAGTAAACAACTGTGCTGAGTTAAAAAAAAAAAATTAGATATCTACCTTCAATTAATATGATTTAATTATATTTAGTACTCAATTTAAATGATGGAATATATAACTATGAAAATTACATTTTTGGCCAGGCGCCGTGGCTCACATCTATAATCCCAGCACTTTGGGAGGCCAAGGTGGGCAGATCACTTGAGGTCAGGAGTTCAAGAGCAGCCTGGCCAATATGGTGAAACCCCATCTCTACTAAAAATACAAAAATTAGCTGGATGTAGTGGCAGGCACCTGTAATCCCAGCTACTTGGGAAGACGAGGCAGGAGAATAGCTTGAACCGAGAAGGCAGAGGTTGCAGTGAGCTGAGATTGCACCCCTGCACTCCAGCCTGGGCAACAGACTGAGACTCCATCTAAAAAAAAAGAAAGAAAAAGAAAAAAAAAAGAAAAGTTACATTTTTAAAGACTATTTCAATGTTCATTAGATACTACTAATAAAGGATATAAACTGTGTAATAACATTCTATTTTTTAAATGTATAGAAAACAGACCATCAAATAGAAATAAAGCATTAAAAACATTTCTGGATTCTTTTTTTTTTTTTTTGAGACGGAGTTTTGCTCTTGTTGCCCGGGCTGGAGTGCAATGGCACCATCTCGGCTCACTGCAACCTCTGCCTCCTGGGTTCAAGCGATTCTCCTGCCTCAGCCTCCCAAGTAGCTGGGATTACAGGTGCACACCACCACGCCTGGCTAATTTTTTGTATTTTTAGTAGAGACAGGGTTTCACCATGGCCAGGCTGGTCTTGAACTCCTGACCTCAGGTGATCCACCCACCTCAGCCTCCCAGAGTGCTGGGATTACAGGCGTGAGCCACTGTGCCCAGCCTCTGGATTCTTACATGTAATATAAACTTTCCTAAATTTCAAAATGTTGATCATTGTACAGATTTTTTTCTTCCATTTCCCCTCCCCTAACATTGACCAGTGTCCATAAAAAGTATACAATTATTTTATAATCAAAAATTTAAATATATTTATGCATTACTCCCCTTCTTACCTGTACTATTATTACAAGATAAATTTTATTATTCTCTTGAGAGCTAGCATTTGAAAAAAAAAAATTTTGAGACAGGGTCTCACTCTGTCACCTAGGCTGGAGTGCAGTGGCATGAACACAATTCACTGCAGCCTCAGACTCCTGGCCTCAGGCAGTCCTCACGCCTCAGCCTCCCAAGTAGCTGGGACCACAAGTGCATGCTGCCGCACTTGGCCAATTTTTAATTTTTTTGTAGAGACAGGGTCTCACTGTGTGGCCCAGGCTGGTCTTGAACTCCTGGACTCAAGTGATCCTCCTGCCTTAGCCTGCCAAAGTGCTGGGATTACAGGCGTGAGCCCCCATGCCCAGCCTGCATTTTTTTACATCACAAACTTTTTTTGCATAATATCTGAAGAAGATGGAGCCCCTAAGGTATTAAAGAAAGAGGTTAAAATGTCTTGCATGAGATTCATTGAGGAATTTGTTGTTCTGGAGAGGGAGAGGAAGGATTGAAGAACTATTAAGTTGAAAAAAAGACAATATATAGGCCAGGTGCAGTGGCTCACGCCTGTAATCCTAACACTTTGGGAGGCCAAGGCAGGTGGATTGCCTGAGCTCAGGAGTTCGAGACCAGCCTGGGCAACATGGTGAAACCCCATCTCTACTAAAATACAAAAAAAAAAAAAAATTAGCTGGGCGTGGCGGCATGCATCTGTAGTCCCAGCTACTCGGGAGGCTGAGGTAGGATAATTGCTTGAACCCAGGAGGCGGAGGTTGCAGTGAGCCCAGATCGCACAACTGCACTCCAGCCTGGGCGACAGAGCAAGATTCCATCTCCATAAAAAAAATATATATATATATATATATATATATACACACACACACAAAATATTCATATTATCAATAACTACTAATCCCACATTTACATTTGTACACATAGGAAAAAAAGGTTGGAAGAAACAACCTTTTTCTAACCTGGGTTATCTTTTCTATAGATTGTTTGCTCCATGTTTTTCAAATTACCTACAGTAAACATGTAATAATTTTATAATGAAAAGCAAAAGTTATTCTAAAAACCGGAGGAGGCCAGGCGTGGTGGCTCATACCTGTAATCCCAGCACTTTGGGAGTCTGAGGCAGGCAGATGACTTGAGGTCAAGAGTTCGAGGCCAGCCTGGCCAACATGATGAAACCCTGTCTCTACTAAAAATACAAAAATTAGCGAGTCATGGTGGCATGTACCTGTAGTCCCAGCTACTTGGGAGGCTGAGGCATTAGAATCGCTTGAACCCAGTAGGTGGAAGTTGCAGTGAGTTAAGATCATGCCACTGCACTCCAGCCTGGGTGACAGAGTGAGACTCCATCTCAAAAACAAAACAAAACAAAAAAACAGAGGAGTGCAGATAGATTCAGAGAAGGGGAAGGGGATATCCAAGTATATGTGGTGAAAAAAGGATGACAATGGGCTAGACATTGTCTGGGTGCAATTGATTGAGCCAGTCTTCACATGCCAAGATTTCACATGAGAGATTGGTGGGTAAAAAACTTAGGTAAATTAGGATCTGTTGAAGATTTTTGTGATGGTTAATATTGAGTGTCAATTTGATTGGATTGAAGGATGCAAAGTATTGTTCTTGGGTGTGTCTGTGAGGGTGTTGCCAAAGGAAATTAACTTTTTTTTTTTTTTTAAGATGGGAGTCTCACTCTGTCGCCCAGGCTGGAGTTCAGTGACGCAATCTCGGCTCACCACAACCTCCGTCTCCCAGGTTTAAGCGATTCTCCTGCCTCAGCCTCCCGAGTAGCTGGGATTACAGACGCCCACCACCATGTCTGGCTAATTTTTGTATTTTTAGTAGAAAGGAGGTTTCACCACATTGGCCAGGCTGGTCTTGAACTCCTGACCTCAAGTGATCCACCTGCCTCAGCCTCCCAAAGTGCTGGGATTACAGGCATGAGCCACCACACCCAGTCCTGAAATTAACATTTGAGACAGTGGACTGGGAGAGGCAGACCCACCCTCAATCTGGGTGGGCACCATCTGCCCACCCAGCTGCCAGCACAGCTAGGATAAAAGCAGGCAGAGGAACGTGGAAGGACTAGACTGGCTGACTCTTCCAGCCTTCATCTTTCTCCTGTGCTGGATGCTTCCTGCCTTCGAACATTGGACTCCAAGTTCTTCAGCTTTTCGACTCTTGGACTTACACCAGTGGTTTGTCAGGGGCTCTCCAGCCATCAGCCACAGACTGAAGGCTGCACTGTTGGCTTCCCTACTTTTGAGGTGTTGGGACTCGGACTGGCTTCCTTGCTCCTCAGCTTGCAGACGGCCTATTGTGGGACTTCATCTTATGATCGTGTGAGTCAATACTCTTCAATAAACTCCCTTTCATATATATATATATATCTATCCTGTTAGTCCTGTCCCTCTAGAGAACCCTGACTAATACAATCTTGAATGCCAATTTAACCTTCTAGGACCTGGCTTCTTGAGACTGGAATAGAAGAAGGGGGAAAAGCCTAGGACAATAAACTGATCCAGTCAAGACTGCTTCTGAGAGCAAGTACTACCAGAATTGCTAGGCCAACCCAAACTAAAGGAATATCAAAATGCCCCATACAAGTCATAGTGGATGAAGGACAGGGTCAGGGAGTCTATTCAATCCAGATGCCAGTCTGCTAAAGCATTAGAGAAATAGGAGAGATAAAGCAAGAGAATTATGGGCAGTTAGGCAAGGCTGAGTCTGTAGCCAGGTTACCATAAATCTCAAGTTGAGGCCACAGATTTCTCGAAAGCAAGGATTCTTAACCAGGATATGTTTTTGTATGAACACATGCCTGTACTGTCCCTCAAGATGACACATTTACTCCCCAGATCTAACATTATAACAAACCCTCAGATGACATCATCTAGGGTGCTCCCTCTGTGAATACACACTAGAAGAAATGGTTATAGGAGCTGGTTGAGACAGGTTCTTAGGACATATTGTCTGCTAACCCAAGTTCAGATGATTGATGCCAACAAAGATTGCCACAGTCCTAAAGTAGCATCCCCCTTCCCAAATCATTAAGGATATATAGAAGGTCCTTGGATTCATCCCACATTTCATCCATGTCACCACCCTGCTGATGAATCTATTCAAGGTCTATTATCCATTCGGTTCCTTGGATGGATAAAGTCAAGCTTTTCAGCAAATTAAAGAGACTTTTCATTCATGCTATAATGTTAATTTCCTTCAACTCACAATGCCTTTTCATGGAAAAGATCAATACTTCCAACCTCAGCCAGGACTATTTTTTCACAAACAAATCCTAGGCCAGTATTTCCCAAGCCTCTCTGAAGAAACACCCCAGATTCCTGAACCCAAACCTAGATCTATGATTATAATTTCCAGGGACAAAATCTGGTAATCTGCTCTAGACAAATACTCTCGTAGCTTAAACATACTTCTTTTGTAAATGCATCTCTTTGTTTAACCCCAAACCACAGCTCTTCTGGGTGAAAGAGCTCCTACAGTGATGGCTGACTTCAACACTGCTTGGGAGAGGCCTGGCACCCATAACATCTGAGACATCTCTACCAACTGGGATCTCCTTTCAAGTTCAGTCAAAAACAGTCAAAGTTGGCCCTGTTCTTCCAACAACCCATGTCTGATGCAGTCTCAAATCTTTTTCTAAATAAGGCAGGGATAAGAAAGACAGGCAAATGGATCCTCATCCAGAAATGGATTCTAGAACTAAACCTGTATCACCCCAGTTGCAGATTTCACAAGAATATGGTCCTGCCTGGTCCTGTTGGGTTTGATGGGGTTCAAAACATGCTACCCCAAAATATGGCACCTTGGCATATTGAATATTTTAAGCTGAAGGAATTTGAGAAGCAGCCATTGCAGGAAGGACTCTCTAACCTCCCCTTTCTCGCCAGAGCACGTCATAAGACCCTCACAGAAGAGGTGCCCTCCCTATAACTGGAGGAAGGGAGCATCCTTATGTCAGAAGACGGAAGGATGCTGAGAGGAATTTGAGGGAATGGGCCTTGCTATGTTTCCTCCAGTTTACTATCCTTAGTTCATATCCTTTGTCCTATCACATTTTCCCACAACACTCCACTCTTCATTAAATCAAATATAAAAGTGCTCAGGCTTAACCTGAACTGGCTTAACCTCAAGCTAACCATTCTTTGGGTCTTCCTTTCCTTATGAAGGCTCCTATGTCATGTAAAACTTATATTAAATAAATGTGTTTGCTCTTCTCATGTTAATCTGTCCTGTCAACATAGTTTTCAGGCCCAGCCAAGAACCCTAGGAGGGTTAAGGAAAAGTTTTACTCCCCTACAGCTTTCATCATATTCCTTCTCCAGTGACTTTACTGATATGGTTCTGTGGGTCATTAAGGTCTCCTGTAGAAGCAACATTATTTTTTATGTCCTAGCCATTAAAGTCTAGACTCCAGACTGGATTGGGTGCTATGAGAGCATACTTGGTCTACTAGGTCTTCCAGTAACCCTACATACTCCACAGCAGTCCACCCATTGCAGGGTCCTATACATGTGTACCCAAGCAAAATATACACAAGAATGGGTCAATCTCTGAGGGTAATACCTGAGAGATCTGCAGCCTGCCTTACACATATTCCTAATTGCCTTCCTAACACTAATTCCCTTGAAAGAACTTGGAGAAACCCGGAGTCCACCTCCAATTCACAATGCAGACTAAGAGTTCAGAACAGGAGTGAAGCCTCTAGAAGCAAAGGCCAAACATAAAAGCATACTGTAATCAGGGCCTGGCATCCATTACATACAATTCTATTGTTATGGATCACACTCTTTTCCTTCTTCAAGCTTGATTTTACCAGTAAATAACAATTACTTTAGAACCACCTTAGCCAAGCTTTAATGTCTACTACCACTTCAACCCCCTAGTTCACAATTTATCTTCTTCCTGGCTCAGCACATTTGGACTAACCACACAGAAATGGACCTCTGTCCTATTTCAGCATCTGCTATAGTTTGAATGTGTCCTCCAAATTTTATGTGTTGGAAACTTAATCCTCAAATTCATATGTTGATGGTATTTGGAGGTAGGGCCTTTGGGAAATAATTAGGATTAAATAAGGTCACCAGGGTGGGGCCACCATGATGGAACTGGTGGCTTTATACGAAGAGGAAGAGAAATTGGAGCTGGCACACTCTTGCCCTCTCACCATGTGTTGCCCTCCACCATGTTATAATGCAGCAAGAAAGCCTCACCAGATGCTGACACCATGTTCTTGGACTTGCCAACCTCCAGAACCTTGAGCTAAATACATTTATTTTCTTTATAAATTTCTCAGTCTTAGGTATTCAGTTATAGCAACAGAAAATGGACTAAGACAGTATCTTTCTCTTGGGAGTGGATTGCATGAGAAAATCAAGTGGGCAAAGCTCAAAACATCCAGATCTCCAAGTCTGGCCCCAAAGGTTCCCATATATAATAAGGGAAACTAAAGAGAATCTTGGAATATTTTGAGCAAGAAAGTGGTACAATAAATCAATGCTTTACAAAGGTTAATCTGGCATCTGCAGGATGGATTTAAGGGTAGAAGTTACTGGATTCATAGGAAGACTATTATACTAATCAAATGTGAAGATTCTGAAAGTCTGATTTTGAAAGGTGGCAATGTAGGGAAAATGTATAAAGACATTAGAAAAGAAAATCAACTAAATTCAGTGAGTGAAAGTTTTGCCCCGAAAAAAAGAAGGCTTAAGAGATGACATGACTTAAAAATAGAGGCTAGACATAAGAAAATTAGATATTGGAGAATGCTGGTGTTCCTGAGGGAGTGAACAATTTTAGGGATTACTTAGACAAAGCAAATTGCTAATCATATAGAAAACCCCAAGCTGTATGTACCAACAGGGAAATAAAATTTGATTTCCTTTGTGTATATGTGAATATGCTTACTCTTTTCTAAATTCAAAAATGGCTCAGCCAAGAAAAAGAACGTGAATAGACAATTCACAGAGGAAGAAATTCAAATGGCCAATAAGCATTCAAAAAGATGTTTAATAGTGGAATTGCAGCTGATAAGGATTGGTTTCTAAAAATAGAATGTAAGGCAAAAATCAAGTATAATACAGCCAATTACCCTTGAAAACCTCTTAAATCTCCCATAAAATACATTATATATGTTTTGGTGCACATAATCCTACATGTGTATATAAATATATAATAGACTGCTTTGGGGGGTGGTCCCCAAAACCACATTTAGCTTCAATCCTTCATTATAATGACCCGCAGAACTCAGAAAAGCTGTTATACTAATGATTAGGGCTTATTACAGAAAAAAATAGAGATTAAAATCACCAAAGGAGAAAGGTGCATGAAGCAGAGTCCAGGAGAAACCAAGTGCAAGCTTTGAGTTGTACTCTCCCAGCAGATCTCTGAATTCTCCCAGCTACAATGTGACAATATGTACAAAGTATTGTTAACCAGGGAGACTCATCTGAGCCTAGATGTCCAAGGTTTTTTTGGGAGGAAAGGGCAGTATATTACACAGAGCACCTATGTGACTGACCTTAGCTACTCAGTCTCCAGGTCCTCAGATGCCTAACTGATACAGTATGGTCCTGGGCCCTAGGTAAACAAGAACAGGTGTTCACCATAAATCACACAAGTGTAACTTATCTGACATGGCCTATGATCACTATACAAAGACATTCTTGGCCAGGCGCAGTGGTTCATGCCCGTAATCCCAGCACTTTGGGAGGTTCAGGTGGGCAGGTCTCTCGAGCCCAGGAGTCAAGTCCAGCCTGTGCAACCTAGTGAAACCCCAGCTCTACAAAAAATACAAAAATTAGGCATGGTGGTACACACCTGTAGTTCCAGCTACTTGGGAGGCTGAGGCAGGAGGATTGATTGAGCTTGGGAGGTCGAGGCTGCAGTGAGCCGTGATGGCACCACTGCACTCCAGCCTGGGCAACAGAGCAAGACCCTGTCTCAAAAAAGAAAAACACAAACAGACATTCTTGTCAGGCAGGATATTCCAAGGGTTTAGAGGTTATCTCCCAGGAGTTGGTCAGAGGCCAGTCCTGAAGATGTCTGGAATGTGCAGGATTTGTATACCTACACCTGCTGAGTTAACCCTTTGCACATAAAAATATGGACTACATATAGATTATGCAAAACATAACTATATAACACTCTGTATTTAAAGACTGGGCTGGGTGCAATGGCTTACTCCTGTAACCCCAGCACTTTGGGAGGCCGAGGCAGAAGGACTGCTTGAGCCCAGGAGTTGAGACCAGCCTGGCCAACGTGGCAAAACCCTGTCTCTACTAAAGATACCAAAATCAGCCAGACATGGTAATGCGCACCTGTAATCCCAGCTACTCAGGAGGCTGAGGTGGGAGGATCACTTGAGCCTGGGAGGCAGAGGTTGCAGTAAGCTGTGATCATGCCACTGCGTTCCAGCCCGGGTTACAGAGTGAGACCCTGTCTCCAGAAAAAAAAAAAGAAAAAAAAAAAAAGAAAAAAAAAATGACTGGAACCAAATTTATCTTGTAGGAATATATCCAAATAAATAACAGATATGAACAAGATCTATATTCAAGGATGACAGTAAAAGGGTAAAAAGTTGAAAACAAATGGAATGTCAAGATTAGGAAAATGGTTAAATAAATCATAGCACATTCATATCTTGGACTAATATATAGCCATTAAAATTCATATAGTGGGGCTGGGCACGGTGGCCCACACCTGTAATACCAGCACATTGGGAGGCTGAGGTGGGTGAATCACTTAAGGTCAGGAGTTCAGGACCAGCCTGGCCAACATGGTGAAACCCTGTCTCTACTAAAAATACAAAAATTAGCTGGGTGTAGTGGCAGACACCTGTAATCCCGGCTACTTGGGAGGCTGAGACACAGAATCACTTGAACCTTGCAGGGTGGAGGATGCAGTGAGCCAAGATTGTGCCACTGCACTCCAGCCTGGGCAACAGGGCAAGATTCTGTCTCAAAAAAAAAGAAAAAGAAAAAGAAAAATCATATATTGGTAAGTGAAAAAGTATGTTACAGTGTAGTTGATCTTCATTATTCACAGATTCTGCATTTGTAAATTCATCTAATCACTAAAACTTATTTGACCCCAAAATCAATACTTTCAGCACTTTTGTGGTCATTTGCAGACTTGCGCAGAGTGCCAAAAATTTTGCGTCACCTGATGTGCACATTCCCAGCTGAGGCCAAACAAGGCGATACTCTGCCTTCTTGTTTCAGCTCTTATAGCATAAATAAATACTCCTTTTCATGGTTTATTTAGTGCCATGTATTTCACAGTTTTGTGTTTTTTGTTGATTATGTCACTGTTTAAAATGCTGGCCAGGGCCAGGCACAGTGGCTCATGCCTGTAACCGCAGCACTTTGGGAGGCCGAAGCAGGTGGATCACCTGAGGCCAGGAGGTCAAGACCAGCCTGGCCAACATAGTGAAACCCATCTCTACTAAAGATACAAAAATTAGCTAGGTGTGGGGTGAATGCTTGTAATCGCAGCTTCCCAGGAGGCTGAGGCATGAGAATCACTTGAACCTAGGAGGTCAAGTTTTCAGTGAGCCAAGATCACACCACTGCACTCCAGCCTGGGCAACAGAGTGAGACTCTGTCCCAAAAAAATAAAAGCCAGCCAGGCACAGTGGTTCACACCTATAATCACAATATTTTGGGAGGCCAAGGCCAGAGGATTGCTTGAGCTCAGGAGTTTAAGACCAGCCTGGGCAACATAGTGAGACCTCATCTCTACTAAAAAAAAAAAAAAAAAAAAAAATTAGCCAGGTATGGTAGTGCATCCCTGTAGTAGCTACATGGGAGGCTGAAGTGGGAGAATCTCTTGAGCCAGGAGGTTGAGGCTGCAGTGAGCTGTGACCATGCCACTGCACTCCAGCGTGGGCGACAGTGAGACCCTGCCTCAAAACATAAATAAATAAAATACCCCCAAGCATAATGCTGAAGTACTGTCAAGTGTTTCTCAGTTAAAGAGTCTGTGATGTGCTTTACAGAGAAAATACCTGTGTTAAGATAAGTTTCATTCAGGAATGAGTGATAGTGCTGTTAGCCTTGAGTTCAATGTTAATGAATCAACAATATAGATTAGTGTATTTAAACATAAATACACAAATAATCAAGGTTATGTATTGATCAGTTGATGAAAATGTTATGACCAGAGGTTCACAGGAACCTAACTCTATACTTCCCCTAGGAACAACGGCTATTTGCTAATTCATTGTTCCCAATGCCTTTATAAAGCTTGACTACCAAGATAATGAGAATCAACTATATATGTATATACAACATGGAAGGATATATATATCAAGATAATAATAGTGGTTTTCTTTGATAAGAAGAATGCAGTTGCTTTTCATTCTTTTATACTTTTCCAGATTTTTCTACCAGCAATATGTGTAATGTATATAATTGAGGAAAAGTTAGTTATATAACAAAATGTAAGACCCCCGAGAAATTGATCATGCCAGTTAAAGACCTTAGCAACATTCAGGAAGCCATAGAGGTGGGCGCTAATGTTTCTGAAGGTACCAGTGGCATAACTAGCCATATGAAAGAACCAACTAAGGGAGTACTTGGTCTCTCCCTTTGGAAGTGGAAGCTAGTACAGAAAGGTGCCGAGTAATATTGTGCTCTTTCTCTTGAAAACAAAACAAAACTTCATTCTATACATTGTCAAATGCATGGAAAGGAAAATCCTGCTGGCTTGCCTCATCTCTGAATGAAGTTCATTGGCCACTTGGTAGCTGAAAAGGACCTAGAATGCCTGATTTGTTCCCACACTGATGCTTGGTAGTGGAGAAAATAAAGCTGCTGTGGGCCTTGCATAGCCACCCAGTCCCACACCCGAGTGGTCAGGTTAGGCTTTAAGTGAATGTGTAATTTGAAAATCAATGCTAAGACCATGAAAAAAAGCATGGCAGTATTGTGACTCTGTCAACCCCAAGCTTCCTCTGGGGAATCTGTGTGTTGTCAACATTTCACCCTCACATTACTCACAGGTGGTAGCAGCTGTGGCATCATTTTTTTATCCTTGGTTTGTTTTCAGCTCCCCTGAGACCCATATAGGACACACCTCCCATTTATAACAACTCTTCTTTTGCAAAGGATCCCACGGGGCTTCATTAATAACTCAATCTAGCCCCAGAGGTCATTGCTGCTGCTTCTGGGGCAAAGCACTACCTGATAGCACACAGAAACCCAGGATAGTCGTTTGAATGAGGAAAGGGAGGAGGGGCCAGGCCTGGTGGCTCATGCCTATAGTCCCGGCACTTTGGGAGGCTGAGGCAGGAGAATCCCTTGAGGCCAGGAGTTCGAAACCAGCCTGGGCAACATAGCAAGACCCTGTCTCTACTAAATTAAATAAACAAACAAATAAATAAATAATTTATAAAAAGAAGTAGAGGCTGGGCGCAGTGGTTCACGCCTGTAATTGAACTAAGATAGCTCCACTGCACCTCAGCCTCAGTGACAGAGCAAGATCCTGTCTCAAAAAAAAAAAAAAAAAAAAAAAGCAGAAAAGGGCTCCCACTATAGGCAGCTCAGGAAAATTACATACGACCAACTAACCTGGAATTTAGGCAAGCATTCTGACACTGACAAAGAATTAATGGCTGTCATTGGCTTTGAGGTGAGGGCTTCACTCTGAGTCCAAAAAACATTTAGAGCAGGTGGACTCCAAAGAATAAACTTTTTTTTTTGAGATAGGGTCTCACTCTGTCACCCAGGCTGGAGAGCAGCAGTGTGATCTTGGCTCACTGCAACCTCTGCCTCCCGAGTTCAAGTGATTCGCATGCCTCAGCCTCCAGAGCAGCTGGGACTACAGGTACGCACCAGCACGCCTGGCTAATTGTTGTGTTTTTGGTAGAGACAGGATTTTGCCATGTCAGCTAGGCTGGTCTCGAACTCCTGACCTCAGGTGATCCGCCCACCTCGGCCTCCCAAAGTGCTGGGATTACAGGCGTAAGCCATTGTACCTGGCCAAAAAACAAACCTTTTTTTTTTTCTTTTTGAGACGGAGTCTGTCTCTGTTGCCCAGGCTGGAGTGCAGTGGCGCGATCTTGGCTCACTGCAAGCTCCACCTCCCAGGTTCACGCCATTCTTCTGCCTCAGCCTCCCGAGTAGCTGGAACTACAGGCGCCCGCCACATACCTGGCTAATTTTTTTTTTTTTGTATATTTAGTAGAGACAGGGTTTCACCTTATTAGCCAGGATGGTCTCGATCTCCTGACCTCGTGATCCGCCCGCCTCGGCCTCCCAAAGTGCTGGGATTATAGGCATGAGCCACCGTGCCCAGCCCAAAAAACAAACTTTAAATCAGAGAATACTCTGGTTGAGACAAAAATTGGACAAATCTTGAAAGGAGTACTAATGCAATGGGGTTTCCTTATACAACGTTTCCAAATTCCAAAGGAATTCATTTTCTTCTGACATAATACAGCTGGATAGGGCCAGGCACAGTGGCTCAGGCCTGTAATCCCAGCACTTTGGGAGGCTGAGGCGGGTGGATCACCTGAGGTCAGGAGTTTGAGATCAGCCTGGCCAACGCAGTGAAACCCTGTCTCTACTAAAAATACAAAAATTAGCCAGACGCGGTGGTGCACACCTGTAGTCCCAGCTACTCAGGAGGCTGAGGCTGGAGAATCGCTTGAACCCAGGAGGTGGAGGTTGCAGTGAGCCGAGATCATGCCACTGCACTCCAGAGTGGGTGACAGAGTGAGACTCCATCTCAAAAAAAAAAAAAAAGAAAAAAAAAAAAAAAAAACCAGCTGGGTATTAATAAGGAAGGAAGGAAGGACTACTTGAAAAACCTAAGGTCAAACACATCAAGCAGGGAAAACACAAAGCAATTAATGTGAGAGAAAAGGAGATGGTAGCTCTAAAAGAAAGGGAAATAGGGTGTTAGTATCCTTTTGACCATCACAGGCCAAGCCCTCTTCAGCAGGAAAAGGTTCATTAACTAAATGGCCTGGAAGTTTTTAACACAGATGACTCAAAGAAAATTTGTTTCTGCGCAGGGAAGAATAAAGTTGATTTAAAATGAAAACCAAAAAAGTCTTCCAAAACAAACATTTCTTATTAACTAACTAAAAATCAATAAGAAAAAGAAAACAACTCAGTAGAACTATGGGCAAAGAGCATGAACAGGCAAGTCACACACAATACAGATTGCTAGAAATGTTAAGAGATGCTCAACCTCCCTTATAATTAATCAAAAACTAAAACAATAATGCAATTATTTCTGCCTATCAGATTGGAAAAAATTTTTAAATGTATAATATTCAGGGTTGACAAGAGGATTGGAAAACACGAATGGGGAAATACCCTCGCTGGGATTGTTAATTAGTACAACTTTTTTGGAGAGAAACACAACAATTTTTATTGCATTTTTAATGTTCATGCCCTTTGACTCAACATTTTTATTTCTAATAATTTATCTCACAAAAGCGTGCAAATGTTCGACATTTAGTATAGATTGTTTATTTATTTATTTAATTATTTTTGAGACAGTCTCACTCTGTCACCCAGGCTGGAGTGCAGTAGCGTGGTTTCAGCTCGCTGCAACCTCCGCCTCCCGAGTTCAAGCAATTCTCCTGCCTCAACCTCCCAAGTAACTGAGATTACAGACGCCCACTACCACACCTGGCTAATATTTTGTATTTTTAGTAGAGACAGGGTTTCACCATGTTGGCAGGCTGGACTTGAACTCCTGACCTCAGGTGATCCGCTCGCCTCAGCCTCCCAAAGTGCTGGGATTACAGGTGTGAGCCACTGCGCCTGGCCTGTTTATAATATTTTAAAAACCTGGAATAGGCCAAGCACAGTGGCTCATACCTGTAATCCCAGCACTTTGGGAGGACGAGGCAGGTGGATTCCTTGAGTCAAGACCAGCCTGGGTGACATGGGTGACATGGACAAACCCCATCTCTAAAAAAAAAAAGAAAAAAAAAAAACCCAGAATAACGCAACTGTCCATTAATTGAAGTTGTTTAAATAACTATGGTGCTTATAATGAAATGCTATAGAGCTATGAAATAGAATGTGACATATCTTCACGTAGAAGGTTGCATTAAGTAAGAAAGTAAGATGCCAAGCTGTATGAATAGGGTATGGTGGTGTTTATGGGGTGACAAAAATATTCTGGAATTAAATAGTGGTAATTGGTTGCATAACATTGTGGCTATACTAAAAGACACTGAATTGTACAGTTTAAAATGGCTAAAATGATAAATTTTATGTTGTATAGATTTTACTTCAAGTTTTAAAAAACAGTATGAATAACATGATCCCATTTTTGTGTGAAAAAAATATTTTTAGTATGTACATAGAAAAAAACCTAGAGAGAAATACACTAAGTAATTGGCAGTGATTATCTCTGAGTGTGATAGACACAGTATATTGTTAATAACCATGTTGTATATATCTGTAATGTTGGAAATTTTAATAAACAGAGGACTTAGAACTTTCATATCCAGAAAAAAAGATACTAAATCACTTGAAAAGTAGAGAAAGAGGTCTAATTATCTGAGAACAAATAACTGAGCCAGTAAAAAATTCCTTTCAAAGATAACTCAAAATAACTATTTCAGTGGGAATTGCATTATTTCAGAATCATGGGATTGTAAAGGTTTTGTGTGTGTGTACATTTCCTTAATAAAGAAAAAGGAGAACATGTACAAACGCTTCTTCAACGTAGTTAGATGCTAAAATTTAACCTTCATTGAGACTGAAAATGTAAACACTCATTTGTCTAGGAGGAATTGGTTACTAAAGTCTGTGTACCCTGATGCTTCTGTTGCCAACCAAAGCATCTGCTGGGTCCTGACCTTCAGATAATAAAAGTAATTATAAGACTCATGATCAGAAGATTGGGATTCTGGTTCCAGCTAAGCCACTAATTTGCCATGTGAATAGAGCCAAATCCTCTAATCTTACTATACTTCCATTTCTTTCTTTCTAAAAATGGGGAGATGCTACTGAAAGAGATCAGGATATGCCATCCCAAAATATGCCACTTTGGCATAAGGATTATTTTGAGCTGAAGGCAACTGATGGAGGAAAAGGTCTCTGCCCTCCCTTTATCTGCCTAAAAACAGGACATAAATTTTCCTTTGAGGAAGGTACTCCTCTATGCCAGGAAACTGAGAATGACTCATTACCAGAGATGTCACACCAAGATGACTCCTCATAAACAAGCCCTACTAAAATAACCCTTATCTCCCATTAGTTTCCTTCATATATTTCCTAGTCAATTCCCACAATATTTTCCCTTGAAGCCCAAACCCATCTTCTTTTTTTAAGAAGGGTATACAAACTCCAGGTTCTGGCCAGGTGCAGTGGCTCACACCTGTAATCCCAGCACTTTGGGAGGCTGAGGCGGGTGGATTTCAAAAATTAGTGGGGCATGGTGGCACATGCCTGTAGTCCCATCTACTCAGGAGATGGAGACAGGAGAATCACTTGAACCTGGCAGTCAGAGATTATGCCACTGCGCTCCAGCCTGAGCGACAGAGTGAAACACTATCTCAAAAAAAAAAATTCAAGTTCTGAGCACGTCTTTGAGTTTTCACATCATCTCTGTGAAGCTTCCATGCATTTAAAAGTATTAATATCAATAAAAATCATACATTTTTTTCCTGTTAATCTGTCTTTAGTCAGTTAAATTTGCAGGCCTCATTCACTGAAACTAGGTGGGAAGACAAAATATTTTTCATCCTGAAGAGCACTAAATAGAATGGTAACCTTAGGTGCTTACATAAGAAATTGAAAACCCAATCAAAATACTACACTCAGAAAATTCCATTTAGGGCAGTGCATATTATTTTATATAATCTTAAAAGTGTCTGTTATGGCAACTAAGCACAGTGACATGACCAAATGTACATGTTTGTGATGACAGACACTAGACTGTATACTTACATGACATTTTGAAAACCTAGAAGTGAGGCATTTATAAAAGAGTGAAGGCCGGGTGCGGTGGCTCACGCCTGTAATTTCAGCACTTTGGGAGGCCGAGGCGAGCGGATCACTTGAAGTTGGGAGTTTGAGACCAGCCTGGCCAACATGATAAAACCCCATCTCTACTAAAAATTAAAAAAAAAAAAAAAAAATTAGCCAGGTATGCCGGTGGGCACCTGTAATTCCAGCTACTCGGGAGGCTGAGGCAGGAGAATCACTTGAACCCGGGAGGCAGAGGTTGCAGTGAGTCAAGATCGCACCACTGCACTCCAGCGACAGAGTGAGACTTCGTATCAAAAAAATAAAAATGAAAAAAAAAAAAATGAAAAGCAGGGCCAAGCTTAGGGCCCAGATCTCCTTCCCACCACTTCCTTCCAAAATGTTGGCCTGTGATACTCACAGCTACAACTTCTCTTTAATACCTAGATATAAATCTCATTCAATAAAAACAATTAGCAGAAGAGAGAACATTCAACAGTTGCAATTACCTAAATGTCCCTCCGGTAACCATTTGAATGACTAAATCCTCTACATTGATTGTTTCAGTGAATGATAATTAAAACCAAATAACCTCCAGGCTCATTTGATTCTACAGTGACAATACTAAACCTCTAGACATTATATTGCAAAGCCCTGAATTGAGCCAGGCAAAGCAAAACCAAAGTACAAGGAGAATTGAGTGGTGGGTGGAAGGGTGCTGGTGCATACTAGAGAAGAAAGAAGGCAACAGACACCCTTCACAAGCACATTTAACTGTAGATAGGGGAGCCCCGCGACACCACTTCCTAGTCAGGGAGACTCCTTCCAGGCTTTGTATGGGGAATGGTGTAGTTAGATTAATAACGGCTTCCTACTATTTCCTTCATGTTCCATAAACCAACATGCATCTCACTTCTGCCCTCTGAAACATTGCTTCCCTTATTGTTGAATCCTTTACCCAATTCCATAAGGCCTACTGGGAATATTGTTTTGGGCTTAGACATACGATTAAAGACTTTGTGTGGTTTTTTTTAATATAAGGTAAGAATTTTGCCAGACAAATATGGACTAAGATTAGATAGGCCTTGTTTTCCATATTTATAATACAGAGAGGGAGCATCATCCTGATTAAGTTAAAGCAGAGATTGTGCCCTCATCATTGTGCCCTCAGAGGTTAGTGAAGCACACAGTAATTTCACAAAAATACTCTTTGAACTGAACTTAATGCAAAGTATGTTGAACTAAAATCCATGCCTAACAATATTAATGTACAAATTGTACATTAATAAATCATTCCAAAGCACCATGTTTGTTGCAATTTTTAAATACTCAAAATAGCAGGTGGGCAGACTTGATAAATCATTGCTCTATAGTATACGTTAATACCAGGATCTCAGCTTTCCTCTGCAGGACAAGCACTTCTAGGTAGATGTCAAAGTCAAAAGTTTGGGTAGTTCAGCACCTTCTATAATCAATCAGTGAATCAACACTTATAAAGCACTTACTATGTGCTCGGCATTGTTCCAGCCACAAGATTAGAATGGGGAATCTTCTGGGATCCGCTGAAAATATTGGAAGGCTCTTTCCCAGTAAACTACAAATTACCCCCCAAGCCCTATTTTCTTGGAATTTGTACTAAGAATCCCATATCTGCAAGCAATGTACTTTCAAATAGTGCAGTTTTCATAGCCTGCGTGTTGAATGGGACCCACATGTAATGGCATCTATGATGCACTAAAATAGAGAAGGTCACAAGGGGCCAGGTTCAGTAGCTCACGCCTGTAATTCCAGCACTTTGGGAGGCCAAGGCGAGTGGGTCACTTGAGGCCAGCAGTTCAAGACCAGCCTGGGTAACATAGTGAAACCCAGTTTCTACAAAAAGTGAGGTTAAGTCTGCATTGAGCCATGATTGAGCCACTGCACTCCAGTCTGGGTGACAAAGCCTGTCTCAATCAGTCAATCAAAAAGTCACAAAATCCCCAACACTATAAATTAAAAAACTGTAGAAAACACAGTGCTAACTTCTCCCCTATTAATCTTAAAATAAATTTGTTTTTCATTATTGTAAACCTGTTGGATGTTTGATTGTTTTGATTTAAGAGAAAGGGTCTCATTATGTTGCCCAGGCCGAATGCAGTGGTTATTCAAGGGCTCAAACTCCTGGCCTTAAGCAATCCTCCTGCCTCAGCACCCCCCCCACCCCCCACCAAGTAGCTGGGACAACAGGCCACATGGCAAGAGGCTTGAAATTTTTTATTGTTGTTGTTACCATGCACATATTACCCATCACCACTCTCACACCGCGCCCCCAACAACAAATCTGTGCCTAAAATGACACTATTTGAATTTATCTTTTAGTAGACCATCCAGATTCTTTAAAGTTGTCAGGAGCCCTGTCCCTTTAGCAAGCTGGGTCAGAAAAAAGCACTACTATACTTGGATTAATTTTTAAATGTTTAAACACCTAATTGGGAAAAATGAAAATTTAAAGTAATTAGAAGACAATTTAGAAGATTAGAAGATTCTCTATGACATCTGGACACAAACAAGATGAAAAGCATAAAACAAACACACGTATTAAATTAAACTATATTAAAATGTAAAGCTTCGGCCAGGCGTGGTGGCTCACGCCAGTAATCCCAGCACTTTGGGAGGCCGAGGCGCGTAGATCATGAGGTCAAGACGTCTAGACCATCCTGGCCAACATGGTGAAACCCTGCCTCTACTAAAAATACAAAAATTAGCCAGACATGGTGGCATGCACCTGTAGTCCCAGCTACTTGGGAGGCTGAGTCAGGAGAATCGCTTGAACCCTGGAGGTGGAGGTAGCAGTGAGCCAAGATCAAGCCCCTGCACTCCAGCCTGGTGACAGAGCGAGACTCCATCTCAAAAAAAAAAAAAATGTAAAGCTTCTCCAAATTAACGCAGGAACAGAAAACCAAATATGGCATGTTCTCACTTATAAGTGGGAGTTAAACATTAGGAACTCATGGAAATGAAGATGGAAACAATAGATATGGGGACTACTAGAGCGGCGAGGGGGGAATGGAGCAAGAATTAAAAAACTACCTACTGGGTACTATACTCACTATCCGGGGTGACAAGATCATTTGTATTCCACATCTCAACATCAAGCAATGTACGCATGTAACAAACCTGCACGTGTACTCCCTGAATCTAAAATAAAAGCTGAAATTATTAAAAAACAACAAAAAGCAAAGCTTCTCTATGACAATAGTTACCACTTTTTTGGGGGGGTAGTTATAAAAATTTATTATACATAAAGAATATTACTACTAACAAATGCAGACAGGCTAGGACACCATGGTACTGGGAGGAGGACGGCTAGCTCTTTGGAAAGTGAAAGGTTTGGGTGGCGTGGGCCTCATGCCATGCTGATTGGTCAGTAGACAGGGGGCACATGCCAAACACCACAGGGCATCAGGGCATCAGGTGCCTGTTCTGTGTGCCCACAGGTGTTCCCTGTCTTATCTGGGCCTTCTAAGGGAGCACACCCAGAAGCGAGCAACTGAAGCCAAGGGGCTTCCAAAGTGCCCCTTCCAGGCCTGTCTCTGACGTCACAGCAACACCATTTTAAGTAATATGTTTAATTGGATGATTTCCACAAACTAGGACGAAGTTTCTAACCATCACAATTCAGTGAAGTACAAAACACTGAGTTACAGGCTGTGGGAAGAGAAGGCAGCACCAATGGTGCCACCTTCCAATCCTGGTTGTTCTAGGGGCAGGGAGGAGGAAGGTCTTTTTTTAAACCAGTCCCCTCATTTCATTGTACAAAAGAATTACTCTGATCGATATTAAATTGTATTCAAAACGAAACAGACTAAAAAGCAAATACTACTCTATGTTGAGGTGGAAGTGGGAGGAAAGAATGAGTCCTTCGAAGCAGGAAGGGAGATAGCAGGGGGAAGGTTCTGTGCCTGTGACCCCGGGTGGTCACTCATGCTGCTCCATTTTTACTTTCGGTGGTCTCAGGAAGGTCCGATTTTTCTTCTCTTTCTTCCCCTTTGTATTGACTTGGAAGTTTCGCCAGCTGTCCACACGACCATCTCGACCTTCCTCAAAGTTTTTCTGCCACTCTCTTTCTCGTTTGGCTTTTTCTTGAGCTTCAATCTCTTCTTCCCTTTGCCGTTTCCTTTCATGCATCTCTTTGGCTTCTCTCTCTTTCCTTTTAATTTCCAGCTGAGCAAAGAGTTTCATTTTCTGTTTATATACAGCTTGTTTGAACAGCTCAGGATCATCCTCCTCTACAATCGTAGGTTTTCCTTCCTTCTTTGATTGTTTTTTTTTTTTCTCTCTTTCACAGTGTGTTCCACGTATTCTTTTCCTGCCTAAATTACATCCAGGACCCTCTTCTTTTGCTCCTGATCAGTAGCAACTTGTAAGCTTTGTCCACAGTTTCAAAAGCCTTTTGTGCTCTGTCAGCATCATCTTCATTTTTGTCAGGATGCACCAAGATGGATAACTGCCGAAACCTCTTTTTTATTTCTTCATCTGTAACTTCAGGATCTATCTGAAGAAACTCAAATGGGTTCAAATTGAAGTAAGAGGAACCAGGACGGGTCAGTCTTTCAATGTGGTTTTTGGATGTTAGAACCAAGTCTCCCTTCTCTATTTGTTTCCCCTGAAGACAAGGCCCGGGAGAACAAGCACCAGGCAGTCCCAGGAAAACATTCTTGGTGTCACTGTCAGGGTTGGAATGAATATGAGGTATGCTGTATGCCATCTTTATTCCTCACTGTAGGAGGTCATAAATGCTTCCTCTGTGCCGCCTCCGCCGCCCAAAGTCCCGCTCTCTCCTGAAGCCGCCATTTCCCCACAACTTTTTTAAAAAGTTAAAATCTATGGGCAGAAACTATATTTAAGAGTGTAAATTGGCCGGGCGCAGTGGCTCACGCCTGTAATCCCAGCACTTTGGGAGGCCGAGGCGGGCGGATCACAAGGTCAGGAGATCGAGACCAACCTGGCTAACACAGTGAAATCCCGTCTCTACTAAAATACAAAAAAATTAGCCGGGCGTAGTGGCGGGCGCCTGTAGTCCCAGCTACTTGGAAGGCTGAGGCAGGAGAATGGCGTGAACCCGGGAGGCGGAGGCTGCACTGAGCTGAGATTGTACCACGGCACCCCAGCTTGGGCAACAGAGTGAGACTTCATCTCAAAAAAAATAAAATAAAGTAAAACAAAATGTCTTCAAGGGCTGCCTGTATGGACAGATGAGATGTTACTTCAGCTTAATAAATTAATATTCAATGTATTAAAGTAACAAAAACATTACTTAAGCTTTTTTAAAAATAGAGTGTAAATTAGCACAATCACTTTAAAGACAATTTGTCTAAATCTCATAAATTTGTAAATACACATATCCTATAACCCAGCAATTCTATAAAATTATAGCTAGAACAGTAATTCTCAAACTTTAGTGTGCGTCAGAATCACTGGAGAACTTATTAAAGTAGTTTGGTAGGCCCCACCCCACCCCACCCCCGTTTCTGATTCAGTAAGCATGGGTTAAAGCCCAAAAATTTACATTTCTAACAAATCCCAGGTCATACTGATGCTGCTGGTTCATGCATCACACTTTGAGTATCACTGCCCTGAAGAAACCATCATGGATGTGCCTAAGGGGACACATACAGAAAATATTCACCATAGTATTGTCTATCACAAGTAAGGAAATGGATGAATAAATGTAGAATATAGCAATGAAGTTACGTGAAGGAACAACATGAATCCATATGAGTAAATCTCAAATCATAATGGTGAATGGAAAAGTAATTTGCAAAAGGATACATTTAAGATACCATTTATGTAAGACTTAATAGTATTAATATCCATTATTTACAGATACATTCATATGTACCAAAAGTATGAAAATATAGGAAGAATACATATTGGCAAAGGAGTCAGGGAATTGAGATTGCAAAGAGCTTCAAAAGGGGCTTCAATTGTATCTATAACATTGTGTTTTGTTAAAACTGACCTAAAGCTCACCTCTTTCCAATGCCCTGCCCTACCCTCCTACCCTGGAAAAGGTAGTCAGTAGAAAAGTAGACATCCTGTCTAGAGAAAAGCTGCAGAGGATGGTAGAATGGGAACATCCCTCTCTGCACAAAAATAATGCAGGAATAAAGATGATCTATTTCACTATTTTTTTTCCTGATCTTCCAAGAAAACTTGAACATTATTATCTGCCTATATTGTCAAAAGAAAAGAAAAAGGATAAGGATAGTGTTTTGCTTTTGTTTTGTTTTGCTTTGTTTGGGACAGGGTCTTGCTCTGTTGCCCAGGCTGGAGTGAAGTGGCATGACCATGGCTCACTGCAGCCATAGTGCCTTTCTTTAGAGAACGGATACATTTTACCATCATAGTGCATGAGAGGCACAGTAGGAGTCACAAAATCATCAATAATAACACTAACTGACATTTGGATAGTACCCCATTTTCAAGCTGTTTCTCTGTAGAACACAGAAAGACACAGTTATATAAAGTAAAAGAAATGCAGCATACCCTGATAATGACTTGGTCCCTGACCCCCAAAACCAAAAATTTCCTTCTTCCTATGAATGTATATAACAAATTATCTTGAAATTGACTGTGCTAATTTACACTCCTAAATATCATTTCAAAGTCTTGGCCGGGCACATTGGCTCAAGCCTGTAATCCCCACACTTTAGGAGGCCAAGCCAGGCAGATCACCTGAGGTCAGGAGTTTGAGACCAGCTTGGCCAACACAATGAAACCCCGTCTCTACTAAAAATACAAAATTAGCTGGGCATGGTGGCACATGCCTATAATCCCACCTACTCACTCAGGAGGCTGAGGCAGGAGAATCGCTTGAACCCGGGAGGCGGAGGTTGCAGTGACTGCGCCATTATGCTCCAGCCTGGGCAATAAGAGCAAAACTCCATCTCAAAAAAAAAAAAAGCACCAAAGTCTACAGCTTAACTCTTTTTTTAGGTAACTTGTCATAGAGATGCTTTGCATCTTAATGTACTTTAATATTTGTCCTTACATTTTGTGCATTTGGTCTTGTTTATGTTCAGATGTCATAATTTCCTATGTTGTCTTCCAACAACTTCCTCTGAACCAAGTCTTGGCTCAATTCTTTCCTTCCTATGATCTCAGCTCCCCAGAAACTTCTAAAACTATCACCTCCACACAGAGGCCTTCCTGACTATATGTTCCAAAATAGCATCTCCAGTCTCTCTCCAGTTCCTTTCCCTGTTTTACACTTGTATATAGTATTTATCACTCTCTGACGTTCCCTTACATATTACCTTGTTTATTGTCTTTCACTCTATCTAGAATATAAGCTTCATAACACAGAGACTTGTTCCTGGGTGGGTCTAGGGTCAACAACAATGCATGGCCAATAGTAGGAGCCCAATAAATATTTGCTAGATGAATGAATGAATCTGCCTTTCTGTCTCTGTTCTTCTTTCTTCCTATTAATATTCTCTCCACTAATCGTGTACATCCTTCAGTGGCTGGTGCACTGCCAATGTACCAAGATATTTCAGTCTTTTGTTTTTAGTTCAATCCCACATTTCCACTGTATAAAAGGCTGCCCCTATGTCTCACACTTTCCGTTAACAGCATTTTATTTTCTACAAAGTAAAAAACTCAAAATTTGGTTCCCTTTGCTGCCAACTCTTACCACATATTCTCCCCAAATTTTTCAGCCTTTTGTCACTGTTTATCATTCTTAATATAACTCAGAATAACCCACCTTAAGTTTGAAGTGAGCATTGCCATTTACAAAGTATTTTACCACCAATGATCTTAACTCCTAAAACCTTACAAAACTGGGTATTTATCTAAAGAAATGAAGCTTATGGGCTGGGCACAGTGGCTCACGCCTGTAATCTCAGCACTTTGGGAGGCTGAGGTGGGTGGATCACAAGGTCAGGAGTTCAAGATCAGCCTGACCAAAATGGTGAAACCCCATCTCTACTAAAAATACAAAAAAATTAGCTGGGCGTGGTGGTGGGCACCTGTAATCCCAGCTACTCAGCAGGCTGAGGCAGAGAATTGCTTGAACCTGGGAGGGGGAGGTTGCAGTGAGCTGAGATGGCACCACTACACTCCAGCCTGGGTGACAGAGCAAAACTCAGTCTCAAAAAAAAAAAAAAAAAAGAAAGAAATGAAATGAAATGAAGCTTATATTCACACAAAAACCTGTACATGAATGTTTATAGCAGTTTCATTTGTAAGAGCCCAAAACTGTAAACAAATATTCTTCAACAGGTGAATGGATAAACTGGTACCCCCATATAATGGTGCACTACTCATTAATAAGAAGGAACAAACTATTAACACATATAGCAACGTGGATAGATTTCAAAGGCATTACACTGAGTGAATTGGCTTGAAAAAAAGGCAATCTCAAAAGTTGAAATATAAATCCATTTATGTAACATTCTCAAAATGACAAAATTATAATGATGGCGAGCAGATCAGTCAGTGCCAGGGCTTAGGGACAGGGGACAGTGTGACTGTGAGGGGTAATACAAGGAGTTTCTTTGTGGTGACAGCACAATTCTGTATCCTGATCATGGTAATGGTTACACAACCCTATACATATGAAAAAATTTCATAGAACTTGTATACTGAAAAAAAAAGTATGTGTAAGAACTGTGAAATCTGAATAAGATCTGTAGTTATGGTTAACATTGTACCAGCATCAGTTTGCTGGTTTTGATAATATTAGCACTGAAGAAAGATGAGTGAAGGACATAGGGGAACTCTCTATACTATTTTGCAACTTCTTATGAACATAAATTTTTTTAAAATAAAAAATTTAAATGATGTATAATTATAGGAATTATATATAGAATGTGAAAACTGACACTTTTAATTAGAACTATCAAGTAAAAAATTTACATTGCGGAGATTCTCAATTGCAAACATTAGCACCATTTTCTTTCTTTTTTTTTTTTGAGATGGAGTCTTACTCTGTTGCCCAGGCTGGAGTGCAGTGGCACAATCTCATCTCACTGCTGCCTCTGCCTCCCAGCTTCAAGCGATTCTCCGGCCTCAGCCTCCTGAGTAGCTGGGAATACAGGCACCCTCCACCACACCCAGCTAATTTTTGTATTTTTAGTAGAGACAGTGTTTCGCCATGTTGGCCACACTAGTCTTGAACTCCTGGCCTCAAGTGATCCTCCCACCTCGGACTCCCAAAGTGTTGGGATTACAGATGTGAGCCACCACGCCTGGCCTAGCACCATGTTTAATATTGTGTAGTTCTGTATATTCTGACCTATTCCAAAAACTTAATGAAAGAGTGACACCCTAAATTGGTACCCAATAGTCATGATTAATAAGAAGCAAATTTAATTTTACTAACCTAGAGCCAAAGTTGCCAATCAAAATTTCAAGAATAATTGCTTACACTGAGATGGTCTGTTTTCACTTCTGTAAGCCAAGGCCTGTCATCTACTGTGCAGCAACCACCAAAAATGCAATGTGATTAGAGGCATGCGTTTAATTGAATGTGCTAAATAAAACCTTGTTATATGCAAAAAGCTAATGTAATTTTAATCTGTAATCCTTCATTTGTGAATTTTGTCTGAATTATGTATATATGGTACACATAATTTTGTAAATAAACACCTACTCATTAAACAACAACAAAAAACCACCATTAACCCTGTGGCAGTCGTAGTGATGGCATGTGGCAGCAGCAACAGCGGTGCACATGTGTTAGGGCTCTCCAAACGCACTGTGCTAAGGGTTCGCATCGATTCATTTCCTCCTCACAACAGCCATCTGAGGAAGTACCAGCCCTTCATACAGATGAAAGTATTGACACACAGAGAGGTTAAGTAATTGAGTTACAGAGATACTAACAGTAACTGGGAATTTCTGATTCCATGTCTACTGCTTTGCCCGTGTGTAACAGTGCCTTGATCTTTACTTGCCTCTTCACTTTCAGCTTCCCTTCTGTCAATCCATGTATAAGTTTTCCCATTGCTGCCATAACAAATTACCACAAATTTAGTGGCTTAAACAATACAAATGTATTATGTAACAGTTCTGAAGGTCAGAAGTCCAAAATGAGTCTCACTGGGCTGAAATCAAGGGGGCAGCAGAACTGTGCTCCTTCTGGGGGCTCTAGAGAAGACTCAGTTTCCTGATCTTTTTCCCACTTTAGAGGCTGCCTGCATCCCTTGGCTTGTGGCCTCATCCCTCCACCTTCAAAGCCAGCAACATCAGGCCATGTCTTTTTCACACTGCCATTTCCCTGTTTCTCTTCTGCCTCCCTCCTCTGTTTATAAGTACTGTTATGGTTACACTGGGCCCACCTGGCTAAGACAGGCTAATCTCCTTATCTCAAGGTCGTCTGATTAATATCCTTAATTCTATCTGCAGCCTAAATTCCCTTTTGCCATATAACCTAACAAAATCACAAATTCTGAGAATTAGGACTAAGACATCCGGGGGCAGAGGGTGGCGGGGGGCGGCATTGTTCTGCCTGTCACTAGCCATAAGGCTGGCATTGAAGTAAGCTTTTTATCACTTCAGATGTATTTAACCCTTGTTAAATGTTTCAAATGATATTTCTTTGCTTTTCCAGTAAGTTTTATTCAAACTTTTTCATTTATATGTTTATATTCTTGCCTTATTAACAATTCAGCATGGTTTAGGAATACACACTGGAGTAAAGAAAATTATAATTTATGTTCTCACTTAAAAGCATGAACTAAGCTATGAGGACACAAAGGCATAAGAATGATGCAATGAATTCTGGGGACTTGTAGGGGAAGGCTGGGAGGCCAGTGAAGGATGGAAGACTACATATTGGGTACATTGTATACTGCTCAGGTGACAGGTGCACTAAAATCTCAGAAATCACCACTAAAGAACTTATCCATGTAACCAAAAACCACCTGTACCCCAAAAACTATTGAAATAAAAAATATAAAAAATAAAATTATAATTTTAAAAAATCAGGCTGGCTGGCCGTGGTGGCTCACACCTGTAATTTCAGCACTTTGGGAGGCCAAGGCGGGTAGATCATGAGGCCGTGAGATCAAGAACATCCCGGCCAACATGGTGAAACCCCATCTCTACTAAAAATACAAAAATGAGCGGAGCATGGTGGCATGTGCCTGTAGTCCCAGCTACTCAGGAGGCTGAGGCAGGAGAATCGACTGAACCCAGGAGGCAGAGGTGGAAGTGAGTGCAGATCATGCCACTGCACTCCAGCCTGGGCGACAGAGTGAGTCTCTGTCTCAAAAATAAATAAATAAATAAATAAATAAATAAATAAATAAATAATCAGGCTAATTTTGGGCCAAATCCAGTAGGCAAATATTTAAGTGTCTATGTAGGCCAGGTGCGGTGGCTCATGCCTGTAATCCCAGCACTTTGGAAGGCCAAGGCAGATGGATCGCTTGTGTCCAGGAGTTTGAGACCAGCCTGTGCAAGATAGTGAGACCCTGTCTCTACGAAAAACGCAAAAATTAGCTGGGTGTGGTTGCACACACCTGCAGTCCCAGATACTCATGAGGCTGAGATGGGAGGATCGCCTGAGCTCAGGAGGTTGAGGCTGCAATGACCTGTGATGACACCACTGCATTCCAGCCTGGGCAACAGAGGGATACTCTGCCTCAAAAAAGAAAGAAAAGGCTGGGTGCAATGGCTCACGCCTATAATCCCAGCACTTTGGGAAGCCGAGGCGGGTAGATCCCGAGGTCAGGATATGAAGACCATCCTGGCCAACATGCTGGAACCCCATCTGTACTAAAAATACAAAAATTAGCCGGGTGTGGTGGCTCGCGCCTGTAGTCCCAGCTACTCAGGAGGCTGGGGCAGGAGAATCGCTTGAACCAGGGAGGCAGAGGTTGCAGTGAGCTGAGATTGCGCCACTGCACTCCAGCCTGGGCAACAGAGCGAGACTCCGTCAAAAAAAGAAAAAAAAGAGAAAAGAGAATAGTTGTGCCCACGTCAAAGGAAAAATTGTCTCTGCGGTTCCACTAAGTCCCAGTAGGTGGCGGTAACACCATACAAACTGGTTCCGGCTTGCTCTCTTTATTGAAAGAATCCATCTCCTTTTGTCATTGAGGTTACCGCATTTTAGTATGACTTGATGGGCCCTGTCTGTAATTTAACAATATTGGAATCAAATTCTGATATCTAATCACATGGATATAAGCTCTATTAGATTTCAATTAGCATTCACTCTAATTTGATTATAAGGCTTCAGCCATTCAAATGGCTAATAGGGAGACACTTAGATAATTGCAGCTGTCTGGGGTTATTACATTTGCTATCATTTTCACAGAGTGATTCATGTAAAGACTGGGCCATAAAATCTGTTTGTGTTGTTGGAGACAAGCCATGATGGCTTACTGGGGTAGGCAGCACTATTAAGCATTTTGCTATTGTGGTCTGGCATTTGGGATTTTTTTAATTAGGATGGCAAATATGATGGATATTTAGGATTAGTGTTTACCATTTATCTGTATTCCAAAGAAATATTCTTGATTATTCATCCACAATATTGTTTCATTTGACAAAAAAAAAAAAAGCATTAGCCAAGTTTCCTTTTCATCTTTTTTAATTGAACTGAATAACATTTAAATTGAATATATTAACCACACCAAAACTTACCTCCTGCACAAAAGCCTTCCTCAGTACATGGAATCAGGATATTTGTTCTCACCTAAGATTATTCCTAAGTGTAAACACTAGATAGAGGTGTTTGACCAAAATTGCTGGAGCCCTTGGCAAGGATGTTAAAGACTTGCTTCAAGTATAAAAGGAACAGTTGGATTAAATGACCTTAAAGGTCACTTCTAGCTCTTACAGTCTAAGAGTTTAGAGATCAATAACAGCAAAAAATGTCCCTGTCCCAAACAGCTGTCAGATCCTAGGAGCAGAAGCAGCTAGGATCTTGAAGTAACCTGCATGTGATGTGTTATTCTAGGTGGAGCAGCAGGGCCTGCTCTAGAGAGGTTGGCAAGTTCACCTATAGAAATTCACCCTCTGCTCTATGTGGGCCCCCAAGAGCCAATTCAAATCTGGAAAAGTCATCAGTGAAAACTCATGTGTTGTGTTGTGTTTTGTTTTGTTTTTGAGATGGTGTATTGCTCTGTCACCCAGGCTGGAGTGCACTGGCACTATCTGGACTCGTTGCAACCTCCGCCTCCCAGGTTCACGCGATTCTCCAGCCTCAGCCTCCTAAGTAGCTGGGATTACAGGCAAGCACCACCATGCCTGGCTAATTTTTGTATTTTTAGTAGAGACGGTGTTGGCCAGGTTGGCCTTGAACTCCTGACCTCAAGTGATCCGCCCGCTTTGGCCTCCCAAAGTGCTGGGATTACAGGTGTGAGCCACTGTGCCTGGCCAGAGCCACTGTGTCTGGTCTGGTTTTATATCCAGTATTTTATAATTTGTACCCACAGATAACTTGACAATTTGCCAATATGACTTCAAAATTATATTCTGTTCAAGATAATAAATGTAGTCTCTGAAGGCTTAAAACCAAAATGTGAGGGAGGCTTGCATTTTTTGGTAGTTTTTCTGCTAGAAAGTATTTCTCACGTACCAATAGGAAAACATTAATTTCATAAATACCCCTACATCCTCAGAGGTCTAAGACATTTTATTTTAGAATATAATCTCTTAGAGTTCAGGACTGCATCTTTATAGTTCCAAGTTTTTTTTGCAGGACCTAGCTCCAGGTTCCAAGACAACATAGTCAAGTACTAGATTCAGGGGGTACATGTGCATGTTTGTGACAAGGGTGTAATAAGTGATGCTGAGGTTTGGGGTATAATGGAACCTGTCACCCAGGTAGTGAGCATAGTACCCAGGAGCTAGTTTTTCAGTCTCTTCCCCCCCTCCCTCCCTTCTCCCTTCTGTAGTCCTCAGTGTCTACTGTTACCATCTTTATGTCCATGTGACCCAGTGTTTAGCTCCCACTTATAAGTGATAACACGCAGCATGTGGTTTTCTGTTCCTGCACTAATTCACTTAGGATAATGACCTCCAGCTGCATCTGTGTCGCTGCAAAGGACATGATTTTTTTTCCACAACTTTCTTAGACCAATGATCTATTCAGCCTAGTAATCTGCCTTTGACTGTGGCAACTATTATACTTTGAAGATTTCTATTTGTTCGAATATAAGTTTAGTAACCTTCCAGGATGACAAAAAGTCCTTTAATGTTTTAATGAGGTTTTTTTCCCATTACAGGTGGTTGTGGGTGGGCCAAGACCCAAAAGCTTGACCATAAAAAGGACTGAAGGTCTGAGCCACAGCTCACAAGTCATAAGGGTGGGGTTAATTTTTCCCAGAAGTGTAGACGATGAAATTCGTAATACAGAAAAAATGTGGTAGACATTGCCAGGGCAATTCACTTGGAATTTAGTGAAGAAGCTGAGGATAGGAGTTGGGGTGTGGGTTGGGGGAGGATGGAGTAGGGCACATTTATACAGAAAAGGTGGCCAAAGAAACCTATTTCCTTCCATATACGTCTCTCCATATGGGTCTGTACTCTGTTGCTTTGGGAAAACACGCAACTTGGCACACTGATCAGCCACTTTGTGGAGGGAACTTCTATACCCTTTAGGATTGGGAGCTTCTGGGGCCCACTCAAGGCTGGGACCTAAAGTTCCCTCAAAATATGTTTTAAAGCAAGAGAAATGGAGTGATATTTTCTAGGGGAATTTACTAAATATTGTCAAAATCAGTTCCTAAGGTCCCAGCATTGATCTGGCATTCTGTTACCTCTGATTTCATTTCCTATTACTCCCCTGACTCACACGACTTCCCCCATGCTGACTCCCTGCTGTCCCTGAAGGTGCATCCTTCTCCGGGCCTCTGCACTCACTGAAGACCGCCTGGCCCCTCCTTCCTGCACAGCCACACAGCTCACGCTCTTCATTCAGGTCTTCACTTCAGCCAGGCATGGTGGCTCACGCTTGTACACCTAGCACTTTGGGAGGCCGAGGCAGGTGTATTGCTTGAGCTCAGAAGTTCAAGGCCAGCCTGAGCAATGTGGTGAGACACCGTCTCTACTAAACATACAAAAAAAAAAAAAAAATTAGCCAGGCTTGCAGGTGCATGCCTGTAGTAGTCTCAGCTACTTGGGAGGCTGAGGTGGGAGGATTGCTTGAGCCCAGGAAGTCAAGGCTGCAGTGAGCCGAGATCACCTCATTGCACTCTAGCCAGACAACAACAACAACAAAAAAGTATTTACTTCATGGTTGCCTTCTTGTCTACTCTGGCCACCCTACCTAAAATGTCAACATGCTCTCCTGCCCTACATTTCTACACTTTTCCTTGATTTCTTTTTTCCTCCTTAGCACTCTTGCTAACATATTATATTCTTTTATTTTGTGTTATTAGTATCTCCTACACAAGGTAAACTCTCTGAGGACAGAGGTTTTTTTTGTTCCTTTTTTTTTTTTTTTTTTTTTTTTGGAGACAAGGTCTTACTCTGTCGCCCAGGCTGGAGTGCAGTGGTGCGATCTCGGCTCACTGCAGCCTCGACCTCTTAGGCTCAGGTGATTCTTACGCCTCAGCCTCCCAAGTAGCTGGGACTATAGGTGCACGACACCACACCAGGCTAATTTTTGTATTATTTGTATTTTATTTTGAGATGGGTTTTCACCATGTTGCCCAGGCTGGTCTCAGATTCCTGAGCTCAAGCAGTCCTCTCGCCTCGGCCTCCCAAAATGTTGGGATTAGGGATTACAAGTGTGAGCCACCGTGCCTGGACTCTGAGGACAAAGTATTTTACTATATCTTTAATGCCCAGAACAGTGTCTATCTAGAACAGCTTGAGTGTTTTCAATGAATAAAGTTCAAGGAGACTGTTTTCATGAAGAAAATATTCTTTTTAAGCAAACTAATAGTATAAGGAGGGTTTCTGAGAAAATGATTAAGCAACCTGAAAGACCTAACTCCCTTCTAGAACCCTTGAGTATTTTAAGTGTTAGAGATAAAGAGGCTTATACGGAGGAGTGGTCCTCAATGTGGTCCTGGGCCAGAAGCAATAGGTAACCTGCAACTGGTAAGAAATGCATTCTCAGGCCTCAACCCAGATTTACTGAATAAAAATCTCTGGGGGGTGGCCCAGCAAGCTGTGGTTTAACAACCCTCCAGGTGACTCTAATACAAGCCAAAGTTTGTACCAACCACCGATATAGAGGAAGGAGCACCAGGCTCAATATCTAGAGATCTGGGTTTTAGTCCAATTTGTTTCATTGTGTGACCTTGAGCACATCACTTAACTTCATCAACTTCCATCTGTTTACTGATAAAATGAAAGAGATGCCACGTTTTCATTATGTGCTTTTAATGAAATAATTGTAAATCTTTGAATCACAGCCCTGAAGGAGCCCTTTAGTTAGCCTGTAATTGTGTATTTAAAAGTAATTAAACATCATATCTTAAATAAAACTTTCTTTTCTTTCAGTCTGGCCTTTCTCTTCTCAAGTTAGCCTGAATTCATGAGCTTTAGCTTATCTGTGCAGTTTCCTATAGACACACAATCTTGCCATACTTGACACTTGGTTTACAAAGACCACTTTCTTGTACTTCTCACGGTCTTCAGGTTTTGGGCAGCCCTGTCTTCTGCTTTTCCTCACATCTCTCTGGATGCTTTTCCTCAGTTTCCTTGGCTGGCTTCTCAGCCAAGCTCACCTCTTTGGGTGTTCCCAGTCTTGGTGTTTGGACTTCTACACACAATTCCTGGGTGGCTTTGTCCGTTTCTCAAATAAGTCAATGACTTCCAATATACTGCATGCTCTTAGAACTCTCCACATTAAATTGGCTGTTTGTATCTACCAGGATCTTGAAATTAGTGTGTCCAGGATGGAGCCCATCATCTTCCCCTCAACCTGCTCTTCCTCCTGTTTTTCCACTACATAACCAAAGTCAGAAACAGAGCTCCTAGATTCTTCCTTGTCTCCTTCACATCCAATCAGTCACTCAGACCTCAAAATCCTTGTTCTTAGATTTCTCTGTAGCCATCTCACTTTCCAGTCACTGTCTTTGTTTTTTTTTTTTTGTTGTTGTTGTTGTTTTTATTTTTACAGAGTCTTGCTCTGTCGCCCAGGCTGGAGTGCAGGAGTGCAGTCGTGTGATATCTCGGCTCACTGCAACCTCCACCTCCCGGGTTCAAGTGATTCTCCTGCCTCAGCCTCCCGAGTGGCTGGGATTACAGGCATGCGCCACTGCATTCAGCTAATTTTTGTATTTTTAGCAGAGACGGGGTTTCACCATGTTGGCCAGGCTAGTCTCAAACTCCTGACCTCAGGTGATCCACCTGCCTCAGCCTCCCAAAGTGCTGGGATTACAGGCATGAGCCACTGCACCTGGCCTCCAGTCACTGTCTTTAACTGGCCACCAGCCTCATGCCTAACCTACTCCAGTTTATTTGCCACACTGTCTTCTAAAGCATACACCTGATCAGTAATCCACCACAGCTTTCAGGGTGCAGGCCCAGCTTCTCGGCTCGGTCACATGACTGTGTGCTGTGTCTTTCCTGCCTACTCATATCCCGCTACCACACAGCAAGCCCTGTGAAGCTGCTTTCACACCTCCCAGCCCCACCACAGGCTTAACCCTCTGCCTGCACATCCTTCTTCCCACTCCTGACTCTGACTTGTCTTTCAATAGCTGCCCTGGACCATCCCTCTCAGTGTGGTGTGGCTTCCCTCGCCTCATGCTCCCAGGCCACTTTGTTCAGGCCTCGGCCACATCTCTGATCACTCCCTACTAGAATTACTCATTTACCTGCTGGTCTTCTCACCAGCCTAGAAGCGCCTTGAGAGCAGGAGCCATATTTATTTTTATTTTATAAATAAAAATTTATTTTTATTATGCTCCATATCACAGCATAGTGCCAGGCACCAAAAAAAAAAAAAAAAGAGCTTCATAAATGCTTGACAGATTAATGGGTTTTGCTTTCCCTACCTACAGTGCTTTGCTTCTTTAGAGTTTTTTTTCTCCCCCATATTAACCCTGTTGTGTCAATATTTCACATTCCCTTTATCTTAATCAGGCCTGCGACAAAACATAGCTACAGGCAGTCAGGGACAGACATTTGAGCTTGAACTAAGAAAGTGAATTTACCCAGAGGGAAAGCCTCTGATCAGAAGTCTGGGGGCGGGAAGGGGTGACAGCCTGTCTGTGAGAGCCCTGACATTTTGAAAGCACCAAACTCACTGTCACCCTGAGCTTTTCCTGTGGGGAGCAACAGAGGTGGGGGCTTTTACCCTCCCTTGTGGGCAGGGCTCGAAAGCAAATTTCCCTGCTGAGTTTTCCTTTTGTGGTGCCTGTGACCACGAAGGAGGCTGCCCCAGGAATCCCCACCTATTTTTAGCCTCAGTTCAACACCCTGCAGACAACAACCCTCCCATATACCTCTAAGTTAATTTCCAGTCTTGTCACTGAGCTGGCCTGACAAATCGATAGACTCAATCTTGCTAGTGAAAAGACAAAGTGAGAAGGTTAAGGCCTTTAACAACAGAAAGCTGCAGTGATGCCCTGAGGCTCAATACGTCAAATAGCCTCCTGTACCACTTTTATAAAACAATTTAGTATATGTTCATATGTAATAGTATTTGAATGAAGTTCTCTGTGCCCAAAGTCCAAGATGTGAAGTCTACCCGGATCTAAACTGCCTAGGGTTTCCTCTTCAAGGGAAACTTTCCTGGGAAATCAGTTGTTCCAGATGTTGCCTTAGTCAGACTGCAAAGCATACATCATTCTCTGTACACCAATGGGCTTTTCATTTTAAATATTATTGGTTTATGTATACTCTGTTAAACTGGGTCAAGCTCTTGAGCTTATGAAATTTTGGTGTTGCAAATACCTCTGCTTCTGAAAGCCATTAAAGAGCACCCCAGAAGGGCAGCAGGTGGGCCTTGGCCACCACACCCCTACCTGGGCCAGCCAGTCATATGTCCATGGGCCGTTAGCCTTGCAGTCCTCAATGAGAGGTCTAAGTATGCATCACTTTGTCAGATGGCCTTTCAACCAACAACACTCATTCTCATTCTGCTTCCTTCCCACCATTCTATGTCCCCAGTACATTTCTAACATGGGGAATACTCCAGGCAAATGCTCATCTATTCCTCTAAACTAGAGCTTCTGCCCCAATTTCCTGTTAGATATCTTGCCCTGGGGAACTGGACTAAGCAAGCCTCCAGGACATCACCTATCTCCTTAACTCCTTAACTGAAGGTTTGAAAAGGAGCCTTCCTCCTCTACCCTGGGCTCCACCCCAGAGGTTACTCTCAGGCAACAGAAAAGAAAAGAAGAGAAGGAGGACACTATCTAGGTCTATTTATAATCTGTTCACTTCTACTCACATTCAATTCCTCTAGGATAGGATGGGATATGGTGGCTCTGATGTGCCCCCATCCTCCTAATAGCCTTTATTTCAGAGTGTCTGCATCCTTTGTAAAATGGGAATGGTAACACTTTACTTGCCTGAAAGCAGAAGCTGGACCCGATGGCCTCTTGAGATAATTTCTAGATAGAAAAGAATGAAATCGATTGCATGCAAAGTGAGGTATTAACAGAGGAGGAGGGTCCAAGAAAAATTATGACAGGTATGAAGCAAAGGGGATACTCATGCCTGAATCAATGGCAAGGGAAGCCCAGGGTAAGAGAGACACAGAAGAAATGAATGTCTCCTCCCCACCCAGCAGCCCCTGCCCCACCCAACACTATTCTGTGTTTAACTAGGGACACAAGCAATAACTAAGCAGTATAAGACAATATGTGGCCCAATATTCAAGGCAAGCTGTAAAAGCTAGCAGGATTTAGAAGAGGGCAGAGGGCTCCAAGAAGAGGAAGACAGAAAAGGAGTTTTGGAAAGGGTGGGTCCTGGCAAGGAAGCTGAAAGAAGGTGGTCCTAGGACAGGCAGGGAGAGGCCTGCATGAAGGCCAGAGCAGCTGGCACAGTGTTGGTGCTCGGGGGAAATGGTGATGAGGAGTGGCTGGGCAGGGTAGAGTCTGACTCTGGAGGACTTTAAATGCAGCTGAGGAATTCAGACCGTTTCCTGCAGCCCATGGAAGGTCAACAGAGGCTCTGTTACAGGAAATGATATAATGAAAATGCATATTAGAAGCCTCAGTGAAAAGAGATTTAGGCTGGGCACGGTGGCTCATGCCTGTAATTCCAGCACTTTGGGAGGCCGAGGTGAGTGGATCACCTGAGGTCAGGAGCTTGAGACCAGGCTGACCAACATGGTAAAACCCCGTCTCTACTAAAAATACAAAAATTAGCCAGGCGTGGTGGCACATGCCTGTAATCCCAGCTACTTGGGAGGCTGAAGCAGGAGAATTGCTTGAACCCAGGAGGCGGAGGTTGCAGTGAGCCGAGATCGCGCCATTGCACTCCAGCCTGGGCAACAAGTCAAAAAAAAAAAAAAAAAGAAAAAGAAACAAAAGAGAGATTTAATTGTATAATTGTAATATTTTTAGACTGCTTGGTTTTTTTTAATCACAGGAAGGTATTCTGTTTCAACTTTAAAAATAATTCATTTTTGCCAGGCTTGCGCCTGTAATCCCAGCACTTTGGGAGGCCAAGGAGGGTGGGTTGCCTGAGTTCAGGAGTTCGAGACCAGTCTGGCCAACATGGTGAAACTGCGTCTCTACTAAAAATACAAAAATTAGCTGAGTGTGGTGGCAGGTGCCTGTAATCCCAGCTACTGGTGAGGCTGAGGCAGGAGAATCACTTGAACCTGGGAGGCAGAGGTTGCAGTGAGCCGAGATCACACCATTGCACTCCAGCCTGGGCAACAGAGCAAGACTCCATCTCAAAACAACAACAATAACAAAAAGTACCAAGAAGCTACCATGGTACAACTCAGCCCGCACTACCGTGGGGACAGTGAAGATGGAAGGAAGAGGATGGTCCGGGTATCGTGTCAATAGCAGGATGCACTGAGCTGACTGGCAACAGGCACTGAAGGAAAACTAACACTCACAGATAAAGTGGGGGTCTTTCCTTTGGGACTGTGTTAAGTGATGTACCACAATCACAACTTCATATCCAGTCTCGGTGTACCTCCTCAACTCAACATTCCTAAATTCCTCTTCTCAAGAATCGGTGATGCCTCAGAGAAAACTTCTTCCACAAATGGCCAGAAGATGTCACTGCAGACAGCACCATGCATATACTGTGTTCCTCATGTTGGTGTTCTGCCCTGCCATTTGTGAAGGGAAAATTCCCCCTCGGCTCCCTCCCTAACTCCCATAGCCCCTGCTCCTGCTCTGTGTGTAGCCTCTTCCCTTTACCCTGTGACTCCCCTCCTCCTGCCCTGAAATCCAGCGAGGTGCTTTCCTGATGCCCTGGCAACCTGGAGATGAACCTGATCCCTAAAGGCGGAAGAGCCAACATCGAGACTGGGTTATCTGTGTGCTTCCCTACTCTCTATTCATGATGTTCATTTAGATTTCTAGCAAAACCCATACCTGTGCTGTCAACCTCACCCATTTCCACCTAGCTTCTTGAGTTTCAATCAATGAGTACAGGGGCACCCCATTCCCTCTTTTCTCACACTCCTCCAAACTGGCCCAATTTTCAAATATTAGCATTTAAAGATTTGGTGATGCATTAATCTGCTTCACTTTCTGAAAATATCAGTGTTTTTGGCCAAATAATCACTACACGTTAGCCTATGAACAGCCCTGGGATATAAGAAATGATGAATATTCCTAAGCCAAGCTAAGTGGCTTATCCAAATGGATTGTGTCACAGTCATGGGACTGGACTCTGACAGCTGACACCTGGTAACAAAGAAAAAATGTTCCAGGCCAATTTCTCCCTTTTTTTCTGCTCATGGCTTCTATTTGTGATCCTTCTCACTCTGTTTCTCATTTGCTTTCAGTGGTTAAAAATAGGCCGAGCAACCGTGGCTCACACCTGTAATCCCAACACTCTGAGAGGCTGAGGCAGGCAGATCACGAAGTCAGGAGATCGAGACCATCCTGGCCAACCTTGTGAAACCTTGTCCCTACTAAAAATACAAAAATTAGCCGGGAATGATGGTGCGTGCCTGTAATCCCAGCTACTCAGGAGGCTGAAGTAGGAGAGCCACTTGAACCTGGGAGGCGGAGATGGCAGTGAGCCGAGATCACGCCACTGCACTCCAGCTTGGCAACAGAGTGAGACAACATCTCAAAAAAAAAAAAAAAAAAAAAAAAAAAAAGAAAAGAAAAGAAAAAAATAGGCTGAGCACGGTGGCTCACGCCTGTAATCCCAGATTTTGGGAGGCCAAGGTGGATGGATCACTTGAGGTCAGGAGTTCAAGACCAACATGGCAAAACCCCCCATCTCTACAAATAATACAAAAATAAGCTAGACGTGGTGATAGGCGCCTGTAGTCCCAGTTACTAGGGAGGCTGAGACATGAGAATCACTGGAACCCAGGAAGCGGAGGTTGCAGTGAGCCAAGATCACACCACTGCACTCTAGCCTGGGGAGCAGAGCGAGACTCTGTGTCAAAATAAATAAATAAATAAACAAACAAACCTGGCCAGGCTAGGTGTGGTGGCTTACGCCTATAATCCCAGCACTTTGGGAAGCTGAGGCAGGTGGATCACCTGAGATCAGGAGTTGGAGGCCAGGAACATGGCGAAACCCCATGTCTACTAAAAATACAAAAATTAGCCAGGTGTGGTAGCACATGTCTGTAATCCCAGCTGCATGGGAGGCTAAGGCAGGAAGATTGCTTGGGCCCAGAAGGTCAAGACTTCAGTGAGCAATAATCGTGCTACTGCACGCCATCGTGGGTGACAGGGTGAGATCCTGTCTCAAAAAAAAAAAAAAAAAAAAATCAACCTAAGAAAAACTTTCAGAAACTATATTTTTGTGGTACCGTTCCCCACTAATAGCCTCAGAGACAAATCTCAATTTCTAATACTCATCCAAGCACTCCGGTGTTTTACTCCAGATAATAGAGGCTCTAAAAGGAAGTCTGAGAAAGGCATTATTTTAGCACTTACAAGAAAGGGCTCAGGAACAAGCTTCCTAAATCCTTACTCTGTAATATGAATCTATCTCTTAGCAGCTCTGATTCTGTTTTCCTTTTTCCTAAATGATTCCCAAGACCTTAGACCGTAGGGGGGAAAGGATCTACCTCTCCATGTGGTTTCCGTTGGTGGATACAGCTTAGGCCCCCTCTGAGAAGGATCATGAGCTCCTCACCTAATTTCAGTGCCAAAGAACAAGGGCCTCATATCATTTATGTCTCATCCCCTGCCAAGTACCAGGCTCTTGTGTGGAAGTTCCCTAGTGCTAAGTATCCTCATACCCTGACTAAACTCAGAATGAATTTACACCCAAGACAAAATAGCAAATACAGCGGCATGCAGGGGAAACTGCCTTAAGCCTTTACCACCTTCCTGATCCAACAACTTCTCCCTGAACACAACAGACCATGAACAATGCTACACACCTATAAATATTACTTGGTTACTGCCAACAAGCCACGAAAAGGGAGAGCCAGTAATTTTGGCCACGGGTGACACGTGCAGGCCTCCTCCTTCCCTCGCAGCAGGTTACCCAAGAGCCAGATGGGCATGCAGTTAGGGCACCAGCAGAGCAGGCACACCTCAGGAGATGTTTAGTGAAGTCATCTGATTGCTTAAAACAACGTAAGTAGTCATTGTGAGAAAAATCAGAACTTTGTTGGACTTATTATGCTTATTTTACACTGTAGCATTTAAAAATTGCTTTGGGGCAGGGTGCAGTGGCTCACACCTGTAATCCCAGCACTTTTGAAAGTGAAGATGGGCGGATCGCTCGGACCCAGGAGCTCAAAACCAGCCTGGGCAACACAGGGAGACCCATCTCTACAAAAAATTAAAAAATTAGCCAGGCACAGCCGGGTGTGGTGGCTCATGCCTGTAATCCCAGCACTTTGGGAGGCCGAGGCAGGCAGATCACTTGAGGTAAACAGTTCGAGACCAGCCTGGTCAACACAGTGAAACCCTGTCTCTACTAAAAATACAAAAAATTAGCTGGGCATGGTGGCAGGCTCCTGTAATCCCTGCTACTTAGGGGGCTGAGGCAGGAGAATCGTCTGAACCTGGTAGGCAGAGGTTGCAGTGAGCCAAGATTGCACCATTGCACTCCAGCCTGGGTGACAAGAATGAAATTCCGTCTCAAAAAAAATTAGCCAGGCACAGTGGCATGTGCCTGTGGTCCCACTGCATGGGAGACTGAGGTGGGAGAATTGCTTGAGCCCAAGAGATTAAGGCTACAGCGAGCTGTGATCATGCCACAGCACTCCAGCCTAGGTGACACAGCAAGACCTTGTCTCAAAAACACAAACAGGCCGGGCATGGTTGCTCACACCTGTAATCCCAGCACTTTGGGAGGCCAAGGCGGGTAGATCACCTGAGGTCAGGAGTTTGAGACCAGCCTAGCCAACATAGTGAAACCCTGTCTCTACCCAAAATACAAAAAATGAGCCGGGCATGGTGGCGGGTGCCTGCAATCCCAGCTACTCAGGAGGCTGAGGCAGGAGAATCACTTGAACCCGGGAGGCAGAGGTTGCAGTGAGCCAAGATCACATCATTGCACTCCAGCCTGGGCAACAAGAGCAAAACTCTTGGTTTGTCTCAAAAACAAACAAACAAAACAAATAAATACTTGGTTTGAGGGAGGAAAAATTCACTTTTCAGAGGTTAGAGCCCCTAATCCTAACCCTGCCTGGCAGGAGCAGCCCTGCGCATCATGGATGGACACACTGTCCCAGTCTCCTGTTACACAGGAGCAGAGAACCCATGATGCCAAGAGCAGAAGGTTGTGCCTCTTGCAAAGCACAATTAAAACATCATACCTTGGCTGAAAAAGAGGTTGTAAACTCAGAGCTTATAGGCTCTGTTTAGCCAATAGATGCAGAAATGCATTGTGTTTAGTTTTCATAATGTTTTTATGTTTGTTTGAGGCAAGGTCTCACTCTTTTGCTGAGGCTGGAGCTCAGTGACACAGTCATGGCCCACTGTAGCCTCAACGTCCCAGGTTCGAGCAATCCTCCCACCTCAGTCTCCCAAGTAGGTGCGACTACAGGTGTATGCCACCACACCTGGTTAATTTTTTTATTTTTATTTTTATAGCGATGGGGTCTCACTATGTTGCCCAGGCTGGTCTCAAACTCCTAAACGCAAGTGATCCTCCTGCCTCACCCTCTCAAAGTGTTGGGATTGCAGGCATGAGCCACGGAGCTGGGCCAATTTTTTTTATTTCTTTAACAATAGAAGGTCACTACTGAACTGAAGGTGCTACATGCCAAAAGTTGTCTGAGCTAAGTATGAGGGAAGTACACACCCTGACCTAAGCTGTTGGAGATCCCACTCCTTTCAGACTCAAATGGTCTGTTTCACTCATCTGTGAAATCTGCCTGCTCCCTATGCGTAAGTATTTTGAGTTTGAGATCCTTTAAAGCTTTGATCTCCATTAAATTGCAGAATTTGTAGCAAAGGAAACACATTAAGGATTTGACGGTCTTATTTTCACTTCACTACAAATGAAGGTTCTGACAGCTGTTTTTCCTTTTTTTTTTTTTTAATTGAGACAGAGTCTCTCTCTGCTGCCCAGGCAGGAGTGCAATGGCACGATCTCAGCTCACTGCAACCTTCACCTCCCAGGGTCAAGTGATTCTCCTGCCTCAGCCTCCCGAGTAGCTGGGATTACAGGCATGTGCCATCACGCCTGGCTAATTTTTGTATTTTGAGTAGAGATGGGGTTTCACCATGTTGGCCGGGCTGGTCTTGAACTCCTGACCTCAGGTGATCAGCTCGCCTCAGCCTCCCAAAGTGCTGGGATTATAGGTCGGAGCCACCGCCCCCAGCCTTGTTTTTCTATGGGAAAAGATCCATAGCTTGGGGGCTCCCTGTTCTGAAGAGGATGCAGACAGTTGCTACCACGATAGCAAGAAAGAAGACAACCTGAGACTGAAAGCAGAATATTTAGAATTTCACAGTGGGGCTGCCAGTTGGGAGTGCACCTGCCTTGCTCTTCAGGAACTCTGTCATGGCTCGTCTTTCTTCCAGCCTAGCTGCACTGAGCAATAGGTAGCCTGATTCCAGAGTTGAATTTGCTGTAGCCAAAACAATTTAGTTTTAATTGGCCAGGCCAGTTGACACAGGCCACCCTGCCCTGAGGATTTTGGACCACCTGGCTGAACTTGTAGACTCTCTCCATGGCACTTCAGGCAATAGGTTTTGTCCATACTGTGCTTGTTCCATGCAGGAGGAGTGCCTGAAGTGCCTGCAGCCAAACCAGGCCCTGGCGATGCTCCTTTTCCCATGGGGGTGCTCCTGGAGCATCACTGGCCGTCCTGTCATTTCCTACGGCTGCGTCCTGGGCCAAAATACAAAGCAGCTTTGAGGTGTAACTTATTATTTTGCCTTATGCATTAAAAAGGCCAAATAACATTAAAAATCAGTTATCTAAAGTATTTTGTTTTGTTTTGTTTTGTTTTTTGAGACAGAGTCTCACCCTGTTGCCCAGGCTGGCGTGCAATGGCGCGATCTCGGCTCACTGCAACCTCTGCCTCCTCGGTTCAAGTGATTCTCCTGCCTCAGCCTCCTAAGCAGCATCTGCACCACCACACCCGACTAATTTTTTGTATCTTTAGTAGAGACGGGGTTTCATCATGTTGGCCAGGCTGGTCTCGAACTCCTGACCTCATGATCCACCTGCCTCAGCCTCCCAAAGTGCTGAGATTATAGGCGTGAGCCACTGCGCACAGCCTACAGTTTTAACATTTTTTTTAACGGTTATGTTAGCTAGAATGTTTGACAATGAGGAGGAGAAAAATCTGAGTGCTGAAGGGTCCATAAAGGTCTTTCTTTTTCTTTTTTTTCTTTTTGAGACAGGGTCTCAGTCTGTTGCTCAAGCTGGAGTGCAGTTGTGCCATCATGGCTCACTACAAACTCCACCTCCCAGGCTCAAGCAATTCTCCCACTTCTGCCTCTGGAGTAGCTGGGACTACAGGCACCTGCCACCACACTCTGCTAATTATATTTTTTGTAGAGACAAGAGTTTAGCCTTGTTGCCCAGGCTGGTCTCCAACTCCTGGGTGGCAAGCAATCCTCCTGCCTCAGCAACCCAAAGTGCTGAAATTACAGCAGTGAGCCACAACTCCTGGCCCATAAAGGTCTTTCTAAATCAAAACCAGACCCTCTTGTTGTCTTCTGCCCAGTCTGCTCATGGTTCTAATTTCCAAGTGTATATTCTTTTTCACCCACGTTGTAATGTTTGTTGACTTAAACCATATAGCGCTATAGATGATGGGGAGAAAACCTGTTGGATCACATTATTCAAAACTGTTTCCCAGAGTCGCAGGAAAACAATAGGTACCTCCTTGGAAATCTCCACTGTAGGGACAAGTCATCAAGGCTCAGCACCTCCCAATTTTTGCAAAAGGCACTATGACAAATCAAGGAACGCCTGTGCCTTACTCTTACCACTAGGTGTCACACAAAACAATCAGGAATAAACACCAAGATCCTGAAGGCTACCAGAAATATAAAACCATAGAAGGTGGTGCAAAAAAACCTTATTCCTCAGATATTTTTATTTTTTATAACCATTTTTATACCTGAAGCCAAATATCTTCTTCTGATGTATCCTCTATAATTGGGACATTTAGAGTTTGATGTTTCTGTACTTGTTTAAAAGAAGTGACTATCCCCAGATGGGGGTCAGGGGACACCCACCCTTTATTTTCCCTAACAGTTGGAGTAGAAAATACTTTTGAGTACATTCCAAATTATAGTGTAGTCAGTCTGATTTTCACAGCGTGTTTTCAAAAGTGTTAATACTAAGACTGCTTTGGCCAAATGATTAATATACTGCCAAGGGGTTCCTGGGTAAATTTCTATGCATTTCAGTTTCTTTTTAGGGAAGTAGGAACAATATCTATCTTACAAGATTAGTTCTGAGAACAATGTGGTACATAAGGCGCTGGAATTCTTTCAAAAATTTATACCCTGACATTTCCAAGAGCCATGGTCACCCTTACAAAGGAGAGTTAGGCATGCATTTGTAGACAAGCAATATGACTTTTAAGCTAGAAAAGACCTTAAGTAACATTCAATCTAATCTTATTATAAAAGTTAAGTATACCACAAAAAAGTTAACTGACCTCTCCAACTAATGTGCAGTCAAGTAAAGATAGAACCTGGAATTGAGATGTCCCATTGCAGTCACTGTTTCACCTTGCCTCAATCATTGTAGATTTGCATATCATAAACCTGCAGAGACAATGGTGTCTATCCCTGGGAAGTTTTCATTGTAACATGTGATCATTATTACCCTGGAGGGTCTATCTGATTTTAATTTTTTTCCCTTCATACTTGGTCTCTCTCTATCGAGTCAGATTTCTTTCATTCTAATATTAGGGGAGGGGTGGAGATACGAAGAGAGGGGAAGGATTGGTTAGTACAAGGCCAGTCAAGGTAAAGATGATTGCAATAATCACCAGAAATCTCTGCAGAACTACAGAGGCCTCCTGGGACTAATTCTGAAGAGCTCTGACCGAAGTTTGCTTTATTTTGCCTGTACCAATTCTACCAAGTAGATGAATTCAGTCCATGGCTTGCAGGCTTGGAGGTGGAGGTGGAGTGGAGAGCATAAATTATATTTCTGCAGGTGAAACCAGAGCATAGTGAGCCGAAACCCCTTTCTACCCAGGTGGCGTGAATGGGTCCAACTGCTACTGTCCCCCAGGACAAGAGAGCAAGGAGGGGCGGGCAGGATGGGACTACCTTGAGCCTCCCGCAGGATGCCTGGCAACTACTTTCTTAGTGGTCCTTAAGGTCCAATCGCGGTTAAGGCACTAACTAAACTCATTCTTCAGCCTCCTTCTCTAAGTTCTCCTCGAATTTGGGTGCCCAGAAGTAGGCTCACGATCCTTTTTCTGCGGGAGCACAATGTAGGTCAGATAGCATAAACGAATAGCTACTTATGAACACAATAGCTACTCTGCTATTGCAAGGTATCCACAACCACCACTACAAACATTAACACCTTGCTTTACTTGGGAAACAAAAAAAATCATGGTCCTATTCAGCAGTTTCCCCATACAGGGAGCGTTTGCCCCTCCCCCAGTCAACAGGGCTGTTCATCCCTAGGAAGTGATTTGAGAGTTCTCCAAGGATTTAGGCTTTTCACTCCTCCAAAGCTTTCACAACTTCTACCTGGCGGGGGTGCGTGGGGGGGTGGGGGCGAAGCTAAAAGTTCCTTTGCTGCAAAGAGCCTGGTATAGGCAGAAACACCGGCGCGGCCTGCAGCCCCCTAACCACAGTGCGTCCTTCCCCTTAGAAGTCTGGGGAAAGCAAATCCCTACGCCCAGCCATCATTTCCACTCTTGCGTTTTCAAAAGATCAAAAAACGGAAAGGACCGGCAGGTTGGCAAACCCCAAAGAGGGACCGCCCATCAGGTCGGCGTCCTTGGGATCTCAGCAGCCGACGACCCCAATTCAAATCGATCGTGGGAAACCCCAGGGAAAGAAGGCTCACTTGCAGAGGGACAGGATTACAGGGTGCAGGCTGCAGGGAAGTACCGGGGGGAGGGGGCCTGGTCGGAAGGACTTTCCAGCCACTCGGCGCTCATCAAAAAGTTCCCTGTCCGTGACCCTAGTGGCTCATCGCAGGGAGTTTCTCCGATGAACCCCAGCTCAGGGTTTAGGCTTCTTTTTCCCCCTAGCAGAGGACGAAGCCAGTTCTCTTTTTCTGGTCTGACTGGCTTGGAAATTCCCCGAGCCTGACCCCGCCCCAGAGAAATCCCCAGCCAGCGTTTATAGGGCGCCGCGGCGGCGCTGCAGAGCCCACAGCAGTCCGTGCCGCCGTCCCGCCCGCCAGCGCCCCAGCGAGGAAGCAGCGCGCAGCCCGCGGCCCAGCGCACCCGCAGCAGCGCCCGCAGCTCGTCCGCGCCATGTTCCAGGCGGCCGAGCGCCCCCAGGAGTGGGCCATGGAGGGCCCCCGCGACGGGCTGAAGAAGGAGCGGCTACTGGACGACCGCCACGACAGCGGCCTGGACTCCATGAAAGACGAGGAGTACGAGCAGATGGTCAAGGAGCTGCAGGAGATCCGCCTCGAGCCGCAGGAGGTGCCGCGCGGCTCGGAGCCCTGGAAGCAGCAGCTCACCGAGGACGGGGACTCGTAAGTGGCGGAGGCCCGGGGCTGGGGGTCGTCGGGAGGGCGGGACGCGCGCGGCCTGGGGGTGGGAGGCGCCGGGCCTGGAGCCCGAGCCGGGGGACCAGCGATGCAGCCGGGCGGGCGCCGCGGCACCCCGGGGCTCCTGCACCGCCCCGAACGCTGCAGGGCTGCAGGGCCGCGCGGGGCACCGGCCCAACTCGGAGGGGCGGCGGCTGGGCCCTGGTGGATGGCAGCGTCGCCACACGCCCCCTCCCCCCAGACCCGTCCTCTAGGCCGGGGGCGGGGCGGCAGCGGGGACGCGAAGTCCCCGGTTGCATAAGGCGGGGCGGGAGTTTCTGGCCGCTGGCGGGCGCCGAGCAGCCGGGAGGGGAAGTACAGGGCGTTCCGAGCTGGCGGGAGGGCGGGGCGGTCTGGCCGGCGCCCGCCGGGGCCGCGGGGGGAGGGGGGCGGAAAGTCCCTGGGCGCCTGCCAGGAACACTCAGCTCATAATAACCTCGCGGAAAACACCGCGGCCTCGGCCTCCAGAAACCCCGGCCTTGCGCAATCCCCCGCAGCCCGCGCCTCCCTGGGCCCCACGCGGTGCACTCACCACCCCTGGGGTTTTTCCCTCTCTTCCCCACAGGTTCCTGCACTTGGCCATCATCCATGAAGAAAAGGCACTGACCATGGAAGTGATCCGCCAGGTGAAGGGAGACCTGGCCTTCCTCAACTTCCAGAACAACCTGCAGCAGGTGCGCCGCTTGCCTGGCCCGGGTTCTCTCTGACCCTGGGACGTAGCTGATGTAGCAGAGTCACCCCAGATCCTTTCTGAATTCAGGGCCACTGAGCACTATTTACCCTCACCTTTTACTTCACATCAGCCCACATCCTAGAGAGTGAAGGAAATTCCACTGATTTGGTGAGGTCTTTATGACCCACCTGGAGCCTCTGCTATTTGCCAGCCCTCCCCACCCCCCTGTCTAGGAGGAGCAGCACCCAACCAGGAGACACGGGTTGAGGGGAACTCGGGGTGTGGGTTTGGTCCATGGCTTACTTTCTCTGGTCTCTCTTGCATTCGTAGACTCCACTCCACTTGGCTGTGATCACCAACCAGCCAGAAATTGCTGAGGCACTTCTGGGAGCTGGCTGTGATCCTGAGCTCCGAGACTTTCGAGGAAATACCCCCCTACACCTTGCCTGTGAGCAGGGCTGCCTGGCCAGCGTGGGAGTCCTGACTCAGTCCTGCACCACCCCGCACCTCCACTCCATCCTGAAGGCTACCAACTACAATGGTATGTCTGCCTCCCTGCCCTGCCCCACCCCCTCGGAGGGCAGGTGACGTGGAGAAGGGGCAGGTGGGCCAACTTAAGGAGTCCAGGCAAGAGCTTAAACTCCTAACATTTGGAAGGTTGAGAAAATATGTGTGCAAAGTGCCTATTGGATGCCTTTATAAAGTTCTTTCAGAACCCAGACTGTGGGTTCTTAAAATTCAGAAGATAAGACTACTTGTTCCATAAAAGAATAGGTGAAAGGAGTGAGGGTTGAAACAGGTGGTTATACTTTTTTCCTTTTGTTCTTCCAGGCCACACGTGTCTACACTTAGCCTCTATCCATGGCTACCTGGGCATCGTGGAGCTTTTGGTGTCCTTGGGTGCTGATGTCAATGCTCAGGTTGGTGCTTCCTGCCCCCGACGCACTGAGTCAGGCTCCTCGTGCTTATGTTGTGAGCAGAAATTCCAAATGCAGCCATAAGCATCTCAAATTCCTTTTGGTTTCAGGAGCCCTGTAATGGCCGGACTGCCCTTCACCTCGCAGTGGACCTGCAAAATCCTGACCTGGTGTCACTCCTGTTGAAGTGTGGGGCTGATGTCAACAGAGTTACCTACCAGGGCTATTCTCCCTACCAGCTCACCTGGGGCCGCCCAAGCACCCGGATACAGCAGCAGCTGGGCCAGCTGACACTAGAAAACCTTCAGATGCTGCCAGAGAGTGAGGATGAGGAGAGCTATGACACAGAGTCAGAGTTCACGGAGTTCACAGAGGACGAGGTGAGTCTGTGAACTCCTTCGGCGCTCTAACTAATGAGGTGCCATTCCCTTCACCCTCCCAGGCCCCTAGAGCTGCTCCTTATCAGAGGGGTATCTACATAATGAGTCTCTCAAATTTCTGTGCATAACCAGTATCCCAAGAATGTACCTGCCCCCCCTCTTTTTTTAAAGAGAAGCATTAAAGGCAAACTCTCTCAGCCTGTAAAGTTCATTATATTTGGGCTATGGAGAATGGAGTCCAAGAGTTATTTCCAGTAGTGGCCTCCCCATCCCGGTAGCTTGGCAGAGCTCCGCTCCGGAAGCTTAACGTGTCTTTTTTCCCCTTGTTTTCAGCTGCCCTATGATGACTGTGTGTTTGGAGGCCAGCGTCTGACGTTATGAGCGCAAAGGGGCTGAAAGAACATGGACTTGTATATTTGTACAAAAAAAAAGTTTTATTTTTCTAAAAAAAGAAAAAAGAAGAAAAAATTTAAAGGGTGTACTTATATCCACACTGCACACTGCCTGGCCCAAAACGTCTTATTGTGGTAGGATCAGCCCTCATTTTGTTGCTTTTGTGAACTTTTTGTAGGGGACGAGAAAGATCATTGAAATTCTGAGAAAACTTCTTTTAAACCTCACCTTTGTGGGGTTTTTGGAGAAGGTTATCAAAAATTTCATGGAAGGACCACATTTTATATTTATTGTGCTTCGAGTGACTGACCCCAGTGGTATCCTGTGACATGTAACAGCCAGGAGTGTTAAGCGTTCAGTGATGTGGGGTGAAAAGTTACTACCTGTCAAGGTTTGTGTTACCCTCCTGTAAATGGTGTACATAATGTATTGTTGGTAATTATTTTGGTACTTTTATGATGTATATTTATTAAACAGATTTTTACAAATGAGTTATCCTGATCATTTTCTTCAGGCTGCCGTGGGCCTCCGGTTCTGAAGTTCCATCCTCCGGCAGAGGTGGAGGTGGAGCAGTGTGAGGGAGGAGGTAACTCCCAGCAGCTTCTCACACCTGACACCCAGCCTCCAGCAAAGCTTTGCAGGCACCCTGGGCCCAGTGTGTGGGAGGGAGGCTGTTGCAAGGTTATAGGAAATTACCAATCTCAGGCTTGGGGTGGAAGCATGCTGTTTGGCCTGTGGTTGGAGACCTCTCCGTTGTCATTCTGTCATCCCGTTGATTTAAACTTCCTGGACCCTAATTGCCAGTTGAGGAAATTATTTTGGCCAAGAAGAATATGCTGAATTCATATAGAGCTGGGAAAGATCTCACTAATACAGGAAGTTCCTAAGGACATAGGCTCAGAAATGGGACTGCACTGACATTTGTTAGCAGATGCTCACCTCTGAGCCTCAGTTTTCTCATTTATTAGCTGGGCTGTTGTGAAAATTACATAAGACAATCCACGTAAAATGCATAGCAGAGCGGCAGGCACGTAGTGCTAAAGAAAAACAAGCTGTTACGCAACGTTCTTTATGTCATACCAGGAGAAACAAGTCCAGAGAGAATGTCCTGTCTAGGGTCACCTTGCAGGAGAAATAGGTGGTTAACATATTTCATACGTGCTCGTTTTGGGGTAAACATCTTTTAAGAGCATTCCATCTCTTAAATCTATGTGTTATTGGCTGTAGTAGAAAAGTAATAAAGGCTTGAAGGGTCTTATCAGTTCAGTCTACTGATTGTACTGGACGATTCTACAGGAGCAAATGTCACAAGAAACCAGTAATGTGAAACTTGGCTTAGATGCTCTATCTTGAGGTTTTCATCCCTAAAATGGCTCTCTTGCCTAGGTAGAGAGAAGAATAAAGATGGGTATACTGAAAGCCCAGACTTTACCGCTATACAATATAAAAAATCTGCATTTGTACTCTGTAAACATTTTTATTAAATTTTTGGGGGATAGGGTCTCACTCTGTTGCCCAGGCTGGGGTGCAATTGTGCAATCACAGCTCACTGCAGCCCCAAACTCCTGGGCTCAAGCGATCCTCCCAACTCAGCCTCCTGAGTAGCTGGGACTACAAGCATGCACCACCATGCCTGACTAATTTTATTTGTAGAGACAGGGTTTCTCTATGTTGCCCAGGCTGGTCTGGAACTCCTGGGCTCAAGAGATCCACCCACTATGGCCTCCCAAAGCACTGGGATTACAGGTCTGAGCCACCACACCCAGCCAAAACATTTCTGAGGAAAAAGTAAAGTTATTGCATTCTAGAAAATGCAGAGTAGTGTATAAATGCAATTCATGTCTTTGACTTATACCTAAGAAAAAATTATTACATTATCCCTTTCCTGATCCACAAACGATGTCAAAGTCAAAAGAATATGGTCACCTTGGACCAAAAAGGAGCCAGTATTTAGTGGTCTTCCACATATAAGGAGTGTTACTACAGACTGGTTAAAGCCAATTCTGCCCCAATTCTTTCTCTTTCTTTTTTTTTTTTTTTTTTTTTTTTTGAGATGGAGTCTTGCTCTGTCGCCCAGGCTGGAGTACAGTGGCATGATCTCAGCTCACTGCAACCTCCACCTCCCGGGTTCTAGCGATTCTCTGTGCCTCAGCCTCCCGAGTAGCTGGGATTACAGGTGCCTGCCACCACGCCTGGCTAATTTTTATATTTTTAGTAGAGACAGGGTTTCACCATGTTGCCCAGGCTGGTCTTGAACTCCTGACCTCAGGTGATCTGCCCACCTCAGCCTCCCAAAGTGCTGGAATTTCAGGCGTGAGTCACCGCGCCCAGCTCTGCTCCATTTCTGTAGCCTTAGTCCATCCGGAACCCAGCACTGGCGGTCCCTCTACCAGTCTTATTCTCTGTCAAAGTGCCCGGGTTCTTCCCTGAAATTCCTTGTCCATCCCCAAGCACCTCAACACAGGTGTTAAATGACCTACCACAGGAATTAGGTCAGTTAGGTTCAGCTCTCAGCTAAGTGGGAGAGGTAAGATGGGAGTGGGGTGATATCCCCACCCTCATTCTCAAAAGAACAAAGGTTGGAAACTTGGCTCCCCAATTTTGGAACGATGCCCTTAGTACTTTCTACTCAGTCAAATGTGACTCTTCTTCCCTCTGTAAAGGGGTTAAATTTGTGCCAATTCACCCATACGCTGTCTCTAGTTCTGTGCTAGGTTGTAGAAACAGGACAAAGCTGTGCGCCACCCCCTCATCCCCAGCCTCCTTAGAGCCCAGCTCTTGCATAGGGGCGTCACCCTCCATGGTCAAGCAAGGGTGGGCCCCTTCTCACCCACTTGGGCCCAGTCTCCCACCTTTCTAGGCTTCAGCTTTTCTTCTTTCTAGGTCCTAAACCTTGGAAAAGGTTCTGTCATCTGCATAAATCTCGAGGTAGCTGGGCCCAGTTAAGCACTGAAGGCTGCCCCGGTTCCTTACTCTCTAGCTCTTCTCCCCATTTCTCATCCCCCCCCCCACCTTTTTTTTGTGTGTGTGTGATAGGGTCTCACTCTCTTGCCCAGGCTGGAGTGCAGTGGCATGATCTCGGCTCACTGTAACCTCCGCCTCCTGGGTTCAAGCAATTCTCCTGCCTCAGCCTCCCGAGTAGCTGGGACTACAGGTGCACACCACTACACCCGGCTAATTTTTATATTTTTAGTGGAGATGGGGTTTCGCCGTGTTGGCCAGGCTGGTCTCGAACTCCTGACCTCAAGTGATCCACCTGCCTTGGCCTCCCACAGTCCTGGGATTACAGGTGTGACCCACCACACCCAGCCCTCCCTGCTTTTCTTTTCTTTTTGTTTTAAATTTATTATCTTTCTGTCCTGCCTGTTGGTTGGGTGACTGGAGCCTGGAGTTCCCTAAAGGAAAATTTTAGAAGGGAAACATTCTAATCTGTAGAAAATCTTCAAATTCCTAAGCAAACAAGAGCAAAAGATCTCAAAGTAAACAGGCCAGCAGACGGAGAGTCTTCTTTAATGCACTTTGATTTCCTCCAAGAAGTTACAGATTGTGTGGGGACAGGTAGGACTAAGAGTGCCTAGAGAAAGGGGAAGTGATATGAGGGGGAAATAATATATCACATCAGCAACTTCCTTGAATTCAGTTCCTTGATTCCTTCTGCCTGCCTTATCCATCAGGATACATTTCCTGTAGCGGCCACGTGTACCAAGTCCTTCCAGAAAGTAAGGATTTTTCTTTAAAGAGGGAACAAACTAGTCTGAGCAATCTGAAGACCTTCCCCTGGGGCCTGGAAATTCAGAAGGCTGGGAGCTTGGGTGGATTTGCATGGAAAGTTCAGTTGCTACTGGAAGTGATTAAGTGGTGACAGAATTGAGTCTGTCAGATGGGTCTTCCTTCCCCAAGACTTCCCACCCCCGTACCCACCCACTCCCCCACCCCCAGCTTTCTGCCAGATTTTCATTAACTTGCCTTAAGTGTAGCTGAAATTTCATTTGGCAAGAAAAGTCTGAGTTGTGGAACTCCAGTCTGAAACATGCCCAAGAAACATTCCCCAACCTCTGGTGCCTGGACAAGAATATCCTAGGCTGTTTCCCCATTGAAAGAGAGCATTACAGAAACTGAAACTGGACCTCACCTGTGTTTCCCTCCTAGAGAAGTACGACTCTCCAACCCATTCCTTCATTTGCATCAAAAAGAACTATTCTCCAGGCCTCCTGCCAAGGGCAGGAATAAGAGGAATAAGTCATGGCCTCTGCCCCTAAGAGCTCCTTGCTTAGGTGGAGAGGGAGACAGACAACTGCATGGAAAGGCGTGATGAGATGAAAGCCCATAGCACGGGAGCTGAGCCCAGGCACCAGCGCGGAGTGCAGGTGGGAGAGACGGGACCCGAGCTCATATTCCAGTTAGCTATTTACCTGCCAGTACTATATTATCTTATCCCATGCCCCAAGTGACTGTGGCAGGCACCCTTTTCACAGGGGGCAGGAAGTATGACCCAGCATCAGCCAATCTGAGTCATTGACAAGTAGGACTGGACTCTGAACACTGACATGAAAATAGGGCCAAGGCCCACAAACCGGCCAGCAATCCAGGTAAGTGTGACCAGGTGCGGGGGCTCATGCCTATAATCCCAGCACTTTGAGAAGCTGAGGCAGGAGGATCATTTGAGCCCAGGAGGTCAAGACCAGCCTGGGAAATATAGGGAGAGCCCATCTCTACAAAAAAAAATACATTAAGGCCAGGCACGGTGGCTCACACCTGTAATCCCAGCACTTTGGGAGGCTGAGACAGGCGGATCACCAGAGGTCAGGAGTTTGAGATCAGCCTGGCCAACATGGTGAAACCCCATCTCTACTAAAAATACAAAAAGTAGCCAGGCCTGGTGGTACGTGCCTGTAATCCCAGCTACTTGGGAGACTGAGGCAGGAGAATCACTTGAATCCAGAAGGCAGAGGTTGCAGTGAGTGGAGATCGTGCCATTGCACTCCAGCCTGGGCAACAAGAGTGAAACTCTGTCTCAAAAAACAAAAAAGAAAGAAAGAAAGAAAGTCAGCCTGGGTCACACAGCCAGTAAATGGCAGAGCCAGGCTCTAGGTATATATTCCTAACCTGGGGATAAAGCAGCTTCCAGGCCAGGCACACTGGCTCACTCCTGTTATCCGAGCACTTTGGAAGTCTGAGGTGTGCAGACTGCTTGAGCCCAGGAGTTCGAGACCAGCCTGGACAACACAGTGAAACCCCATCTCTGCAAAAATACAAAAAATTAGCTGGGAGTGGTGGTGCGCACCTGCAGTCCCAGCTTTCATGCACGTCCGTGTGAAGAGACCACCAAACAGGCTTTGTGTGAGCAAAATGGCTGTTTATTTCACCTGGGTGCAGGCGGGCTGAGTCCGAAAAGAGAGTCAGCGAAGGGAGATAGGGGTGGGGCCGTTTTATAGGATTTGGGAAGGTAATGGAAAATTACAGTCAAAGGGGGTTGTTCTCTGGTGGGCAGGGGTGGATCTCACAAAGTACATTCTCAAGGGTGGGGAGAATTACAAAGAACCTTCTTAAGGGTGGGGGAGACTACAAAGTACCTTCTTAAGGGTGGGGGAGATTACAAAGTACATTGATCAGTTAGGGTGGGGCAGGAACAAATCACAATGGTGGAATGTCATCAGTTGAGGCTGTTTTTACTTCTTTTGTGGATCTTCAGTTACTTCAGGCCATCTGGATGTATACGTGCAAGTCACAGGGGATGCGACGGCCTGGCCTGGGCTCAGAGGCCTGACACCAGCTACTCAGGAGGCTGAGGCGGTAAGATTGCTTGAGCCCAGGAGGTGGAGGTTGCAGTGAGCCAAGATGGTGCCAGCCCGGGCAACAGAGCAAAGCCCAGTCAGGGAAAAAAAAAAAAAAAAAAAAGCAGCAGCTACCAAGCACACACAGGAATTAACAAAAGTGTTTTCAGGTCATCAATCGTCAATATGTTCCTTATGTATCTGTTGCTATACTACCAAAACTGGGCAAATATTACAAAGGATGGTTTGAATTTCTGATGTTTTATGTTAATGGAAATACTGTCTCATGGAAACTATATAATAATGCAGAAAATGCAAGTTCTGAGACCTCAGGAGACCCCAGTAAACTGAACAATCCTGTGGGACTCAGACAGGTATCCTACTTCATCTTCTCTGAAATCTTTTTTTTTTTTTTTGAGACAGAGTCTCACTCTGTCGCCCAGCCTGGAGTGCAGCGGAGCGATCTCGGCTCACTGCAAACTCCGCCTCCTGGGTTCACGCCCTTCTCCTGCCTCAGCCTCCGGAATTGCTGGGACTACAGGTGCCCACCACCACACCAGGCTAATTTTTTGTATTTTTAGTAGACACCAGGTTTCGCCGTGTTAGCCAGGATGGTTTCGATCTCCTAACCTCGTGATCCGCCCGCCTCGGCCTCCCAAAGTACTGGGATTACAGACTTGAGCCACCGCGCCCGGCTGAAATCTTTACTATTGTTTCATAAGGTGCTAAATTAAGGAAGTGAGGCGCGTCTACTTCCAGGAGTTTCCAGTTGTGTGGTCTGGGTTTGGTTCTCACCGAGGCTCAGGTCTACCCAAAGTCACCACATTAAACATTTTGGTCAGACTTTTAAAAACTTAACAGTATTTTAATATTCATCTCTGGGGATGCCCCAAACAAACAAGCAAATGCAACTTTTTTTTTTTTTTTTTTTTTTTTTTTTGAGACGGAGTCTTGCTCTGTCGCCCAGGCTAGAGTGCGGTGGCGCTATCTCTGCTCACTGCAAGTTCCATCTCCCGGGTTCACGCCATTCCGAGTAGCTGGGACTACAGGTGCCCGCCACCACACCCGGCTAATTTTTTTTTGTATTTTTAGGAGAGGTGGGGTGTCACCATATTCGCCAGGATGGTCTCGATCTCCTGACCTTGTGATCTGCCTGCCTCGGCCTCCCAAAGTGCTGGGATTACAGGCGTGAGCTACCGCGCCCAGCCGCAAATGCAACTTTTTAAGGATCAATGAATGAACTTCTTTCAGGTGAAGTGTTTTAATACCAACTTAGTTTCAAGTTGATTTTTAACATTCTCCTTCGCAGGCCTTCCCACCTCCGTCATTGAGAGGCAATTTCCCAAGGCAGGACCTTGCCACGTGGCCCACTGTATGTTTCCTAGCTACTGGACAGCTGGCTCTATAGACTCTTCCGTGTACATAAATTCAGTCATTCTTTTCTCAAAACACAGAGTAAACCTCTGGTTTGAAAGAGAGACTCAAGCCTTGGACACACAAATATCCTGCAATCTACAAGTCAAACGGGAGTGGAAGCTTTCATTTCTTAGAGGCTAGAACCGGGAATAACAGTACCCCCAGCAGACTGACCATGAAGGGTTCTGTCTGTGTGTGCACAACTTCCCAGGCCTGAAATGTGTGCAGCAAGGATGTCCTCAAGGGGCTCTTGTGCACGTTGCCCTCTACCCATGGTCCCCACAGCGGGACCAGCTCCACACACAGGGAAGAATGGAAAGGACACCCAGAGCCAACCTGGCCCTGGGACCTCCCCTCCTGGCTTTCACGGCTCCTCAGATTGGGTCAGTCACACCGAAAGGACTTTCTGGAAGGAGCGCACCAGAATTTCTGTTCTGGGAAGATGGTGGAAGGCAGAGCTGAGTTCATTGCTTATGGAGGGGAGAGAATAGCCCCTGCACAGAGCCTCCATCGCGGCTGCCAGGGGAAGTGGAGAGGCTAGGATCTCACTGAGAATTTCAAGATTGGTTTAAGGAGGGCCTTTCAATGCAGGGGCTTGCTTGGGATTGGGGGAGATAATGATACAGTAGTTTCAGGTTGGTGGCAACAGCTAGGCGAGGGGTTTGAAATGTCTTAGGTGTGAAATGTCTGTTGATGCTTCTATTAAATAAAGCTCGCCTATTGAAGAGTTGATGGGCCTCTTGGGAAATTCCTGTAATAAACAATGAAGTTATTTGCCTGGGCAAGAGACTCTTGGAATAGTAAAGTTATTGTACCAAAGACAGTGGGAGAAAAAAAGTCATGTTAATGCAGACAATAAACTTGGAGGTGGAAGGGGATAGTTTCTGCCTCAATCTGACTAGTCATTAGGCCTAAAGACCTGAGGGCTAGGACACATGTCAAGTATCTTTCAACACATTTAAAAAGTTAAAAATTCAGGAAATGGACCCACGACAATGTTGGAGGTCTGCTAAGCAGGACAGGGAGCATGGAGGAGGGGTGCATTAAAAAACAAGCCTCGGGCCAGTCTGGGTGGCTCACGCCTGTAATCCCAGTGCTTTGGGAGGGCGAGGCAGGCGGATCACAAGGTCAGGAGATCGAAACCATCCTGGCTAACACGGTGAAACCCCGTCTCTACTTAAAAAAAGACAACAAATTAGCTGGGCTTGGTGGCGGGCGCCTGTAATCCCCGCCACTTGGGAGGCTGAGGCAGGAGAATCGCTTGAACCCAGGAGGCGGAGGTTGCGGTGAGCTGAGATCCACCACTGCACTCCAGCCTGGGCGACAGAGCGAGACTCGGTCTCAAAAAACAAACAAACAAAAAAACAAGCCTTACCTGTTTTAGAATCTCACCTATCACTGACGAGCCTTAGCTCCAATCCCATCACACTATAATTCACACTGCAGAGGACCCAGCTAATCCAGCTATGGGTGAATAATAATGGTAGTAGGTGTCATTTATGAAACAATGACTATATGCCAGGCATATGTGATCATCACAGGGGGACATTATTGAGGAAACCAAGGTTCAAAGAGGCTTGGTAACTTGTCTGAGGTGATGAAACCAAGAAAAGTGGCCATTCTGGGACTCAAACCTGCTCCCTTTGGCTCCAAAGCTCTTTGTTCCCAGACTGGTCAGGGTGAGCCTCCTCATTTTACTGAAGATGTTCAAGGCTTCTCAACAGCTGCCATTTTCCAGTGCAGCTGGTGTTAATCTTACATGGCCCTGGCCACCAAATAAACTTATTTTACTCTGAGAAGTCATTTGCTACTGTTTCTATTGTGTAAAATTTTTCTCATAGGAAACATTGAAAAGATACCTCATAGGAGTGTGTGAAAAGTAAGTGACAGATGCTGTAAGTCCATAGGAAATGGCATGAGCACAGCTGTCTTAGACTGTTCAGGCTGCTACAGCCGAATTCCATAGACTGGGTTGCTTATGAACAATAGAAATTTATTTCTCCGGCTGGGCGTGGTGGCTCACCCCTGTAATCCCAGCACTTTGGGAGGCCAGGGTGGGCAGATCACGAGGTCAGGAGTTCAAGACCAGCCTGGCCAACATGGTGAAACCCTGTCTCTACTAAAGATACAAAAAATTAGCCGGGCATGGTGGCACGAGCCTATAATCCCAGCTATTTGGGAGGCTGAAGCAGGAGAAGTGCTTGAACCTGGGAGGCGGAGGTTGCAGTGATCCGAGATCGCACCATTGCACTCCAGCCTGGGTGACAGGGCAAGACTCTGTCTCAAAAAGAAAAAAAAAAAAAGAAAGAAAGAAATTTATTTTGCCACAGTTTTGGAGGCTGCAAAGTCCAAGATCAAGATGCTAGCAGATTCTGTGTCTGGTGAGGGCCAGCTTTTCTATTTGAAGATGAGGCCTTCTTGCTGTGTCTGCACGTGGTGGAAAGGGCCAGCTAGCTTGCTGGGGCTTCTTCTATAAGGGAACTAATCCCATTCAGGAGGGCTCCATCCTTATGACCTAATCACTTCCCAAGGCCCCACCTGACACCATCACCTTGGGGATTCAGATTTCAACATATGGATTTTGAAGGGACACTAACATTCAGTTCATTGTAATAGCCTTAGGTGCCATCTTGACACCCAAGACTTGGCTGCTGGCAAAGAGGCTCCAGGTAGCTCTGGTCCCAGCTCAGGATACTATCCCAGGAGGGTTTTTTTTTCTTTTTTTCATTTTGGAGATAGGGTCTCACTCTGTCACCTAGGCTAGAGTGCAGTGGCACAATCATGGCTCACTGCAGCCTCAGCCTCCTGGGCTTAAATGATCCTCCCACCTCAGCCTTCCGAGTGTGTGGGATCCCAGGTGCATGTCACCAAGCCCAGCTAATTTTTTTTTTTTTTGAGAAAGAGTCTTACTCTGTTGCCCAGGCTGGAGTGCAGTGGCGCAATCTTGGCTCACTGCAACCTCCACCTCCCAGGTTCAAGTGATTCTCCTGCCTCAGCCTCCCGAGTAGCTGGGATTACAGGCATGTGCCACTATGTGCACCTAATTTTTGTATTTTTAGTAGAGATGGGGTTTCACCATGTTGGCCAGGTTGGTCTCGAACTCCTGACCTCAAGTGATCCTCCTGCCTTGGCCTCCCAATGTGCTGGGATTACAAGTGTGAGCCACCACACCCAGCCCTGGGATGGTTTTTGACAGCAGAAACCTACCAGCAAAGGAGAAAAAACTCTGCCTCCTCAGAGGCTGCAGGGAAGCCACGGCTGAGGTAATTGTGTGATTAAGTTTTGAGCCCATTTCCAGCTGACCCACTGGGGTGGAGATGGGTATAGAATGAAGACGCCTGCGAGGCCTGTCTGAGGGGAGACCTGGGAAGGCCAGGTCCTGGGAAGGCCAACAACCAGGAACACCCTGGGTGGCTCTCATGACAGAGACAGCCTTCAGAGCAATCGATCATTCTCCATTGGAGGTTCAGACCAACCTGGCTCCCACTGGAGGCCCTACTCTCTACACCATGTAACCCTGGGCTAGTGGCTTAACCTCTCTGAGACTCAATTCCTCATCTCTAAAGCAGGGTGACCGCAGCTGCCTTGCAGAGTGGCTGTGAGGCTTAGCTATGACTCATGATGTCTGTAAAGCTCTGGCAAAGTGCCAGACACATAGTAGGCACTCAGTAGGTGACAGCTTCAATTAGGATGATTAATTATCACTAATGTGAAGAGCATCTGACAGCCCTCCCTGTAGGCACGTTGTTCCCTGCAAGCCAAAACTTCCTGTTCCCCTACTCATAGGGTGGCCAGGACCTGAGGAACCAGATCCTCTAAGGACAAACTGGAACATCTAGTCTTCCTCTTGACCCTCCCTGACTTTGTCCCTTGCCAGTGGGGAGCCCCCTTCACCAGGCCCTTCCCAGCCTCCAACACCTGCTCAGCGCAGCCCTGACCCACGGGAGCTGCCTTGAGGCTGGGGGGCATGACCCACCAGGTGGAGGCATGAAACGGAGGGCTGTCATGGGCCCACCCCAGGTGCAAGCCTGGAAGGCCCTGGACCTCTGGGAGTCCTCTCAAGTCATGGAAGGTGAGAGAAGCCTCTGCTCCTGTGGTCAGCAGTGGGCCAGGTGGCAGATCGCTGACGGTAATGGGGATGCAACTCAGTAGGGAAGCCCGACCTGGTTAGAGAGAGATGAACACCCCCTCCTGGGGCCTTGCCTGGAGCCCTCTGTGAGGGGGTCAGCAAATCAGGCAGAACCTTGGGCCCTCAGCCCTCCCCATCCTGCCTCTGTAATGCAGAAAGTGGGCTTTATTATAAATGCTTTCCTTTTCTTCTACCACTGGTGGGAAAGGCGGGGAAGGAGAGAGCCTTGCTCTAGTGGCAGCACTAGCTGGGAGAGAATGAGGGAGGGAGGAAGGCTGCATCCCCGCAAACGCCCCTCCTTGTGCTTTGCTCTTCAGCAGAAGGGGAAAGCTCGACACCGTTAGAATAGTGCAATCCTGGCTGGGCCTGGGGCTCACGCCTGTAATCCCAGCACTTTGGGAGGCCAAGGCAGGTGGATCACCTGAGGTCAGGAGTTTGAGACCAGCCTGGCCAACACAGTGAAACCCCATCTCTACCAAAAATACAAAAATTAGCCTGGCATGGTGGCACGCACCTGTAGTCCCAGCTACTTGGGAGGCTGAGGCAGGAGAATGATTTGAACGGAGGAGGTGGAAATTACAGTGAGCTGAGATCATGCCACTGCACTCCAGCTGGGGGGACTGAGCGAGACTCCTTTTCAAAAAATAAATAAATAGATAAATAAATAAATAAAAGAATAGTGCAATCCTACCAATAAACACACAACCATGCCAACATGTTCTCCCCACCAAGATTCTTGGTTATAAGCCAAAGAAACTAATGCTGGATACTTTGGACAGAAAGGAGATTTGTGGGCCAGGCATGGTGGCTCACGCCTGTAATCCCATGACTTTGGGAGGCCGAGGTGGGTGGATCACTTAAGGTGAGGAGTTCGAGACCATCCTGGCCAACATGACAAAACCCCATCTCTACTAAAAATACAAAAAACTATCCGGTGTGGTGGCGGGCACCTGTAACCCCAGTTACTCAGGAGGGAGGCTGAGGCAGGAGAATCACTTGAACCCAGGAAGTGGAGGTTGCAGTGAGCCGAGATTGTGCGTGAGATTCCGTCTCGACAACAACAACAACAATAACAACAACAAAAAGAGATTTGTGAAGAGGATTTGGGGAAGCCTTAAGATTCTCCGGGTGACCTGGAGAGCAAGAGAGATCCGCTGAGCTCACTCCTGCAGCCGACCTCCCGCAACCCCTCATGCTGTGCCCAGAATGCATACAGGTTTTCCCATTGTTAGCCTCTGATTCAAGGTCTGGGCAGCCTCCGTCAGATGCCACACAAGGGAGGCTGGGAAAGTGATTGTCTTGCATTTGTGCTTCAAGACAGTGCATCCCCTAAACATAGGAAATGGGTTCAGGTGACAAATGTCCCAAGATGTCAACAGCGGTTTTTGCTGGGTGGTTGTCTTCTATGGTGTTTTAAAAAAAGTATTATTTAGAAGTTCAAATATACACAAATGTAGACACAATATTAAAATAGATATCATCTCTAGCTTCGTTATCAGCTCACGGGCAATTGTGATATTGTGAAATATATATTTGGGCCTTCTCTCACCAGGCATCCTCGTGGAAGTGACATCGTGTTGGCCTGCGTGGCCATCCCTGACACACCGCCGTGATGCCCAGGGAAGACAGGGCGACCTGGAAGTCTAACTACTTCCTTAAGATCATCCAGCTTTTGGATAATTATCTGAAATGTTTCATCATGGGAGCAGACACTGTGGGCTCCAAGCAGACACAGTAGATCCACCTGTCCCTCCAAGGGAAGGCCGTGGTGCCAATGGGCAGGAACCCCATGATGCGCAAGGCCACCCAAGGACAACTGGAAAACAGCCCAGCTCTGGAGAAACTGTTGCCTCCTCTGCAGGGGAATGTGGGCTTTGCGTTCACCAAGGAGGACCTCACTGAGGTCAGGGATCTGCTGCTGGCCAATAAGGTGCCAGCTGCCACCCGTGCTGGTGCCATTGGCCCATGTGAAGTCACTGTACCAGCCCAGAACACTGGTCTGGGACCCGAGAAGATTTCTTTTTTCCAGGCTTTAGGCATTACCACTAAAATCTCCAGGGGCACCACTGAAATCCTGAGTGATGTGCAGCTGATCAAGACTGGAGACAGAGTGGGAGCCAGCGAAGCCACACTGCTGAACACGCCGAACATCTCTCCCTTCTCCTTTGGGCTGGTCATCCAGCAGGTGTTCAACAATGGTAGTATCTACAACCCTGAAGTGCTTGACATCACAGAAGAAACTCTGTATTCTGGCTTCCTGGAGGGTGTCCGCAATGTTGCCAGTGTGTCTGCAAACTGGCTACCCACCTGTTGCATCAGTACCCCCTTCTATCATCAGTGGGTACAAAGGATGCCTGGCTCTATCTGTGGAGACTGATTACACCTTCCCGCCTGCTGAAAAGATCAAGACCTTCTTGGCTGATCCATCTGCCTTTGTGGCTGCTGCCCCTGTGGCCACTACCGCCACGGCTGCTCCTGCTGCTGCGGCAGCCCCAACTAAGTTTGAAAACGAGGAGTCGGAGGAGTTGGATGAGGATATGGGATTTGGTCTCTTTGACTAACCACCAAAAAGCAACCAACTCAGCCAGCTTTATTTGCAAAATAAGCAAATAAAGGCTTACATTTTTTTAAAAAAAAGTATGCATATATTTGGTCTTCATCCAGTTTCCTGGCATACAACTCCTAAAATCCTAGAATCTCTAAAGTGACATGCCATTTTCTGTATACGAATGAGTTGACTGTTGGCTGGCCACTCCCAGCAGCTTGCTGGTCACTGGAAAGACCAGGGAAGGATCAGAGGGTTGGGACTTTCAGTCCCACCCCTGCCTAACCTCCAGGGAAGGGAGAGGGGCTGAAGGTCAAGTTGATCACCAATGGCCACGGTTTAATCAATCAGGCCTACGTAATGACGCTTCCATACAAGCCAAAAAGATGGGGTTCAGGGAGCCTCCAAGCAGCTGAACACATGGAGGTTTCTGGAGGGTGATGTGCCCGGGGAGGGCATGGAATCTGCGTGCCCCATTCCACATGCCTGGCCCTGTGCATCTCTTTATCTGCATCCTTTGTAATATCCCTTATCATAAACCGATAATATAAGTAAAGTGTTTATCCGAGTTCTGTGAGCCACTCTAGCAAATTAATTGAACTCAAGGAGAGGGTCTTGGGAACCCAGATTTAAAGCTGTCAGTCAGAATCACAAGCAAAACAACCTGGGGCTCGCGATTAGCGTCTGAAGTCTTGTGGGACTAAGCCTCCAATCCGCGGGATCTGAGGCTGTTTCCTAGGTAGACAGTGTCAGAATTGAGCTGAATTCTGCTGCTTGCTTGGTATATGGGGAGATACCCCCACACATCTGGTCACTGAAGTATCTGTGTTGTTTAGTAAGAAAATAGGGGGAGCACTTTGGTTTGTTTTTTTCCTGTATCCTCAGAGCAATTTTATTTCATTTATACTTTTATCCATCTCCCTCTCCCCATTTCAAAGTAATACAGGAGTTAAGAAATTACTTAGGCAGATAGTGAGGGTAGGGAAGTCCTCGGCAAATTTTCCTTTTAATGAAAAGCAGCCCCAACTTATTTTCCTTTCTAACAAAGAGCAGCCTATAAAATCTAGCTGCAGGGACATAGATGCCAGCAATTGTGCCAATCATGTTCAAGATGGCGGCTCCATCTTCTTTTCTCTTTATCCGCCAGGCGTACAGTAAGGAGCAGACAACATGGCGCTGGTCAACGGGAGAGTTCATTTACATAATAAGATTAGGGCAGGGCGTCCAGCATTCCCGGTGCTATGTAAATCTCATACTTGATTGAACCAATCTGTGAGCCCTATGTAAATCAGACACCGTCTCCTCAAACCTGCCTTTAAAATGTGGCACATCTGCTGCCCGCTGGTCTTTTCCACTGGGAGACCTTTCTCTCTCGTAGAGTACTGTTTCTCTTTCTCTTCTCTTCTGCTTATTAAACCTCCACTCCTAAACTCCTCGTGTGTGTCCGTGCCCTAAATTTTCCTGGCACAAGACAAAGAACCCCAGGGTATGTCTTAGACAACACAGCTGCTTCAAAAGTAAGCAGCAGTCGTCATATCATGTAAAGTCATCCCTATTTTAGTACTTATCCCTAAAACAGGAGGACTATGCTTTAAAAATATAACCTTTACCCCTTTCCTCACTTTCCCTCCCCCCACCTTCTTTAAAAAACAAAAATAAAACTATAACTTAATACTACAATCACACTTTAAAAAACTAACAATAGGCCAGTCACCTTGGCTCCTGCCTGTAATCTCAGAACTTTGGGAGGCCAAGGTGGGAGGATTGCTTGAGCCCAGGAGTTTGAGACCAGCCTGGATAACATAGTGAGACCTCGTCTCTACGAAAACTAAACAAAATTAGCTGAGTGTCGTGGCACATGCCTTTAGTCCCAGAGGCTGAGGTGAGAGCATCCCTTGAGCCCAGGAGGTCAAGGCTGCAGTGAGCTGAGATCGCGCCACTGCACTCCAGCCTGGGCAACAGAGCCAGACCCTCAAAGCAAAACAAAGCAGGGAGATTTACTCTCTTTTTAATGTTTTCCTCTATTACTTTATCAGAAAAAAAAAATAAGGCTATTAACATTTAAAATTTGTTCTCAAAAACATTAGTCCACAGGTGAGCATGCCCCAAATACCCAGAGGAAAAAGGCCAGTCGGGCACACAGCCTAACCCAGTGGAGATGGGTAAGCCCCTGCAGCAAGGGGTGAGGATGGCCTCAGAGCCAGGACAGTGACGGGGTGGGTGAGGCCTGGGCCTCCTGGCCAGCTCCCCTCTGAGGAGCTTTGCCTGTCTGTCTTCTCTGCAGGAGCCTTCCTCCGTGTGTCTTGCCAATGGCAAGAGGCGAGGGAACTCAGCGGGGAGCCAAGCTGCTCATGGGTGACAGGCCCCGAACCAGAGACAGGCCCTCAGCCAATCTCCGCCTCCCTCCCTCCCTTCCTCCCTCCCTCTCTTTCTCTTTGTCTCTCTCTGACACGCACACACTCCCAGGGAGAGGACTCTGGTCTAATTATATCCTGGGAAGTGGGGCATGTTTCATGGCATGTTTAACTCCTGAGAGCCTTGTGCTAAAACCCTGCCTGGATGGGTCTAGACAGCTCAAGGCAATGACTTGAAAGGGGGCCATTCTTGTAAGCTGGAGAGACAGCCCAGGGGGTGCCCACCTCACACGAGAGCTTGGTCGGTTGCCTGCAATGGTCAGGAGGTGATGAGGCTGCAGGGTGAGGGAGGCCCTGCAGGCAGCAGCTCACACAGAGGCAGGGCCTGTGGCATCACAGAACCCCAGACTCCGCACACTGGCCAGGCCTTTGTCCACACAGCAGGCGCCAAGGAAGAGCTCTGTGCCTCTGTGGGGCTGGCATCAATGCCTGTCTCCTTTTTCCTGAGGTTCCACAGTGCAAGCCACCTGTGCCCACCTGGCTCATGGGATTGCAATGATGAAGGTGGAGAAGGCGGGGCCTTTGGATGGTCCCTCCATGACCTCTGCCAGGGCTGGGGCCTCACAAAGGGACGAAGTGAACAAAAGTCAGGAGGGCCTTTGCAGAGCATCCGTTCCGCTGTGAGGAACGGCCAGCGGCCACCTGACCCAGCCCAGGCCTTCTGTAGATGGCAGCAACTCCAGGGGGGTCAGTGACTGCCCCACTAAGGCAGTTGCTTGGAGCACTGACGCAGATCCAGAGAGCCAACCCCCAACCCTGAACTCTCACTAAGGTTAGGACAGGCTTTCCATTGGGAGAAGGCTGCAAGGTGACCCGCCTGGAGCCCCTCAAGAACACAGGGCTTCTCCAGTCACGGGGCAGGGGGCAGGGCCGGGCTACAGAAGGCTATGGACGCTGGACTTGACCACTGGGCGGCGGGAGCCACATGAACTTCTTGAGCAGGGGTGTCTGCAGGACCAAAGTCCAGCAGTGATACTTAAGAGAACTTAGGATGTAGAGAGCTGGGAGGAAGCCCAGGCTGGAAGCAGCTGCAGCTGCCCAGGAGTGAGAAAATGCAGATCTGGAGAGAGGTCAGGGGAATGAATCAGGTTCAAGATGCACTGTGAGGAGCAAACTGCAGAGACTCCAGCTGACTCCACGGACGTCAGTTGAGCGGCTGACTCAGGCCCATGCTTGTGTCTGGGAGCAGGAAACTGACTCTGGCTAGTTTAAGCAGCGGGGAATTTAATGGAAGTCCACAGTGGGGAGAGCTCACAGAATGGACAATAGACAGGGGGAAACCAGGCTTGGGAAAATCAGGAAGTGAGGGCTCTGGGGACGGAAGCCAGTCAGCCAGTCTCGGCCAGGACCCCGGGGCCACAGCCACTGCTGCCGCACCTGCTTTTATAAAGGACCTCTTACCACCAGTGTCCTCATCTCACTCACTCAGGAGCCAAAGCCCTAGGCAAGAACAACCAATTGGCCAGGGGACGCCACATTCCTGTCCCAGGTTGGGGCTGGCTGGGAAGGATATGACCCCTTTGGCCCTCCTTGAGGGAAGCGGGCATAAGGCGATCTCCTCCAAGGAGGTCAGGGTGCTCTTAGGATGGGGCACTGGATGCCCCCAAAATACAGCCAGCCTCCACCTGGCCTTGTCACCATTCCACTGGTTCCCCAACTTGCTGAGCCCTTTCCCCACCCTCTTCCTCTCCTGAAACTGCTCCCCAGGGCTTCTCCCCCATTTGTGCTGCATCCAATGCCGCTGCAGACGGCAGCTGGGTGTGTTGGCCTCCAAGCTTCCAGGGCTCTTGAGGAAGGTCCTGGCTCTGTAGGCCCCTCCCTCCCTCAGTTTACCCTTCATACTGTCCCACAACAAGCTTCCCATCTCCCTCAGCATGAAGCCTGATGTCCTTCCAGGGTGCCCAGGCCTTTCATGCATCTGCCACACCTGCTTGCCACAGTCTTTCCCACAGCAGACACAAACTTACTTTTGGGGTGCTTCTGCCTGAAAGTCCTCTGAACCCCATCCACCAGCCATCTTGTCCCACTGGGGCTGGCCAACCCCTCCTCAGCCTGCAGGTCCCCTATCTCCCTCCTCAGGTTTCTAAGTGCTCCTTCTCCTTGATCCCACCACGTTTGTACATATCTCAACCAATGCATTTATTCCCCCCAGAAATATCACATTTTGTGCCATTTGCTTGCAATCCTTTTTCCCTTTTAATGACCACTCCTGGTTCCATTCCTTTCCCCTCCCATTTTTGCAGGTAGCACTTTTCCTGAATTTGGTGTGTCGCTTTCCAATCCATTCCAGCTTCTTTTACACACCTATGCCTCCACAACCAGTTCCTGGTGCAGCCTTTGGCAGTGTTGGTTTTCGTCCCATTGACAAGAGTCATCGGGCTCCAGGCGCCATTACAGGCCTTCGCTTTTCCTGCTCAGCACCCTCCAGGCGATCCGCAGGCTATGCAGTGGCCAGTCTTCTGTCAGCCGTGTGGCATCTCTCCTCAAAGGACAGAACCTGTGTCTTTTCTGCTCTGTGTTCCCAATTAGGTGCTCGAGAAATATTTTTGAATGAATATTTGCATGACTCAAGACTCATTTTCAGTATTTCTATTGGAAATGTCACATCCATGCCCAATTACACGGCTTCCTTCCCACCTTCCGTCTCCCTCATGGCCTGCCTTTTTTTGAGTTCTAGGTTTTATATTTATTTTTGTTTTATTTTTTGAGTTAGGGTCTCACTCTGTCACCCAGGCTGGAGTGCAGTGGTGCAATCTCGGCTCGCTGCAGCCTCAACCTCCTGGGCTCAAGCCATCCTCCCACCTCAGTGTCTCGAGTAGCTGGGACTACAGGCATGCACCACCACATCTGGCTAATTTTTTTTTTTTTTTTTTGAGACGGAGTCTCACTCTGTCGCCAGGCTGGAGTGCAGTGGCGCAATCTCGGCTCACTGCAACCTCCGCCTCCCAGGTTCAAGCAATTCTCCTGCCTCAGCCTCTCGAGTAGCTGGGACTACAGGCATGCACCACCACACCCAGCCAATTTTTGTATTTTTAGTAGAGATGGGGTTTCACCATGTTGGCCAGGATGGTCTCGATCCCCTGACCTTGTGATCCGCCTGCCTCAACCTCCCAAAGTGCTGGGATTACAGGCGTGAGCCACTGCACCCGGCCATATCTGGCTAATTTTTAAAATTTTTTGTAGAGATGAATGTCTCACTATGTTGCCCAGGCTGGTCTTGAACTCCTGGACTCAAGCAATCCTCTCACCTTGGTCTCCCAAATTGCTGGGATTACAGACGTGAGCCACTGCACCCAGCTTGTGTTCTAGGTTATAAATCTACCCTCTCTTTCACCCTTCCCTGCAGCTCTCTCCTCCTCATCCAACATCTTCAGTCATGCTGATCTTTTGGAGAACATTTGAACATAAATTTGAAAAATATAAAATGAGGCCAGGCATGGTGGCTCACACCTGTAATCCCAGCACTTTGGGAAGCCGAGGCAGGTGGATTACCTGAGGTCAGGAGTTTGAGACCAGCCTGACCAACATGGAGAAACCCTGTCTCTACTAAAAATACAAAATTAGCCTGGCACAGTGGTGCATGCCTGTAATCCCAGCTACTTGGGAGGCTGAGGCAGGAGAATCACTTGAACCCGGGAGGTGGAGGTTGCCGCGAGCCGAGATCATGCCATTGCACTCCAGCCTGGGCAACAAGAGCGAAACTCCGCCTCGAAAAATATATATATATATATGTATATATATATGTGTATATATATGTGTGTGTGTGTATATATAGTATACATATATGTATATGTATATATGTACATATATACACACATATGTATATGTATATATATGTATATATACACACACATATATACACATATATGTGTATATGTATATGTATATATACATATACATATATATGTATATATGTACATATATACATATACATATATATGTATATATACACACACATGTGTATATATATACATATACATATATATGTGTATATATAATGAAATGACCATAAATGACCCACCTCTGCCAGTAGGAATAAATCAAATGGCCAAGTCCCAGGTAATGAAGTGGTTACTAGGTATCACTGCATACATTTTTATATGTAACATTATAATATAAGTAGTTTCCATATTATAAGAGTTATTTAAGCATAAGTCTTAATGGCTGCATAACAGCCAAGTGAATTTAGTAATTTATCTGATCACTTCTCTATTAGATATTTTATTTCCACTTCCATTTTTAGAGATAATGTTGATTATAGATTAGAGATAGGTATTAGATATAGGTATTAGAGATAATGTTGATTATAGAGCGTCTTATGTATTTAAGGTTATAGCTTGTTTTTTTTGAGATGGAATCTTGCTCTGTCACCTTGGCTGGAGTGCAGTGGCACAATCTCGGCTCACTGCAACCTCCCCCTCCCGGGTTCAAGGGATTCTCCCGCTTCAGCCTCCCTAGTAGCTGGGATTACAGGCGCCTACTACCACACCTGGCTAATTTTTGTATTTTTAGTAGAAACAGGGTTTCACCAGATTGGCCAGGCTGGTCTCCAACTCCTGACCTCAGGTAATCCACCCGCCTCAGCCTTCTAAAGTGCTGGGATTACAGGCATGAACCACCATGCCCAGCCACAAGTTATAGCTTTAGAATGGAGTTTTACGAGAGCACTTACTGGGCCAAAGGGCATGAGGTTGCTAAGGTTCCTTACACACATTGAGAAATCGGTTCACTTTACACAAACAAGCGAGTCTCCCTTCTCCCAGCAGTGGCTTAGTGAGGACGCATGTTCTACATCAGCACTTTCTGTAACCCTGGATGCTATACGTTGTTAAAGTCAGCTAATCTGATAGATAGAAAATATATCTTAAGTGTATATTTATTTGATTATAGATTTTCGTTTATTTTTGTTGTTGTTGTTGTTTTTGAGACAGAATCTCGCTCTGTCGCCCAGGCTGGAGTGCAGTGGCACAATCTCGGCTCACTGCAAGCTCCGCCTCCTGGGTTCAGGTGATTCTCCTGCCTCAGCCTCCTGAGTAGCTGGGATTACAGGCGCCCGCCACCACACCCAGCTAATTTTTGTATTTTTAGTCGAGATGGAGTTTCACCAGGTTGGCCAGCCTGGTCTTGAATTCCTGGCTTCATGTGATCCACCTGCCTCCACCTCCCAAAGTGCTGAGATTACAGGTGCGAGCCACCGCGCCCAACCTGATTATATTTTTTTCAATAGTTTCATAATCAATTGTGGTTTTTTATGTGTGATTTCTCTACTCATTCTTTACATATCTTGGAGTAATATTATTTTTCTTTAGAATTTAATCATGTAGTAAGAATTTCAACTCTTTGTCATCTTGTCTATCAATATCTTTTATCAGATTTTCTTTTCTTTTCTTTCTTTTATTTTCCCCCAAGACAGAGTCTTGTTCTTGTTGCCGAGGCTGGAGTGCAGTGGTGAAGTCACAGCTCACTGTAGCCTCAACCTCCCAGGTTCAAGTGATCCTTCCACCTCAGTCTCCTGAGTAGTTGGGGCTACAGGCATGTGCCACCACGGCCGGATAATTTTTTAAATTTTTCATAGAGATGGGATCTCACCATGTTGCCTAGGCTGGTCTTGAACTCCCAGGTCCAAGCGATTCTCCCACCTCAGCCTCCCAAAGTGCTGGAATTACAGGTATGAGCTACTGTGCTTGGCCCAGAGTCTTTTAATTTTTTTTTTTTTTTTGAGATGGAGTCTCACTCTATTGCCCAGGCTGCAGTGCAGTGGCACGATCTTGGCTCACTGCAACCTACACCTCCCGGGTTCAAGAGATTCTCCTGCCTCAGCCTCCCGAGTAGCTGGAATTACAGGTGCCTGCCACCACGCCCAGTTAATTTTTTGTATTTTTAGTAGGGACGGGTTTCACCATGTTGGCCAGGCTGGTCGCAAACTCCTGACCTCAAGTGATCCTCCCGCCTCTGCCTCCAAAATGCTGGGATTATAGGCATGAGCCACTGCGCCCGGCCGAGTCTTTTAATTTTTAACAACTTTATGCTGGGCTTGGTGGCTCTGTAATCCCAGCACTTTGGGAAGCTGAGGTGGGAGGATCACTTGAGGTCAGGAGTTCCAGGCTACAGTGAGCTATGATCATGCCACTACACTCCAGCCTGGACAACAGAGTGAAAGCCTGTCTCTAAATAAATAAATAAATAAATAAACCTTTATAATCACAATATCTGACTTAATTGAAACATTTAGTCATGATAGTACATCTCAGACATCTCATGCTATTTTCCAAGCAGAGGATGTTTTGTTCCATATAGTTTACACTACTCCTGTGTTATTCCTGAGAGATTTTATTGTTTACACTTTAATGCAATGAGAGGCTAGAGGCCTCTGCTTACAGGTCAGTTTCCCTCACTGCCATAGGGAATAGTCTTTTCTTAGCTCAATGTGGCTCAGAGTGTTTTATAATCAAATCTATCAATCTTTTCAAATCTATCAATCTTTTCTTATATAATTAGAAAGTCCTCTTGTCTCTAGTGACTGCATTGCTTATTTTCCTTCATTTGTCTTTAGATTTTATAGTGGGTTTTTTTTTGTTTTTTTTTTTTAGACTCACTTTTTTGGGTCTCACTCAGTTGCCCAGGCTGTAGTGCAGTGGCACTATCTCAGCTTACGCAACCTCCACCTCCTAGGTTCAAGTGATTCTCGTGCCTCAGCCTTCTGAGTAGCTGGGATTACAGGCACCCGCCACCATGCCTGGCTAATTTTTGTATTTTTAGTAGAGATGAGGTTTTACCATGTTGGCCACACTGGTCTCAAACTCCTGACCTCAAGTGATCCGCCCGCCTTGACCTCCCAAACTGCTGGTATTACAGGCATGAGCCACTGCGCCCAGCCCAGATTTTATGGTTTTTGGTTTATTTTTTTTACACGTAAGTCCAATCCATCTGGAGTTTATTCTGTTGGGGTGGATCTAGGAACTGTTTGGAAATTTGCAACAAGAAATATATTTATAGTCCCTGGCCCATTTTAGAGGCCATATCTTCAAGGAAATAATCCAACATAAAAGACCTGCAAAGATTTTCATAGCAACACTATTTACAATAGCAACAGTTTGGAAAGCCCGTATACCCACCATTAGGGGGAGAGTTAAGCAAACACAGAGTAGGAGAAAGAAGGGTGTCTATGATGCTTTTTCTTTTTCTTTTCTTTCTTTTTCTTTTTTTTAAGAGACAGAGTCTTGCTCTGTTGCCCTGGCTGGAGTGCAGTGGTGTGATCATAGCTCACCGCAGCCTGGAACTCCTGGGTTCAAGTGATTCTTCCACCTCAGCCTCTTCAGTAGCTGGGACTACAGGTGCATGCCACCACGCTTGGCTACTTTTTTTTTTTTTTTTTTTTGAGACAGAGTTTCACTCTTGTTGCCCAGGCTGGAGGGCAATGGTGCTATTTCAGCTCACTGCAACCTCCATCACCTGGGTTTAAGTGATTCTCCTGCTTCGGCCTCCCGAGAAGCTGGGATTACAGGTGCCTGCCACCACACCTGGCCAATTTTTTGTATTTTTAGTAGAGATGGGATTTCATTATGTTGGCCAGGCTGGTCTTGAACTCCCGACCTCAGGTGATCCACTCACCTCGGCCCCCCAAAGTGCTGGGATTACAGGTGTGAGCCACCCCTCCCGACCAACTAAATGTTTTTAAATAGAGATAGGGTCTCCTGTATTGCCCAGGCTGGTTTCAAACTCCTGGCCTCAAGTGATTTTCCCATCTTGGTCTCCCGAAGTGCTGGGATCGCAGGTGGATTACAGACATGAATATAAAATGTACGTACTCTATGCTTACACTTATATAAAATCATACAGGACTATGACCACAGAATTGGGACAAAGACACAAGTGGCAGGCTTGTAAGAAATTACTGACTGCTGCTGCAGGGCAGGTGGGTGGCTCTCTCCTTTGAGGGTGTTCAGAGAGGGAATCTGAGCTGGACGAGGTGGCATGATCCTGTAGTCCCAGCTACTTGAGAGGCCGAGGTGGGAGAATCCTTTGAGCCCAGGAGTTCAAGACCAGCCTGGGCAACGTAGAGAGACTTCAACTCTTTAAAACAACAACAAACAAACAAAAACAAAGAGAATCTGGAGAAGTGAGAGGTGCCCCTGGGTGAATTATTTTCCCTTTATATTTATTTGTTTGTGTGTTTGAGACAGAGTCTCATTCTGTTGCCCAGGCTGGAGTGCAGTGGTGTGATCACGGCCCACCACAGCCTCGACCTCCTGGGCTCAAATGATCCACCTGACTCAGCTTCCTGAGTAGCTAGGACTATAGGCACACTATGCTTGGCTAATTTTTGCATTTTTTTAAAAAAAGAGACGGGGTTTCGCCATGTTGCCCAGGCTGATCTTGAACTCCTGGGCTCAAGCAGTCGTCCCACTTCAGCCTCCCAAAGTGCTGGGATTACAGGTGTGAGCCACGGCAACCAGTCCAATTTCCCCTTTTATTTAAATTCTATTAATATCAGCAAAAGATTTGTTGCATTAATTCAGTAGCCTCCTGACAATTACAACAGGTATGTTTCAAGACCTTTGCTACTTTCCAAATTTGCACATAAGGAAATGTTCCTGCAGCTCCTCACTCCCTAAATCATCATATCTTCATAGAGAGCCCCTCTGTATCTTGTCCTTATTCTTGCTTCTTTTCAGCCATCACTAGTTTTGCTTTGTTTTGTTTTGTTTTTGAGACAGAGTCTCACTCTGTCACCCCGGTTGGAGTGCAGTGGCACGATCTCGGCTCACTGCAACTTCCGCCTCCTGGGTTCCAGAGATTCTCCTGCCTCAGCCTCCCAAGTAGCTGGGATTACAGGCATGAACCACCAAGCCTGGCTAATTTTTTTGTATTTTTAGTAGAGACATGGTTTCACCAGGTTGGTCAGGCTGGCCTTGGCCATGTGACTGGCTTTGGCCAATGGGACTCTTCGGAGGCATGACACAAGATGAGCCTTGATAAGCGCTTGCACCTTATGTCTGTTCTCTCAGATCACTCCCTCCAAGCCTGGTTGCCATGCAGTAAGGAAGTCCTGGCTAGCCAGCACAGGAAGAAGGACAGAGCTCCCAGCTCAGTGCAGGCACATGAGCAATACTCGTGAAGCCAAAGAACCTCCCTGCCAACGCACAGGATCATGAGAAACAATCAAGGTTGTTTTAAGCCACTGAGTTTTTGGCTGGTTTATTACACAGCAATAGGTAACTGAAACACATGGGAATGTGGACGCAGTAGGATGCTAAGGCAGAAATTAAAATACAAAGGAAGATGTTCATCGTAATCGAGACTTTGTAAAATGCATGCCTATACCACAAACCAGGATTAGAAGCTACTTTAAAATTAAATAAAGTGCCTGCTGCTCATTGGGTTACTTTTTAAAGTATATATTTCTTTAAAAGTGCTGTAAGAAACTTCAAAAAGCCAGTCATAGCTCCTGCTATCAAGAACTTCCAGTCATTGGGAAAAGTAATGCCAGGGAGCTCTTAAGAACAGTGCTGGTGACTCCCAGCCCAGAGAGGGACTGCCTGGATAGGAGAGGTTCTGGGGCTAGCGGAAGGCCAGTGCAGCTTGCAGGAGAAGCAACCTATATGTTCTTTTTATTGAAAAGTGTCTCTCCATAAGGAAGGAGCTCCACCATCGAACAGAATGAATGTGTGTGTGTGTGTGTGTGTGTGTGTGTGCGCGCGCGTGTGACTCTATCCTCGGGAAAGCCCCCAGTCCTGAGCCTGGTGGTTGAGACAGGACTGGGCTCTGCCTCCAGGCTCACAGGGCCTTTTTGGGACCCAGTGACAAGTCTTGAACTCTCAGCTCTTCAAGTCAGCTTCAGACCAAACCATGCTGGGCTTGCCCTCAGCAAGTGGGTGACACGATATGACATGCAGTGCTGGATGTTCTGCAGTTAGTTGAGCTCTCGCTGGCTGAAATATACCATATGTGAGCTGTGCGTGAAATTAGGAAAATTACAGCATTGGTAAGGAAGGCATGACATCTGGGAAAGTACCTTTTTTTTTTTTTTTTTTTTGAGATGAAGTGTTGCTCTTTGTTCCCCAGGCTGGAGTGCAATGACATGATCTCCACTCAGTGCAACCTCTGCCTTCCAGGTTCAAGTGATTCTCCTGCCTCAGCCTCCTGAGTAGCTGGGATTACAGGCATGTGCTACCATGCCCAGCTAATTTTTGCATTTTTAATAGAGATGGGGTTTCACCATGTTGGCCAGACTGGTCTCGAATTCCTGACCTCACATGATCCACCTGCCTTGGCCTCTCAAAGTGCTGGGATTACAGGTGTGAGCCACCTCACCCGGCCTGGAAAGTACTTTAAAAAAAAAAAAAAAAACTTGGCCAGGTGTAGTGGCTCACACCTGTAATCCCAGCACATTGGGATGCCGAGGCGGGCAGATCACGAGGTCAAGAGTTCGAGACCAGCCTGGCCAACATGGTGAAACTCCAGCTCTACTAAAAATACAAAAATTAGCTGGGCATGGTGGCGTGCACCTGTAGTCCCAGCTACTTGGGAGGCTGAGGCAAGAGAATCGCTTGAACCCGGGAGGCAGAGGTTGCAGTGAGCCAGGATTGTGCCACTGCCCTCCAGCCTGGCGAGAGAGCAAGACTCCGCCTCAAAAACAAACAAACAAACAAACAAAAAAACCCTTAGGTAATTTGGCAAAACAAGCTACTATAAAGACATTCCATCCTTTCAATTTCTTGACTATAGTGTTCATATACATTTTATATACATTTATAAGCTCAAATGAATATTAATAATATCAATATTAAATTAATAATGAATATTAATAAAAAACTAGGATGCCATTGATCATGCTGTGTGCGAAAGTTTGGCTGGGATTTTATGACCTATTTAGAGGCAAATTTTCTGTTAGCACTATTGTGTCTGGTTCATGAGATGAACTAATAGTTATTTCCTGGTGTTTCAGGTAGCCCTGGCTACCTGGCCCCAGCTAGTCTGCCATCCTCTCGCAGAAGCACATCATGTAATTCAGCCATTCCAGACCCAATCACTTCTGAAAAAGTGGGAGCACTGTTTCTGCCAACCCAGAGTCTTTTGTAACTGAGCCCGGGTCTCCTGCAGAGAGAGTTACGCAGGGAGATCTTGGTTCGATCTGACTCTTTAAAGGGAAGAACACTGTGTTTGCGACACTTCTGGTCCTCCTTGTGAAATGAAGTGCTGAGTCACCTCTATGAGGAATTCCTGTAATGAGCTTCCTAGATTTCCCAAGCCTCCTTTTATATTCATTTTTCCTTGATTAAGAAATGAGTGCAGGCCGGGTGTGTTGGCTCATGCCTGTAATCCTAGCACTTCGGGAGGCCAAGGAGGGAGGATCACTTGAGCTCAAGTGTTCGAAACCAGCCTGGGTCACATGGTGAAACCCCATCTCTACAAAAAATACAAAAGAATTAAAAGAATTAGCTGGGTGTGGTGGTACATGACTGTAGTCCCAGCTACTTGGGAGGCTGATGCAGGAGAATTGCTTGAACCTGGGAGATAGAGGCTGCAGTGAGCTGAGATTGTGCCACCGCACTCCAGCCTGGGTGACAGAGCGAGACCCTGTCTCAAAAAAAAAAAAAAAATGGTAGCCTAGTCAATATCACAGAAGGTAGGGAGACATAGGTGTTAACAGCTGGGACTCCTTCAGGTGCAGCACAGGGGGCTTTGAAACAGAACCTGTCTCTTTCTCTCTCTCTCTCTTTTTTTTTTTTTTTCTTGAGACGGAGTTTCACTCTTGTTGCCCAGGCTGGAGTGCAGTGGCACGATCTCAGCTCACTGCAACCTACACCTCCCAGGTTCAAGCAATTCTCCTGCCTCAGCCTCCTGAGTAGCTGGGATCACAGGCACGTGCCATCACGCCCGGCTAATTTTTGTATTTTTAGTAGAAATGGGGTTTCACCGTATTGGCCAGGCTGGTCTCGAACTCCTGGTCTCAGGTGATCCACCTGCCTCAGCTTCCCAAAGTGCTGGGATTATAGGCGTGAGCCACCGCGCCTGTCCTCTATCTCTTTCTTTTTTCTTTTTTTTTTTTTGAGACAGAGTCTCACTCTGTCACCCAGGCTGGAGTGCAATGGCACAATCTCTGCTCACTGCAACCTCCGCCTTCCGGGTTCAAGCGATTCTCCTGCCTCAGCCTCCTGAGTAGCTGGGATTACAGGCGCACACCACCACGCCTGGCTAATTTTTGTAATTTTGGTAGAGCCGGAGTTTCACCATGTTGGTCAGGCTGGTCTCGAACTCCTGACCTCGTGATCCACCCACCTCGTGATCTGCCTGCCTCAGCCTCCCAAAGTGCTAGGATTACAGACATGAGTCACCGCGCCTGGCCTCTCTCCCTCCCTCCCTTTTCTTTTCTTTTCTTTTCTTTTCTTTCTCTTTCTTTCTTTCTTTCTCTTTCTTTCTTTCTTCCTTCCTTCCTTTCTTTCTTTTTCTTTCTCTTTCTCTCTTTCTCTTTCTTTTTTCTTCTTTTTCTTTTTTTTTTTTTTTAGATATGAGGTCTACACTATGTTGCCCAGGCTGGTCTTGAACTCTTGGGCTCAAGCAATCCTCCTGCCTGTGCCTCCCAAAATTCTGGGATTACAGGCATGAGCCACCACACCTGGTCCAGAACCTGCCCTTTCTATTTGCTAAAGGCTCCATTCATAGACGCAGGAAAGACTGCTGGCCAGGACCCTTCCCTGGGAAAAGAGGGGCCAGCTGCATACACAGTGTTGACTTTCTGCCCAAATGGTCTGCTTCAAAAGTCCACTTTGTCTCAATGGGAACTTTTAGTTCTGACTGCTCAGTGCCCCAGGCCTCTGATATCCTGATGAGGGGAAGGCACTAGTTACTACTGTTTCTGGCTTGCTAGTCCTGCACCTTGGCTTGCCTTCCAGCCTCATTGTTTTTGTTTTGTTTGAGACAGGGTCACACGCCATCTCCCAGGCTGGAGTGCAGTGGTGCAATCATGTCTCACTGTGGCAGCCTCAACCTTGCAGGCTCAAGCAATTATCCTATCTCAGCCTCCTGAGTAGCTGGGACTACAGGTGCATGCCACCACACCTGGCATTGTAGACACAGGGTCCCACTATGTTGCCCAGGCTGGTCTAGAACTCCTTGGCTCAAGCAATCCTCCTGCCTTTGCCTCCCAAAGTGCTGGGATTACAGGTGTGAGCCACCGTGTCCTGGCCCAGCCTCATTGTTGTGCAGTCTGAACAACCAAGCTCCTGGTGAGAATTCCATGACCCACCCTCCAGCAGGCAGCAACAGGGGTGGGCCCAGGGTCCAGCTGGACGCATTCCTTATGGTCTCCTCTTGCCCACTGGCAGCCAAGGATCTGGTCTGAGCAAGGCCTTCTAACAGTTCACTGTTGGAGTCCTCACTGTGAATAACCAAGAAAAACTTCCTTGCTCTTGGGGCCCGGTTTGCCTGGGCAGGCTTTGTGAGTCCCTGCTCAGAGGACCTCCTGATACTCCATCAAGGGAGGGAGGCCACCATGGAGTCACTTCTGGGAAGGCAATAGAACGCAGTGGTTCATGGTGGCCTCCTGGCCTCACTGCCTGCCAACTGTGGGACCTTGAGCACATCTCCTAACCTTTCTGTGCCTCAATTTGCTTACCTTTCAATTGAAGGATTTTGTAGTTCCTACCTGTGGTATGGAAAGAAGTAACCCAAACACTTGACCCATGATAAGCTCTCAATAATGTGACCATTAATATTAGTTATTGGGGCCGGGTGTGGTGGCTCACACCTGTTATCCTAGCACTTTGGGAGGCTGAGGCGGGTGGATCACTTGAGGTTAGGAGTTTGAGACCAGCCTGGCCAACATGGTGAAACCCCGTCTCAACTAAAAATACAAAAATTAGCCAGGTGTGGTGCTGCATGCCTGTAATCCCAGCTACTTGGGAGGCTGAGGCACAAGAATTGCTTGAACCCGGGAGGCAGAGGTTGCAGTGAACTGAGATCGTGCCACTGCACTCCAGCCTGGGTGATACAGCTAGACTCCATCTCAAAAAAAAAAAATTAGTTATTGGGCAGTGGGGAGACTATGAAGATCTTTTATCTGCCCCATTTTAGAAAATAATCCCAGTTGGTCCCACTAATCGGAGTCAACACCCCCCACCCCCATCCCCCAAACCACCTGGGCTGCAGAAGGCCTTGTCTCAGCCGGATAGCCTAGAGATGCGGCATCTAGATCTTCTTCAGTCCAGTCCTTGGATTTCCATGGCTTCTGCCCTAGAATGACTGTCCATCCACATTCAGCACACACTTTTCAAGTTAGGCATGAATGGGGAGGTGGAAAGTTGCTCAGGAAGCTGTGTGCTGTGCAGGAAGAAAGAACACTGGCATCACATAGTCAGTGTGGATTGATATCTATATTTCTACCCTACTTTGGAAGATCCCAAGAGATGGAATCTCAGAAAAGGGAACGGTCACCACTCCCATAGGAGTGCCCTCCTATGGGAGGGCTTTGTAACTAACTGTCCAACAGGTTCTTCTTGCCTGCTGCCCAGATAGAGCCAATTTATCAAGACAGGGGAACTGCAATAGAGAAAGAGTTTAATATACCAAGAGCTGACTAAATAAGAGACCACAATTTTATTATTACTAAATCAGCCTCTCTGAAAATTCGGAGGCTAGGGTTTTTCAAGTATAGCTTGGTGGGCAGGGGACGAGGGAGTCAGTATCGCTGAATGGCTGGGGATGCGATCATAGTGGTGTGGAAAATGGTCCTCTTGCACTGAGTCCATTTCTGGGTGTGGGGCACACAAAAGTTGGGTCAAGAGGCCTGGTCTTCAGAAATGCAAACGGCTGAAAAGCCATCTCAGAAGGCCAGTCTCAGGTTCTACAATAGCGATGTATGTGATATAAGAAAGTAATTGGAGAAGTTACAAATCTTGTGACTTCTGGAATAATGGCTGGTAATCATTGAACTATGTGTACATCTTAGCAGAGCTCAAGCCCCTCTCATCGTCCTAACCTGGTGGCCTTTCATTCATTTTACAAAAGTGGTTTAATTTTGTAGAAGAGCTATTATCATTTAAACTATAAACTAAATTTCTCCCAGCGTTAGCTTGGCTCACACCTAAGAATGACCAGGGGCACTTTGGAGGTTAAAGGCAGGATGGAGTTGGTTAAGTCAGATCCCTTTCACTGTCATCATTTCCTCATCCTCACTGTTAAATTTTTTGCAAAGGCAGTGTCAGCTTCAGGAGGAGGTGGCATTTACTTTTCTTAATATGCCAAGGATTCTGAAAAACCAGTTTTCAACTAAGCCTCTTTGGTCTGAGACTCCAGGCTTTTGGCAAAGAGTTTAGAAAAGCTGCTCAGAGAACGCTGAGTGCCAAGAGAGCAGGGTTAGAGGGAAGGGCGCTGCACCAAGCTGGGATTCCTGGGTTCTGGTCCGGCTCTGCAACTCATGAGCAAGCTCCAACTCCCAGGCCCCTTCCTGGTCTGTGAAATTCAGGTGATTAGAGAACTGGTCAGAAGCTCCCCAACCTCTCCTCTAGCTTGCAAAGTCTAGCTTCCTTTGCGTTGCAGTCCCCGCCCCAACCCGGGCTGTACATCTGGACACCTGGAGGACACAACAGGATTCATCTGACTCATATTACGGTAACAGGATGCGTTTCTTGCTGCTCTCTAGACCTGGAAAAAAACATGAGTGCCAAGCGTGGACCAGTCTGAGACCGTTTCCTGTTTCTCCGAAAGCTGACTGGCTGTCAGCATCCCGGGGCGGTGTGTGCCAGAAAAGGCAGCATCTCCTAGTGAGCCCCGACCTCCGGCCGCCCCTTTTCCTTCTAGGACTGGGTGTGGCCCCTGGGTCCGCTTATTGGCGTCTGGCCCAGGAGCTGAGAAGTGTCATCCCTGCCCTACCAGGAGCTGAGAAGTGTCATCCCTGCCCTACCACGGGTGGAGCTGGTGCGGAAGGAGGGGCCTCCCCGCAGCCCGGCCGCACCTGCAGGGCCCTGTATGCCCAGGTGCCCCCGCACCCGGCTTGGTACAGCGGTGGTCTCAGTCGGATCCATGATGGACATATGATCCCCGGTGCCTCCGGAGGCCCCACCTGGGGAGGAGTGTGCTTGGCACATCCATAGGTCTGAAACGGGAGTTTGCGGCGGGGCCTGCTCCCAGAATGTATTCATTCACACTGCCAGACTCCAGGCCCATCAGTTCCTTCAAATCCACTGAGCTGGGATCTTGCAGGCCCCGAGACCCCAGCATGGAGGGTGGCGTTCATGGAGGCCTTTTTGACGGGATCAGGTGGGGTGAGGAGAGGGTCTGAGATACTTTTTGTGCACATCGCCGGTGTGACGGGCAGGAAGGAGTCCGCTGTCACACGCATGCCGTGGGTATTTGGAGAGAGTTTAATAAAGGAACCGTTTACAAAGGCCAGGGCCCAGCGTGGGGCAGCCACGAGGGTTAGTGCTGGAACCC